>NW_011332701.1:0-358759 GCF_000001405.40 Homo sapiens | reverse complement strand
GTTTCCTTCTTTCTGCTTTGTATTTTTTTGTTTTTGTCTTTGTTTTGAGACAGGGTCTTACTTTTCCTTCAGGCCGAAGTACAGTGGCACAGTCATGGCTCACTGCAGCCTCAACCTCCTGGGCTCAAGTTATCCACCTGCCTCAGCCTCCCAAAGTGCTGGGATTACAGGTGTGAGGCACCACACCTGGCCTAACTTTGGTTTTTATTGTGTTATTTTTTAGTTCTTCCAGATGTAGAGTTAAGTTATTGATTTGAGATCATCTTTTGTAAATGCAGACTTTCATAGTATAATTGCCCCTTCATCCCTGCTTTTGGCGCAGCACAGAAGTTTTGGTAGTTGTGTTTTCATTCATCTCATAGTATTTTCTAATTTCCCTTGTGATTTCTTCTTTGACCCACTGGTTGTTTACTGTGTGTTGTTTAATTTTCATATACTTGTAAATTTTCCACTTTTCTTTTTTTTATTTCTCATTTCATTTTGGTTGGAGAAGGTAATTTGTATGATTTTAGTCTGTTTAAATTTAAGACTTTGTGGCCTAACATATGGTCTGGTCAGTCTAAGAGAGTGTTCTGTGGTATACTTGAGAAGAATGTGTATTCTGCTCTTTTTGGTGAGATGTTCTGTATATGTCTATTAGATCTGATTGGTTTATGGTGGTGTTCTTTGGCTAAAACTGAGATGCTGCAGGGCCAGTTATCAAAGTCACAGTGAAAAAGCAAGGTTTTCCCAAGCTCTTTTAATCACATCAGTCTTAGAGTTCACATTAATCCATTCAAAAATATGTATCAGGCCAGGCTGTAATCCTAGCACTTTGGGCGGCTGAGGCGGGTGGGTCGCTTGAGCTCAGGAGTTTGAGACCAACTTGGGCAACATAGAGAAACCCTGTCTCTACAAAAAATACGAAAACTAGCTGGGCATAGTGGTGTGTGCCTATGGTCCCAGCTACCTGGGAGGCTGAGGTGGGAGGATTGCTTGAGCCCGGGAGGCAGAGGTTGCAGTGAGCGGAGATAAAGCCACTGCACTCCAGCCTGGGCTCCAGCCTGGGCGACAAAGTGAAATCCTGTCTTGGGGGTGGGGGGAATCTTTCTATCTATCTGTCTGTCTGTCTGTCTGTTTCTCTCTCTCTCTGTGTGTGTGTGTGTGTGTGTGTGTGTGTGTGTATAATTTTTTAATTTATATATTTATATGTTGTGTTAAATATATATTTTAATATGTGTATTACAGCTGAAAATAATAATCTAGTAAGGGTTATATCTGATTTCTTGAGGCCTCATTAGCAACCAAAAGTTGCATTTAAAAATTACAAAAGCATATCTCCATCGAGAAATGGCCTTTTTATGTTGTCTACTTTTTTCCCAGAGGTTCCAATAAGTAACAATCACAGCACAAATCATTAAGTATGGGGACTTGTTCTGTTGATAGTATTCATGTGTTTAAATTTCATCTGGCCCACTGGCTGCAAAAAGCAAGGAAGTTGTGTCTCATGAATATCTGTCTATATTTGCGGCCTGCCCTGATCAGGGTATCCTTCTTGTCATTTAAGAAATCATAAGCATATAATATTTTATACCAGCTTAATGTATACATCCACATGTAACAGCCAGAAAACATAAAGCTATGCAAAATGAAAAATTCCCCCAGTTTTGCTTGCAAATTTATTCAAGTCCTTAGCAATACATTCAGTCTTTACAGAGTTAACAGTATAGCTGCCCAGGGGCTCCTGGGAGATCCACCTAGAATGCAACTCCTGTCCCTTCCTTGGGGCCCCTTCCTGGGGGCCCTAAAGTAGCGGCTAGGCTAAAGGAAAGGCTGTTTCCCCTGCTAGTTTATCTAAAGTTTTGCTCCAGCCCTGGGAATTGAATATCCTTTGTTGCTCTCTTGGAAGAGAGAGAAACACAAACTTTTTACATTTTTTGGTCCGCCCAAGCCCACCTTTGGGACTGTTTGGGTCTTTTTCCCGCCCACCTGGAGGAGAAAACTAAAATCAAGGGAGTTACCAGAACCACACTCCTACCCCCTCTCAGTTTAGCAAGTGGGAAAAGGGGGGTTAAAAATCTAGCCTACTCTCCTGGGGTTAGCGCTCCTATTTTCAAATCCATTGGGAAGTTTTACTGCTCTCAGGTGACAGCAGCTCGGCTTCTGTTTTGTGCTATGGATGACTCTGTAGCCACCCAGGGCACCAATTGTCAGGGGTCTCCAAGACCACCCCCAGGTTTGATGGTTGGCCAGGAGGACTCACAAGACTCAGCATGTAGTTGAACTCAGGGCTATAGTTTATTACAGTGAAGGCACACAGAGCAAAATCATGAAAAAAGGACATGGGTAAAGTCCAGAGGAAAGCAGGTACAAGCTTCCACAGGATCCACACAGGACGAGCTTAACTGCCCTGGCACTGAGCTGTGTCAGGTGCTGTCTGCCGGGAAGCTGGATAGAGACTCCAGGCCCAGGGTTTCCATTAGGGCTGATCACACGGGCACCCCCTTCCTGGCGCATACGAAGTTCCAGAACAAGGAAAGCAGGTTTCAGCACAGACCACATTGTTTGTACAGACAGTTCAGGCACAGGGAACCACACCTACTACCTAGGGAATGGGAGAGCCCTCCTGAGATCCAGACTCCAGCCGAGGGCCAGCCTGCAGCAACCCTGTCTGAGGTTGTATCTCGGGCCAGCTGTTAGCTGTCTTCTGCACAGAACCATGATTAAAGTTTGTTAGTTTCCCACTGTTAGATATTTAGGTAGTTATCTTTGTTTTTCTATTAATAAAAAATATGATGAATATCTTTCTAACTTAGTTATTTTGCTTTTTTGGGGGGAGTAATTCCTAGAAGTAGAGAGAGTAGCTTTACTGAGCATTTTAATATCTTTTATATCTTCCTAGGATATTTATGTATTTCATCCTTCCGTTTATCTTCTTTTTATCCTATATCAGTAAAATATTCATAATATTATATTGATAAAACATATAGTATGGATTGTTCAAAATTACGATCTTCATTAGTACTTTGTGAATGTTTTGTGTGTATTAAGGGGACACTGTAGCTACTTGTTGGCTCAGCTATTGTTTTTGACGCTCCATCAGGCCCCAGTTGTGACAACGTTGAGGAAGATATGAATGCTTCTGCTCAAGGTGCTTCTGCCACAGTTTTGGAAGAAACAAGGAAGGAAACGGCTCCTGTGCAGCTCCCTGTTTCAGGGCCAGAACTGGCTGCCATGATGAAGATTGGAACAAGGGTCATGAGAGGTGTGGACTGGAAATGGGGCGATCAGGTACTCAGAGATTTGATGTGAACACATTAGCCACACATTAGTTATCTTCTGCACAGTTCTGTACGATATTGGTGGGTGGAAATTGGAATAATCCAGGATGTGTCAGTTGATTGATGACACAGGTGTTGGTTCCCGAGCAGCCGAAGGGAGTGAACACAAGTAGGGAATCATAAGTAGGGCATCTGAGCAGAATCAAGTCTGGAAAGAGAGGCAGCTCTTTTCAGGAAACTCACTGGCATGAGGCTCAGTTTGATGGGTCACTGGAACAAGAGTGTGAGAGTGAGCAAGAGAGTAAATCTCATTCTGAAAGTTGGTGTAGTGAAGGCTCTGAGGCAGGAAGCCCAGATGCTGCCCCTGTGGGCTGATGGCCATGTGCTGCGAAGTGCCCTGAAGCCAGTAGTTAGGGATCTACTTCATGGGCCTGTGGCCACGTTTCCATCTTCCCTCATCGCAGGTCTCTTCTAAATCTCTGCCAGGTGCCCCCAGGTGGAAGTCACTTACCACAGCCCTAGCTAAGTTAGGGCAGTGTTCACCTTCCCATGGTCTGTCTGGCTTTTCTCAGCCACGCTGGTAAGCCCCGGCTTTGTCACAGTCATCTTAGAAATAGCAGTGTCTGGAGACAGCATCCATCCTAGAAACAGCTTTCTCCTGCAGAAGTGAGAGACAGAGCTTCCCCCTGGGGCCCAGGGGAAACTGAAGCAAAGGGAATGTGGAGGTGCTGGTGCTTGTTTCAGGTTTCCGCTCTTGCAAGGCCCGTGAGGGATTGTGGGGTCAGGACTTGCTGCAAAGCCCTGTCTCTGCATTGACTCAGAGGATCCTCATTGAGATGAGATTTCCCCGACTTCCTTGGTAAAGCAGCATGAGCACGTTATTTTATGCCATTTAATTTAAAATGATGCAAGCACACATTTTGTAGGAGAGGTGAAATCTGTGTCTGGGGACAGCCCCTGACAGACAGGGTGGCATATGGCGACATCTGTGTGGCAGGTCTGGTGGGAGCCATGGAAGGACCAGGGCAGGGCACGCACCCTCCTAACTGAGGTCTGGTGGGAGCCATGGAAGGACCAGGGCAGGGCACGCACCCTCCTAACAGGTCTGGTGGGAGCCATGGAAGGACCAGGGCAGGGCATGCACCCTCCTAACTGAGGTCTGGTGGGAGCCATGGAAGGACCAGGGCAGGGCACGCACCCTCCTAACTGAGGTCTGGTGGGAGCTATGGAAGGACCAGGGCAGGGCACACACCCTCCTAACTGAGGTCTGCTGGGAGCCATGGAAGGACCAGGGCAGGGCATGCACCCTCCTAACTGAGGTCTGCTGGGAGCCATGGAAGGACCAGGGCAGGTTACGCACCCTCCTAACTGATCTCTACTTTGGCTTTCTCAGGATGGGCCTCCTCCAGGCCTAGGCCGCGTGATTGGTGAGCTGGGAGAGGACGGATGGATAAGAGTCCAGTGGGACACAGGCAGCACCAACTCCTACAGGATGGGGAAAGAAGGAAAATACGACCTCAAGCTGGCAGAGCTGCCGGCTGCTGCACAGCCCTCAGCAGAGGATTCGGACACAGAGGATGACTCTGGTGGGTGACTCAGGAAGGTGTTTAGTCCAAGGCAGCCCACAAACTGTCCAGGTGCTGGCTGCCACCACTGTCATCTGGGCCTTAGAATGGGATGTCAGGACGCACCTGCAGCTGGCGCTCTGTCCTCGGAGCCTGCAATTTAAATAAGCTCCCAGGCACCTCCGATGCAGGTGTGTGGAGTGGCTGTGGGATCCGGCGATCTGGCTGGAACTGACTTTCTGCATTTTACTCTCATGTGTGCACCCGCCCCTCTTTGAGAATGTGGTGGCCAGGCCGGGGCAGCTGCACCACCAGTGAGTCTCATGTGGTTGGCGCTGAGCCTGTGTCTGAGCGAGTGAGCCGAGGCCTGGTGGAATTGCCCTGTGGTCTCGGTCCATTGCCTCCTCCTCCAGTGAGAGCCCCTGCCCAAGCACACCCCACCTGCCACCTGCCTTTACCTTTCCTCTGTGGTCCCTGACTCTGAACTCTTCATGTAATGTGGAGTTAGTCAGCACTTTATCGCTTCTAGGGAAGCAGAGGTGAGAATTTAGGGGTGGACCAAGAAAGCTAGATCCTATCTGTGGAGATCCAGGTTGCGGGAGGAGGTTTCGTGACATTTCTTAGCTGTTCCTAAAAGACATGTGAAGCTTCACATGGCTGGGTTTGGTAATACCATCCAAGAGGCTGGGGCTGCCTCCGGAAGCACCGCAGTGCCCCCCATGGCTACAGTGTCATCAGGCTCAGAAATGGCTATTTCAGTGAGCACGAGATCTTAGAAGGTGTACTCACTAGAGAGCAGGTGGTATGGGGGCTGGAAGAGGCTATGCCATAGCGCACCGTCTGGGCTCGGGGCACACAGCTCAGATCCTGATACCACCATCTTTGACACGTCACTTCTGGGGCCTGGGTCCCTCAGGTGTGAGCAGAAGTGTTCCCTACTGCGTAGGCCTGTTAGGAGCGATGTATATGGCACCTGGAACCCTGTCCCTGAGGGCGGATGTGGTGCTGGCCGCCAGCATCCAGCCTATAGCATGCTGCCTGACACCAGTCGCTGCTTCCTCCCTCAGCCTCCCTTGCCTGCAGGAAGCAGGCCTGGCTCCCTGCCTGGGGCCTTTCCCCACAGAGGCATCAGAGCCTGGGCAGGGGTGGCCCCACGGCAGAGGGTGGCCTCATTTGCCACACATCTCCTCATCCCAAAGCCAGCCAAGCGGGCTGCATGAGCGTCTGGTCGCCCCACTCCACAGATGCCGGTGCTTTGTCCTCATCTAGGACACAGCCAGCTCATCAGAAACCAGCGCTTGACATTTGATAAGTTGTGTTTCTAAAGAAGTGAAACCTTGGAATCATTTATTGCTTCTGAGTTATATGCTAATGTTGTTTCGAGAATTATTATTTAAAAGATTCTTGAGGAAGATGGGAACAGAAAATGATCAGGGTGCACGTTTAGTGCATCCTGAGTTCCATCTTTTCTTCTTGTAAAGATCTGTTTCCCTTTCCAAAGCAGAAAAGATGACAGTTTGGGAGGTCGAGGTGGGAGGACTGCTTACCCTGCGAGGTCAAAGCTGCAGTGAGCTATGATCATGCCGTTGCACTCTAGCTTGGGAGACAGAGCCTGTCTCAAAGGAAAAAAGAACACAAAAATAAATCTCTGTACTTTCAATTTTGCGTGAACCTAAAACTGCACTAAAATTCAAGTCTTCAATAAAACAAGAATGTAATATTAAAGCTGTTGAATTATATGCAGGACTATCTTCCAGTTTTACTTGGGAATATAATTTGTAATTTTGATTATTTTTTTTAGAAGCCGAACAAACTGAAAGGAACATTCACCCCACTGCAATGATGTTTACCAGCACTATTAACTTACTGCAGACTCTTTGTCTGTCTGCTGGAGTTCATGCTGAGATCATGCAGAGCGAAGCCACCAAGACTTTATGCGGACTGCTGCGAATGTTAGTGGAAAGCGGAACGACGGACAAGACATGTATGGAATGAGAGATCGAGGGCCCAGGGAGTCAGCGCTGGGGGCCGCACGCTTGTGTCTGGGTGTTCATGTGGGTGGGTGTGGATGTGTGTGGATTCCTTTCCTGTGGCTGCTGTAACAAAGTATACAAACTTGGGGGCTTACACAGTAGAAATTCTCACGGTTCTGGCGGCTGGAAGGCTGAGATCAAGGGTGGTTCCTTCTGGGGCTGTGAGGGGGAAGCTGCTTGAGGGCTCTGCCCCAGCTTCTGGAGTTTACTGGTCTCTTTAGCGTTCCTCGGCTTGTAGAGGTGTCACCCCTATCTCTGCCGTCATCTTCACATGGCATTCTCCCTGTGTGTGAGTCGCCTCCAAATCTCCCCTTTTCATAAGGACATCATTCAACCTCATCAAACTGATTACAGCTGCAGCGACCCTATTTCCAAACAAGGTCACCTGCCGAGGTACGATAGGGGTTAGGGCTTCAACATACGAATTTTGCAATTCTGAATTCAACCCATAACACTGGCCTCAAACAACAAATTTGTTCTCTCAGAGTTCTGGAGACCAGAAGTCCCAAATCCAGGTGCGGGCAGGGCCATGCTTCTTCCACAGGCTCTAGGGGAAGGTCCTTCCTTACTTTGTCCAGCTTCTGGGAGCTCCAGGCTTCCTTGGTGTTGGGACGCATTGTGCCAGTCTCTGCCTGCGTCTTCACATGGCCCCTGCCCCTGTGTTCTGCATGTCCTTTTCTGTCTCTGAAAGGACTCTTTGAGTTTCTTTGACTCTAATCCAACATGATGTCACCTAAATTCTTACCTTAATGACGTCTACAGAGACCTCATTAAATAAGATCATATTCTGAGGTTCCGAATGTATGTGAAGTTGGGGGACAGGCACAGTTTAATCCATAAAGTGTTTGTGTGGAGAGTAAGTATGAGAAATGTGAGCTGAGGGAGTGGGGTGAGTGTGCATGTGACTGCGAGTGAGCACATGTGAGTGTGGGTGGGTATGTGGGCGTCCTCCAGTGTGTGTGAGAGCATGCGTGTATTAGTGGTGTGCTGGAGCGTCCGCACATATTGATGAGAGTGAGTGTGTTAGCGGTCGATGGGCAAGTGGCTGAGCGTTTGTGTTGCAAGTGTGATGGTGTGTTGGTAGCATGTGGTTGTGTGGGTGTGTGTCCATGAGAGCATGTAAGTGGGCAGGTGACTACATTCAGGTGAAGTGGGAGTGAAAGCGTCAGTGCATTGAGCCAGTGTGTGTGTGAGGGTGAGCATGAGGGAGGCATGAGTGAGTGTGAGGGGATTACTGGGTGTGCGAATGAGACACCCAGTGTAAGTGTAAGTCAGTGTAAGTCAGTGAGGGTTGGTGAGTGTGAGGAAGTATGAGTGGGTGGCAGCACAAGTGTGTAAGTGTGCGATTGAGTGCGAGCATTTGTGTAAATGTGTATGAGTGCCTTGTGTCAGTGTGAGCACGAGTGATGTTATTGTGAATGCGTGTGAGTGAATGTGAGCATTTTGCTTGTGTCAGTGAATGGGAGGTTATAACAGTATAGGTGTGAGTGCAAAGTGAGAAAGTGTGTGGGTAAAGGTGTGAGTGGGTGAGTAATCGGTCGTTACTAGTGTTGAGGAGTGTGAGTGCATATGTGAGTTTTTGTATGCATTGGGAGGGGTAAGTGTATGTGAGAGTGCATGGGAGTGTGTGTCAGCTTGCATCTGTTTGTGCATACGTGTGACTGGGATTGTGTGTGTGTTAGTGATTGCGACAGTGGTGTGAGTGCACCTGAAAGTGTGAGGGTGGGTGTATGAGTGCCCATGAGTGTGTCTGAATAACTTAGTATCAGTGTGAGTGTGAGGATGCATATGAGGGTGTGAGAGTGAGTGTGTGTGTGTGAGCGCATGTGAGTGTGCTGAAGGAAGGCAGGTGTCCTCATAAGCTTGGATAGCTGAGGGCAGGGTGGGGGAGGTGGGAGGGAGAGCAGGTCCTGTGGGGCTGTGGGCGGGGTCCCTCAGGGGGCCCAGCCTCCAAGCCTCAGCCTCCATTCAGGGAGTAGTGGAGTCCTGGAGCCAGGCGGAGCAGAGGTGGGCCCACTGGTGCTAGAATCCAGTGGTGTAAACCTAGTGAAAAACTCATTTTGTTAATGCAGATGTATTAAACTTGGATTGGAAACTGTCTCTACTAAAAATACAAAAAAAAAAAATATTTAAGTGGTGCAGATTAAATATAAGCAAGATTGTGGAGATATTTAAAACACGAAATTAAAAATATAATAGATGCACTGTTGCAAAGTACTGTTATTTGAATTATAGATGGTTTTCCTATTGCCTAGAAACAATGCATAGCTAAAATTCCCTAACTACTTTTACTACACATACTTAGAAGGTTTTAAAAATGCCCGTAGTCCCAGCTATTTGGCAGGGCAAGGCAGGAGAATCACTTGAACCCAGGAGTTTTAGACCAGCCTGGGAAACACAGTGAGAGCCCTTCTCTAAAAAAAAAAAGAAAAATTGAGAAATGTTTCTTGAACTAACTTAAAAGCTGCCTTCCACTTCTCACTTTGAATTAGTTTGAATTAATTTACAAACTGCAATATATTTGTAAAGGAGCTTATTTTAGAAAAATAAAATAAGTTGATAAAAAAATAAGGATATATCTTTAGGGATTTGTCTTTAGGGACTTGTTACCAAGCATGTCTATTTTCCCTCCTGCAGCTTCTCCAAACAGGCTGGTGTACAGGGAGCAACACCGGAGCTGGTGCACGCTGGGGTTTGTGCGGAGCATCGCTCTCACGCCGCAGGTATGCGGCGCCCTCAGCTCCCCGCAGTGGATCACGCTGCTCATGAAGGTCGTGGAAGGGCACGCACCCTTCACTGCCACCTCGCTGCAGAGGCAGGTAATGTGCTGCCAGGCAAAACCAGTTCCCTGAGAGAGGCCTCCATGTACTGAAGTTCCCTGCCTTCAGAGTCAGGGGCCTTTATTCAGTAACGAGTGCAGAAAGGGTCTAGAAGTGACAGGGTAGATTTTCTGGAGGCAAGGGGCAGAGGTCCTTGATAATTGGTAAGTTGCTAACCTTCAGTTTACCTGCTTTTCTCTTAAGTGGTAAATCCTGCAACTACTCACTCATCTGCTTCACAGAATTTGTAGTGTAATTGTCTTAAGAATTAAACTAAAAATAATTCTTTTTAAATTAAACACATGCATCTGTAATGTTGCTTTTTTTAAAGTTCCTGACAATCCTAATCACTAATCAACTTGAGTGTAATTACCTGGCTGTAAAATAATGAATCTCAAAATTTTCACTTGATTACTTGCGTTATGAGAACAGAAAATAAAGAGAGGCCGGGCGCAGTGGCTCATGCCTGTAATCCCAGCACTTTGGGAGGCCGAGGCAGGTGGATAATGAGGTCAGGAGTTTGAGACCAGCCTGGCCAACATAGTGAAATTCTGTCTCTACCAAAAATCCAAAAAAAAATGAGCCGGGCTTGGTGGTGGGTGCCTGTAATCCCTGCTACTCAGGAAGCTGAAGCAAGGAGAATCGTTTGAACCTGGGAGGTGGGAGTTTGTAGTGAGCCGAGACCGTGCCACTGCACTCCAGCCCGGGTGACAGTGTGAGACTCTGTCTCAAAAAAATAAAAAATAAAAAAATAACAATCTGTAGTTTCCTCATCAGATTTTTTTTAATGCTTGTCGTTATAAATTTTCTTTTATCAGATCTTAGCTGTGCATTTGTTGCAAGCAGTCCTTCCATCATGGGACAAGACCGAAAGGGCGAGGGACATGAAATGCCTCGTGGAGAAGCTGTTTGACTTCTTGGGAAGCTTGCTCACTACCTGCTCCTCTGACGTGCCATTACTCAGAGGTGGGTGGCCGTCTACCTTCCCTGTGCCCTGGTGAAGAGCGGCGCAGTGCCGTCACTCAGGTGGGTGGCCGTTTCCCTTCCCTGTGCCCTGGTGAAGAGCGGCGCAGTGCCGTCACTCAGAGGTGGGTGGCCGTCTCCCTTCCCTGTGCCCTGGTGAAGAGCGGTGTACTGCCGTCACTCAGAGGTGCGTGGCCGTCTCCCTTCCCTGTGCCCTGGTGAAGAGCGGCGCAGTGCCGTCACTCAGAGGTGCATGGCCGTCTCCCTTCCCTGTGCCCTGGTGAAGAGCGGCGCAGTGCCGTCACTTAGAGGTGGGTAGCCGTCTCCTTTCCCTGTGCCCTGGTGAAGAGCGGTGCAGCAGCTTCTCCCCTGGTTTCCTCCTCAGAGTCCACGCTGAGGCGGCGCAGGGTGCGCCCGCAGGCCTCGCTGACTGCCACCCACAGCAGCACACTGGCGGAGGAGGTGGTGGCACTGCTGCGCACGCTGCACTCCCTGACTCAGTGGAATGGGCTCATCAACAAGTACATCAACTCCCAGCTCCGCTCCATCACCCACAGCTTTGTGGGAAGGCCTTCCGAAGGGGTGGGTTTGTGTTCTCAGAATTAATTTAGTTCAACGGTGAACCTGTAGGGATTGGGCAGCTCCGTGAGTGTCTCTGTCGAGCTCGCTGTTTGGTCTGCACTAGGCCCAGTTAGAGGACTACTTCCCCGACTCCGAGAACCCTGAAGTGGGGGGCCTCATGGCAGTCCTGGCTGTGATTGGAGGCATCGATGGTCGCCTGCGCCTGGGCGGTCAAGTTATGCACGATGAGTTTGGAGAAGGCACTGTGACTCGCATCACCCCAAAGGGCAAAATCACCGTGCAGTTCTCTGACATGCGGACGTGTCGCGTTTGCCCATTGAATCAGCTGAAACCAGTAGGTGAACTTGTGCTTAGTTACTGCATGATAAGGGAAATTGACTTTACACTAGAACCGAGCACCAGCATCAGCACTTGAAAGAACTTGATTCTGGTACTTGAAGTTTGCCTTCCAGGAAGCTGTGTGAGCTTGTGCTTCTGTGGTAAGCAGGGCCTGTCTCACAGGGCACTTAAAGCAGTGGTTCGTGTGTATTTCAGCCTCAGAGACACGAAGAGGGCTTTAGCAACCTAGAAGGTACCGTGCATCTATGAGGTAGTTCTAATTATTTTAAAATGTGAATTTATGAAGTTTACTTTTTATTCAACAACTCAAGTTTTAAAAAAACAAACATGTTTAAACACCTTTAAAAAAACAGCCTTTCTTCATGTAGAAAATGCTTAGTAGTTTTGAGTGACGTGACTTAATGTAGCAGCTACTGTCATCTTAATCTGTGAATCAAGGATGCACAGGGAGAAGGAGCCATTTACATTATTTTGATGTAGCCCAAGTGCAATCTTACTATATATTCTTTTTCTTTTTTATTTTGAGATGGAGTCTTGCTCTTGTCACCCAGGCTGGAGTGCAATGGCACAATGTTGTCGGCCCTCTGCAACCTTTGCCTCCCGGGTTCAAGCGATTCTCCTGCCTCAGCCTCCTGAGTGTCTGGGATTACGGTGTGTGCCACCACGCCTGGCTAATTTTGTATTTTTAGTAGAGATGGGGTTTCACTATGTTGGCCGGGCTGGTCTCAAACTCCTGACCTCAGGTGATCCGCCCGCCTCGGCCTCCCAAAGTGCTGGGATTACAGGCGTGAGCCACCGTGCCTGGCCTGACTATATTTTCTATAAAGTACTCTTTTTTATTATTATAGGAATATATACACGTTGTAGAAAACTTGAAGTATATAGAAAATATCTGAGAAGATAGTAACCACCACACTGATGTAATTATTGTTGACAGGTTTGTAAAGAAAAATTAATATAGATTATACTTATTATATGTGTAAATCTCTATCCTGCCTTTAATGTCATTTTAAAAAATGATTATTCTCAGCTATAAAAGGCTTACGGGTATGTGTGGCATTTCAGGATTAAGCCCATGGTTTTGATGACTTTCAGAACGTTTCATTTGTTAGTCGTATTGGCCACACTCTGACAGCTTCTGTGTCCTCTCCAGCTCCCTGCCGTGGCCTTTAATGTGAACAACCTGCCCTTCACAGAGCCCATGCTGTCTGTCTGGGCTCAGTTGGTGAACCTCGCTGGAAGCAAGTTAGAAAAGCACAAAATAAAGAAATCGACTAAACAGGCCTTTGCAGGTCAGTACATGGTGCTTCTTGATGAAATAGCTGCCGTCTTAAACTCGTGTCGTTTGTACAGTGTTCTTTTATGAGTGAATTCACGGACGTACTAAAGTCCTGGGGTTCACGTGGGCTCACCATTTGTTGAGTTGCGGTTGGGAATGTAACCCTGTGTTCGTGGTAATGAGTATTTTCGAGTCAGCTTTTGTCGCCATGTTCGGAGCCACACTTGAAGAACCCCATGGCTCACACCCTCTTCTCCGTGTCACCCTTTATCCCGGAAGAGAAGTCTGTGTTCACCTCTTCCCTCCTCCTCTCCATCCCAGGGCCCTGTGGCCCAGTCACCCTGTTGGACCATGGCTCACAGCCTGTTCTCTGCCGGATCCAGGGGCCTCTGTCCCGGAAGCGCCTGGCTTGCCTGTGACATTCAGGATGGCTAAGACTGTGACTGTAGCCTGGCTTGGCTTTGCCTTCCTTCGGTTGTAGAATGCGGCTCTCCTGAGTTTGTTTCCATGTTTCTAGGGAGCTCTTCTCTCTGCTCATTCTTTATGTCCTGGAAGTCTGTGTGGCTTCACCCGTAACTATGGCGTATTCTGCCCACTCTTCTTGAGTTTTCTCCCCTCTTGCTCCCACAGACCTACGATTGCTGCTTCAGCATTTATGATGTAAGCACTTTCAACTCTGGATCTCCCATTCACATGTCTGGTTGGAGGTGCAGTGCATGCAAATCACCACATGTCCGAAATTCAGCTGGCTTTCTCTAGTAGCTGCCGTTTCCCATCGTGGTGAATAAACCTGTCTGCCAGTTAGTTGAGCCAGTGTCCGAGCGGCACCTGCGGCCCTCCTTCCTTCCCACCCCATGCTCTCTGTGCTGCTTCTGCGGCCTCTGCTATCAGATAAGCCTTGGGCATTGCTGCCATCTTCATCAGTTAAAGAGCTAGTGGGGCTGACAGATTCTCTCAGAGGAGTCTTAGAAGAAGAGTGAAAGCGGCTGAAACTTCAGCAACTTGGGGAACATTTGATCATATTAATAGTAGCTAACATGGTTCTAACCGTGTTAAACCCATTGAATCCTGCGTCCTATCAAGTTAGGTGCCTGGAGAGCAGGGAAGGAAGACCCAGGAGGCAGAAGATGCTTACCCAGAAGCACCGAGTGTAACTCTGGGAAAGGCAAGCCCTTCGTCACGGACAGTGTGTGCGGTCGGCAGATTCCTGAAGGGCAGAGCGTTACTCGTCGCCATGTGGCGGAGGCTTGCTGCTGGCGAGGAGGGAGTCTGAGCAGGGCACGCCCTTCTCACTGAGTCTTTCCTTCCGCAGGACAAGTGGACCTGGACCTGCTGCGGTGCCAGCAGTTGAAGCTATACATCCTGAAAGCAGGTCGGGCGCTGCTCTCCCACCAGGATAAACTGCGGCAGATCCTGTCTCAGCCAGCTGTTCAGGAGACTGGAACTGTTCACACAGGTGTCTTTTTAAAAAGTTCTTAAATCTTTATAAGAAGGGCAGTAGAAAGTAGACAAAGGAAGTGAATAATCAGTTCATAAAAATGGACATAGGTGGCTTATAAATGTACAAGACAGACATGTGGCCTGCCCAGCAACCACCAACTGTGAATAAAATTGTCATCGTCATCTTATAAGACAAGACTGAGGGCATCTGGTGGGTGGGGAGGGAAAAAGGTATTTTCATGCCTTCCCATTTAAAGTGTGCTGCATGGGTCAGCAAGATTGGTGGCACGCAGGTATGTGTTAGAAATGCAGACTCCCAGGCCGCACCCCAGACCAAAGAAATAGAGCCTGTATTGTAACAAGTAGAACCTAAGCTGGTTCTTCAAATGCGCGTAAAGCCGCACTCCATGAACAGGCTGCTGCTGGGAATTTCAGTTGGTGTAGCCATCTAATGGGCGTCTGAGGAAATGAGTTGGTCTTTGACATGCATAGATGTATGTATGTATTTATATACTTTGGCCCAGCAAGTCATTCCGTGGGACTTTATCACACGAAAAGGCATGTAAAGATAATGTATTCACCAGCCGGGCACAATGGCTCATGCCTGTAATCCCTGCACTTTGGGAGGCCGAGGCGGGCGGCGGATCACGAGGTCAGGAGCTAGAGACCATCCTGGCTAACATGGTGAAACCCCATTTCTACTAAAAATACAAAACATTAGCTGGGCACGGTGGCGGACGCCTGTAGTTCTAGCTACTTGGGAGGCTGACGCAGGAGAATGGCATGAATCCGGGAGGCGGAGCTTACAGTGAGCCGAGATGGCGCCACTGCACTCCAGCCTGGACGACAGAGCAAGACTCTGTCTCAAAAAATAAATAAATAAAAAAAAATAGTGGGGCATAGTGGTGGCCGCCTGTAATCCCAGCTACTTGGAAGGCTGAGGCAGGAGAATCACTTGAACCGGGGGGCGGAGGTTGCAGTGTGTGCGGATTGCAGGGTGCAGATTGTGCCACTGCACTCCAGCCTGGGCGACAGAGTGAGACTTTGTCTCAAAAAAAAAAAAAAAAAAAAAAAAAAAGATAATGTATTCAACAGTGTCGTTATGGCCTCCTTTTTGGTATTGTTTTTGTGTTGAAAAACTGTAGACACCAAAATACCTATTCTTATGTTGTGTATCCATACAGTGTGATACCATGGTGCCATTCAAAATGATGGTACTTATATAGTCTTCCCTGAATATCCATGGGGATGAGTTCCAAGACCCCCAGTTATACCAGAATTCACTAATGCTTAAGGCCCTTCTATAAAATGGTGTAGTATTTGCATATAACCTATGTACATCCTCCCAAATACTTTAAAAATATAAATGATATATAGGCCTGGCGCGGTGGCTCATGCCTGTAATCCCAGCACTTTGGGAGGCTAAGGCGGGCAGATCACGAGGTCAGGAGATCGAGACCATCCTGGCTAACACGGTGAAACTCCATCTCTACTAAAAATACAAAAAATTAGCTGGGCGTGGTGGCAGGTGCCTGTAGTCCCAGCTACTTGGGAGGCTGAGGCAGGAGAATGGTGTGAACTCGGGAGGCAGAGCTTGCAGTGAGGCGAGATCGTGTCACTGCACTCCAGCCTGGGTGACAGAGCGAGACTCTGTCTCAAAAAAAATAAATAAATAAAAATAAAATAAATGATATGTAAATAGTTGTTATTGCTATTCTTTTTAAAATTATATTTTAAAAAATTGTTTTATTCTGAATATTTTTGATGTGTGGTTTGTTGAATCTTTGGATGCAGAACCCATGGATATGGAGGGCTAGCTGTATATGTTTATTGCCGTGGAAATATGAAAATGATAAGTAAACAGAAAAGCACATTGCTATGTATATCCGTTTATAGATATGCCATAGTTATCTGTTTAGTGAAATAGTGACCCAGTAATCTTTGGTGGAATTTGGCTGTCTTTATTTCTTTATATTTCTCTATATTTAGTTTTCTAGAATGAGCTTGTGTCACTTTTAATAGAAAAAAACATTTTTTGATCTCCTGCTATTGAAAGACATTATGCTAAGTCTTTTCGGGGAAAGTCCTTTTCTGTGATCATTGCTCTCTAGGGTTTGGATGAGGAGAGGAAGTGAATGCAGATGGCTCTCTTTGTCCTCTGGGGTCAGGAGGCGGTGAGGCATGTGAGTGGTTCCACAGGCATCTGGAGCCAGTGGCAGCTGAGCACTGGACGGGCAGCCTTTGAAGGCTGTGGCAGACAGATGCCAGCAGACAAGCACTTTGCTGGTGGTGGACCAGGAGGAGAGGAGTGAAAGTGGCGAGTCTTTGGAAGCGTGTTGAGCAGCTCTGCATTGCTTGGAGCTCAGGGTTTGTCGATGAGTGGTGGGGCTGAAGCTGGATGGGTGGGTGACATCCTGTTACAGAGTACCTGG
Source organism: Homo sapiens (assembly GCF_000001405.40). Lineage (NCBI taxonomy): Eukaryota > Metazoa > Chordata > Mammalia > Primates > Hominidae > Homo > Homo sapiens. The sequence goes on along the minus strand of NW_011332701.1, from coordinate 342,047 downwards.
GAGACCAGGGTGAAACTTGAGGCCCACTTGGAAAGCTGTGGTAGGGGCCACATGGTAAGCATTGACCTTCGGGTGATACACCTGCTAGGAAGGTATAGGAGTATCTGAAACAGGAGATGACAGAGATGGAGAATTGCTCCTGCGTCAGGTGATGAGGGGGAAGGCATGAAAAGGGAAAGAAGGTTCTGGTGGAAGGAAGGTGCCATCCACTGTGATGGTGTAGTCTTGTAGATGATAACTTTATGGGGAACCAGCAAAAAGTGGAAGGTGACTCTGCTGTTTCAAGCTTGAATTGAGGGGAGAATAGTGAGTGGTGCGTTTGAAAAAAATATGCAAGTCCAGTAGAATGTGGAGTATGTGGGTTTGTTTCTTAATCTTAAGAGGAGAGGATGTTATGAAATTAATTTTAAACCTGCTGAGGATGAAAGAAATCAATTGAAAGTATAGAATCAATTAATAGTAGAGGTTATAGGGAACATGAAGATTTCCCAGTTGTAGAGATTGGAAGATTGGAGCCTGGGAATTGGATTGGCTGTTCTGTTCTGCACTCAGCCCAATGAGCAGTGACAGCAGACCTGAATCAGGATGATCAAGTCTGTGCTTTGGGCCGAGCAGGGACTCCTAACAGAGCTAGATTGACAAAACTGCCGTGCACCTGTTTTTGTAAATTTTTATGGGAACACAGACACACCACTTGTTTACACATCGTCTCTGGATGCTTTTGCTCTGCAATGGCAGAGCTGAGTAGTTGGGACAGAGACTGTACAGCCCATCAGCCTAAACTATTTACTCTCTGGCCCTTTAAGAGAAAGATTTCCAGCTCCTGGTCTAGTTAGTTGAAATTGTCACTGAAGAAAACCAGCACATGCAAATGCTGTGAGTACCTGGATGAGTACCTAGATGTGTGAAGTGGGCTTGAGGGCAGTGGATCTCCCTGGGGCTGTGTCAAACAGAGTCCTAAAGGCTGCACCTAAAGCTACTCATAACAGACAAAAAGCCATCACCCTGAGCACATGACACATTTGGAATTGGGGTCACTTAATGATCTCAACAAAGCTTAGCTGGAAAAGCTACAGCTAGAAATATGCACGTGGGATGTGTCTGTGTCAGGGGTTACTGAAGCCGTGAGTGAACACGAAAGAGAGTGTGTAGGTCAGGCATGGTGGCTTATGCCTGTAATCCCAACACTTTGGGATGCCGAGGCGGGTGGATCACCTGAGGTCAGGAGTTCGAGACCAGCCTGGCCAACATGGTGAAACCCCCATCTATACTAAAAATACAAAAATTAGCCGGGCGTGGTGGCGTGTGCCTGTAGTCCCAGCTACAGGGAAGGCTGATGCAGGAGAATCGCTTGAGCCAGGAGGCAGAGGTTGCAGTTTGCCAAGATTGTGCCACTGCACTCCAGCCTGGGCAACAGAGTGAGACTCCATCTCAAGAAAAGAGAAAGAATCAGACCAAGTGCAGAAATCTGGGAAGGAGCATTTGCTGGCTCTAAGAGACAGATGCACTAATGAAGGACAGAGACCAAAAGCAGGCAGTGAAAGTGGTTTAGAGTCTAGTTTTTTTTTTTTTGTTTTGAGATGGAGTCTCGCTCTGTCACCAGGCTGGAGTATGGTGGTGTGATATTGGCTCGCTGCAACCTCCAACTCCCTGGTTCAAGCAATTCTCCTGCCTCAGCCTTGCGAGTAGCTGGGATTACAGGCACGCACCACCATGCCCAGCTAATTTTTTTTTTTTTTTTTTTTTTGAGACCGAGTCTTGGTCTGTCGCCCAGGCTGGAGTGCAGTGGCACAATCTCAGCTCACTGCAAGCTCCGCCTCCCAGGTTCATGCCATTCTCCTGTGTCAGCCTCCCAAGTAGCTGGGACTACAGGCGCCCGCCACCATGCCCAGCTAATGTTTTGTATTTTTAGTAGAGATGGGGTTTCACCGTGTTACCCAGGATGGTCTTGATATCCTGACCTTGTGATCCACCCGCCTTGGCCTCCCGAAGTGCAGGGATTACACGCGTGAGCCACCGCACCCAACCTAGAGTCTAGTTTTTGTTCGATGTCTGAACCTTGAAGATTTTGGTTTTCTATCACATAATGAGGCAGAAGTCATACCTGATTTAACATGCTTAATGCATTTTCTTTAATAGTAAAGTGGTGTTCGCAGTTGAAAATAGAATCTTACACATATTTTGTTTTTAAATTCAGATGATGGAGCAGTGGTATCACCTGACCTTGGGGACATGTCTCCTGAAGGGCCGCAGCCCCCCATGATCCTCTTGCAGCAGCTGCTGGCCTCGGCCACCCAGCCGTCTCCTGTGAAGGCCATATTTGATAAACAGGAACTTGAGGTACAGCCATGCAGCCTTGACAGTTTTTAATCCACAGCACTAAATTTTGAACACTTTTTTTCTAGATGTATATTTTCTTAAGGATCTATTCTGAATGTTAAATGATAGTACGCAAATAATTCTAATGATTCATTGGGGTTTAACCATGTTTGTGCATAGTCTGCAGAACATTATAATACTAAAGACTGAGAGGGTTGAAGTTTAACCTTATTTTGGGTTTGTGTAAATTGTGAAAAAATATTAACTAGATGCAGCATGGGTTAAATGCTCACATCTTCATGAAGGGATCTTTTTCCAGGAAGTAGAATTATTCAAAGAGGCTCGTCAGGACTCTGGCAGCCGTTTGTTTCATTCACTCAGGAGCCTCTTGGGGGTGCTCTGGTGCCGCCAGCCTCTCCGCTCTCTCCATGCTGTGGAGCAGGTGAGGGCAGCAGCGAGGCACAGGGTCAGGGCTACGGGACGTTCGCATAGAGGAGGCGACGTGATTGAGTGTAAGAGGGATGGGAGCTTTCATGGCTGGCAACATAGAGGATTAGAGATGTTCATTCCAAAATCTTTCTTGCTGTGTAATACATTAAAAATCTGGACAAAATATCAGAGACAAAAATAAAACTATCAGTACTCAGTTTGGCAATCAGAAATTACCCTAACAGAAACCCTCAGATAGCAGGGCCCTTCTGGGAGCAAGGGTCCAGATGAGGCAGCCACTGCCTTGGACAGGTGGGAGGCCTCCCCCAGTCCTAGAACGAGCTGGAAAGATGGTGGGGGTGCAAAGGGAGAAAGCAAGAAACGGGTGTGGGCAGGAAGGGAGGAGGTTGGCCATGAGCTCTTCTGAACTCCAGCTTCTTCTCAGGTCTGGGAACCTCCAAGGTGAAGGTTCATTTTAAAGGGCCTGGTTGTGTTTCCAGTCTCCCTGGCAGAGATCAAAAGAAGACGCTGAGCAACTTGAGAGCACGTGGGGCGGTGCACGTGCTCCCTGCAGTCATGCTGGGAGATGCCGAGTGTGAACAACTGGAAGGCCGTGTAGAGTTGTCCTTCAGGAACTGAGAAGGACTGTTGTACAAAAAGAGACCTTCCGCTGTTTTGTCTCCATGGATTCTGATGGAGAGTTGTTGTTCTCTTCTTTTTCATGAAATGTCTTTTTTCTGTGGTTGCTTTTCGTATTTTCTATTATCTTTGGTTTTCTGCAGTTTCCCTAAGCTGGGCTCATGTATACAATGGTGGCACACCCCGCCCACCCCACCGTCCTCCTTGAAATTTGCTGAAGCTGCTTGCATCTTTGGCTTGATTTTTGTTCCCCTACCAAATTTGGAAACTTTTGACTATTGTTTTTTCCCCCTGCCTTGCTCTTTTTGTTCTTTTCTGGAAATACTATTATACATCTGTTACACTGTTAGTGAGTTTCCTTTTACGATTTTAATAGAAAGTCTTCTCCTTGTTAGTAGCTTGGTTAGTTTGTCTTGATCTGTTTGAAAGGTCAAGATGCTTTGCTTTGTTGGGCCTAATCTGTTGTTATATCCATCCAAGACATACTTTATTTTATATTTCTCACATCTCTTATTTCCATTTGGCTCTCATTTAATAGTTTTATATCTCTTCTGACAGTTCCTTTCTTCATCCTTTAAGTCTATCTTTTTTTTTTTTTTTTTTGACGGAGTCTCGCTCTGTCTCCAGGCTGGAGTGCAGTGGCGTGATCTCAGCTCACTGCAACCTCTGACTCTTGGGTTCAAGTGATTCTCCTGCCTCAGCCTCCCGAGTAGCTAGGACTACAGGTGCCTGCCACCACGCCTGGCTAATTTTTGTATATTTAGTAGAGATGGGGTTTTACCATGTTGGCCAGGCTGGTCTCGAACTCCTGACCTCATGATCCGCCCTCCTCGGGCTCCCAAAGTGCTGGGATTACAGGTGTGAGCCACCGTGCCTGGCCAAATCTATCTTTTGCTGTACATTTTAAAACATATTTCTGATAGTTATGTTGAATTTCTTGTTTGCTAATTCTAACATCTGCCCACCTGTTGGTCTGCTGCTCTTTGCAGTTTTTATTCCTTGATTATAGTCAGTTATTGGTTGTTGTCCTTCACATATGTGAGAATTCTTATTTCATTCTGGATTCTTTGGACGTTACATTGTATTGGCTCTGGGTTCTGCCGCCTCTGGAGAAAGGGGAGTTTTCTTCTCACAGGCAGTTCAGTACCTGGCAGTCCTCCTTGATCCTGAGGTGGCTTGGTGCCAGGCTTTCTAATGATTTTGTATTTGCCCTTAGCCCTGGTTGTGGATCCTTAATTCTCAAGGATTTAGAATCTCTTCTGGGCGTCACTGGAAGCCTTGACATTCTCCTCCCCACCTCTAGTTGGTTGAGCTTGAGCCTCAGATGCTGTCCTGGCCCTGGGCAGCTGGGGAGCCCCTGCAGCCTTCCAGCGGTCCCTTTGTGCCGAGCGCAGGCTCTTCAGTGGTGCTTCAGTTTAGATTCAGCTGTAGATTTGCGGGTAGTCCGTCCGCATATTTCGTGGTTTTCCCTCTGTGGTTTCTTTCTCAGGCGGGCTTTCCCTCACATTCTGGTTGCTCTGGCAGGCCGGGACCCCAGCCCCTGCAGTGCAGGAAGGTGCGCCGTCTGTGGTTAAATGCGCGTCTTACCTGCAGGCTTCTCGGTGTCAGGGGTTGTGCTTGTTTTATTGCTGATTGCGTCAGCTGTTCTCCAGTGCCCTCAAGCAGTTTTAAAAAATATTTTATCCAGAGTTCATGATTATTATCAGCCAAGGGTTAGTCCAATGCACCCTAACTCCCCATTATCAGAACCAGAACTCTTGGCTCAATCTGGCTCTGAATTTTAAACTTTTAGGATGAAACCTGTCACTTCCAAGTTACCCAGACTTCGCTGCAAAACCCTAGGCTTTGATACTTCCTGAGCACCGGGGGGCTCCACAGTGTCCTCGGTTTCTTCCTGATTCCTTCCTCACATGCTCCGTTTAACAAAATAGCAAGTCAGTGCTATGAGAGCAGCTGGGGAGGAGGACCAGGGAGTTACAGACAGATCAGGGAAGTGCTATTTGTGCTGTAGGTGGGGAGTTCCCAGCTGCAGAGACTGGCAGTTTAGATGTTCACTGATTCATTGCAGTGTGTTTCCCAACTAATACTCTTTTATTTCTCTTACTTTTTAATACCTTGTTTAACCTCACTGTGGTTATTTAACCCTTGAATAGTTGAGGGTTGTTTTAATGGTACATGAGAGTCCTGTGTCATTTCTGGCCTGTCTAAAACACAGGTGCCTGTGGCCGCCACCACAGTGCCTGGTTAAGGCAGGGGGAATGCCTTTCTCCCTGCTCCTTCAAGCCCCTGTGACTGTTCGCTTGGGGCTGTAATGAAGTTTTCCTTAATGGACATTGATACTTGGCTAATTTAGTAGGCTCTCTGTCTGCTGAAACAGGCAAGTTATTTTACCCCCACGTATTTTCTCTGCATTAAACCGTGAAACTTGGCTTTGTCATTTTCTAACATGTTTTAGGAACTCATTGAAAAACACACATGTGAATGCGGGCTTTCTAGACTTGCATACTGCAGTTCACAGTAGAAGGCCATCACCCCTGTGTTCCTAGACTGTGTAAGCTAGCTGAGGGCACTTCCCAAATCTCCCAGGACCCTCTTGTCTGCCCAGGCTGCTGCACTGGCCGTTTGCCAGTGCTTGGCTGTGGAGTCCACTCACCCTTCGAGCCCAGGATTTGAAGACTGCAGCTCCAGTGAGGCCACCACGCCTGTCGCCGTGCAGCACATCCGCCCTGCCAGAGTGAAGAGGCGCAAGCAGTCGCCCGTTCCCGCTCTGCCGATCGTGGTGCAGCTCATGGAGATGGGATTTTCCAGAAGGAACATCGAGTTTGCCCTGAAGTCTCTCACTGGTGCTTCCGGGAATGCATCCAGCTTGCCTGGTACTTCGTTTTCCTGGCCTCTGCTTGTGTATGTGTGGGTTCCCGCTTCAGGGCTGTTGACTCACAGTGGCTGCTGTGCTGTGTGTGCCTCTCTTAGGTGTGGAAGCCTTGGTCGGGTGGCTGCTGGACCACTCCGACATACAGGTCACGGAGCTCTCAGATGCAGACACGGTGTCCGACGAGTATTCTGACGAGGAGGTGGTGGAGGACGTGGATGATGCCGCCTACTCCATGGTCAGTGCCTCCCATGTGACCGCCCGCACCTGGGCCGCTGTCCGTCTAGCGCTCTAACAGTCTTACACCTTGGCTTTCTCTGTCCCTTGAAAGAATTAACTATATCTACTGTGGACTGTTCCATAAAACCAACCTATGGTATTGCCGGGCACAGAACAAAGCTGTGTTTCACTACTGAAGGGATGATTGGGTTTCTATATCATAATTACTTTTAGCTTCAGAACAGACCCTTGTTCAAACATCTCATGATCTTCGGTAGCCATTAGAAGATATTTTATTAAAATACCATGTTTTGACACATCAGTTTCTGACCTGAGTAAATTATTCGTAGGATTAATTTGGAAGTGCCTTGGAAATTTTGTATACTTGTAGCTTTTGAGATTCATTCTGCCTACTATGCTACTGCTATTAGTCTTTTTTAAATGAAGATTTTTATAGAGAAAATAAAGGATTTCATCCTCTACTTTTTAATATTATAGATTTCACAGACTTATTTCTTTTTGAGTAGGTTTATCATGTTCTCCTGTTTTTTTGTTTGAATGTATTTATTTCTTGCAGTCTACTGGTGCTGTTGTGACGGAGAGCCAGACGTACAAAAAACGAGCTGATTTCTTGAGTAATGATGATTATGCTGTATATGTGAGAGAGAATATTCAGGTGAGTAATTGTCTTAAGCTGGAGCCTCGATCCGTTTTTCATTCAGCAAATATTTGAGTATGTCCTATATGCCAAACATCAGTGGACAGAGGCCCCTGCCCTCAGGGAGCCTGCCTTCTGGTGCTGGAAGACATACCTGACCAGTGAGCTCATGGTACGCTAGAAGGTGCTGTGTACCCTGGAATGAGAAAGAACAGACTACAGTAAAGGGGTAGGAGTGAGGGCACATTACAGGGATGTGGGGCTGCAATGAGAAGGTGACATGGGTGCAAAGCCTACAGGGTGTGAAGGGTGGCTGAGCAGGATGGGCACCCAGACAGAGGCTGCTGTGGCTGCCCCGGTGTAGCCAGAGGACAGAGGGGCAGATGGGCTCAGGGGCAGCCGGAGAGCACAAGTGGCCTGTCCACGGTGGACATGGCGCAGGGATGGCTGTTTTCTACTAGCCCCACTTGTGACACTTCCTACATACCTTTCCTTGTTTTTCTTATGTAATTCTCATTGCCATCAAACTTTAAAAATCTAATTATGTTTTATATAGTCCTTTATCTACTTTAAATCATTTCTTGTCCTAATTCTCTTGTTTTAGTATATTTTAGAGAAAATCCCCCAAATCATCTCATTTCACCTGTATATATGTCAGTGAGTATCACTAATAAAGAATCTTAACATAATGACATTTCTGTTTACCAGCATTACCTAACAAAATAAATAATAATTCCTTAATATCATCTCATATCTAACGCTTGCTTGTAGTTTTCCAGTTTTCTCAGAAATGGCTTTAATGGTTAGTTTTTGAACTTGGATACAACCAAGATTGTATGCCTTATCTACATTTGGTTGATGGATCTTTGACGTCTATTCCAAGCTAGAGTGGTTCCCCCTTGTCTTAGCTCAGTTGGCTATAACACAGTACCATAGACTGGCAGCTTCAACAACAGACATTTATTTCTCATGGTTCTGGAGGCTGGAAATCCAAGATCAAGGTACCAGCTTGGCTGGTTTCTGGTGATGGCCCTCTTCCTGGCTTGTAGGTGGCTACCTTTTTTTTTTGTTTGTTTTTTGAGGCAGAGTCTCGCTCTGTCACCCAGGCTGGAGTGCAGTGGCGTGATCTCAGCTCACTACAAGCTCCGCCTCCCGGGTTCATGCCATTCTCCTGCCTCAGCCTCCCGAGTAGCTGGGATTACAGACATGCACCACATGCCTGGTTAATTTTATATTTTTAGTAGAGACAGTGTTTCTTCATTTTTGTCAGGCTGGTCTCGAGCTCCTGACCTCAGGTGATCCGCCTGCCTTGGCCTCCCAAAGTGCTGGGATTATAGGCGTGAGCCACCATGCCCATCCTGGAGTCTCTTCTTATAAAGACCCTAGTCCTGTTGTGTCAGAGGCCCACTCTTATGACCTGATTTTACCTTAATGACTTCCTTAGAGGCCCCATCTCCTAATACTGCCACATTAGGAGTTGGGACTTCATGAATTTTGGTGGGGGGGACACAAACATTCATGATAATACTCCTTCCCCCGTCCTCTCCTTTCATGCTGTTTATTTGTAGCTGAAACCATGTCCTCCAAATGTCTTACAGTCTGCATTTGGAGGTGGCTTCCTTGTGGCTAACATCTTCCTCTCTCCCTGTTTCTCCAATACAATAGGAGTTAGGGTTGGAGGGTGATTGGACCAGGCTGAATCTCAGGCAGGAAGCTTCATAGGCATGTACTCCCTCCGGCCCCATCTCAACAGGCAAGCAGGGTTGGGTGGGTTAGGTCTTGTCAGCCTGCTCCTTCCTTGATGACATTCTGTATTAATTATCCATCTCATAGCTCCAGTAGGCATTAGCGTCATCATCTAGACCTATCATTAGGGGCTGCACCATAGTGATTTTCTAACTTCATCTTCTCTGAGTTCATTAGCTGGAATTCTCTTCTGGGAAAAAAAGCTTTGTTATTAATCTTGGTTGCTCTTGATAATACAGGGAGACTTTATCAGTTTTCAGAATGATGCATTGGTGTTCTGATATGTATAAAGATGACCAGGAAGCTTTGTTTTCCTTATTATCATGATGACCAATCCATTGGCTTTTAGGGTGTGATGTTTCCACTGTTATGTTTTTGATGATCAGGGAATCCTTTTGAGTGAACCCAGTAATCTTTGAAAGCTCCCTTCCTTTATGACACAAGTTGATCCAGGCTCTTCCTGTATATTTCCTGCCTGAGACACAAAGCCAGACAGTGTTCTAAAGAGTTTCTCTTCCCTTTATCATTAAATAATACTTAGAATGCACTCTGGGTGCTAGATGAAATTCTTTTTTTTTTTTGAGATGGGGTCTCACTTTGTCACTCAGGCTGGAGTGCAGTTGTGTGATCTTGGCTCATTGTAACCTCCACCTTCCAGGCTCAAGCAATCCTCTCAACTCAGTCTCCCGAGTAGCTGGGACCACAGGCATGCACCGCCACGTCTGGCTAATTTTTGTATTTTTGGTAGAGGTGGGTTTCGCCATGTTGCCCAGGTTTGTCTCAAACACCTGAGCTCAAGTGATCCTCCCACCTCAGCCTCCCAAAGTGCTAGGATTACAGACGTGAGCCACCATGCCCAGTCAGAATTCTTTATTAAGAGTAGAGTAATACTACTTATCATGGCTCATTTCACCTGTGTACATGATGGACTGGATCTCCAATTTCATTTTAATTCTAGGTGGGAATGATGGTTAGATGCTGCCGAGCGTATGAAGAAGTGTGCGAAGGTGATGTTGGCAAAGTCATCAAGCTGGACAGAGATGGATTGCATGATCTCAATGTGCAGTGTGACTGGCAGCAGAAAGGGGGCACCTACTGGGTTAGGTACATTCATGTGGAACTTATAGGTGAGCACATTCTTTGTTCAGTGCTTTTGTTTTTTCTTAGAGACAAAATTCCCTTAAATGAATATTGATTATAATGATTTGTTATTGACATCTGTAGGCTATCCTCCACCAAGTTCTTCTTCTCACATCAAGATTGGTGATAAAGTGCGGGTCAAAGCCTCTGTCACCACACCAAAATACAAATGGGGATCTGTGACTCATCAGAGTGTGGGGGTTGTGAAAGGTAATATTATCTGGGTAATAAAATTCCTGATGTTAACTTTTCATTAACGCATGTGTACTTAGTATTTCTTTTTGTTCAAGCACACAAAACAGAAAACAAGTGTTGAAGAAAGATAGAGTGTTCCTTTGCTTGTCAGTGCCTTCTGCCAAAGGCCACAGAGGAACTCACCTGCAGTGAAACAATTAGATTTATTAATATTAACTCATTGCAGTACAGGAGAACACACACCTTGGGGAATGGGTGTCTCCATCAGAGGGAGTGAGCGAGGACTAATGAAGTTTATGTTGGGTATTTGGGGGAGGGGTCGAGAAAGCAGGGGTAATCCTAAAACAGGATGTCTTAATAAATTTACCTAGCAGGCAGAAAGAATGGAGCCATGCTAACGTCATGATTGGTAAGGAAGTAGTCATTCATATCACCAGGATAGGGGACTGTGTGGTTGTTTGTGGTTTGGATTAGACTCAACTTTAATCACACATGGTTAAGTAGGGGTTTTGGTTGTGCCTTGATTCATCAGTCACAGAGTGGCCTTACCTGATGTTCGTGTTCTGTAAACTTGTCCTGTCAGTTATTCTGTGAAATGTTCTAACATTGACATTAACAGGCCAGCTCCTGACTGTCAGGACTGCTTTTTCTTTCTCCTCCCCTGACCAGGCTGGAGTGCAGTGGCGCCATCTTGACTCACTGCAACCTCCGCCCCCAGGTTTAAGGAATTCTCCAGTCTCAGCCTCCAGAGTAGCTGGGATTACAGGTGCCCACCACCATGCCTGGATAATTTTTGTATTTTTAGTAGAGATGGGGTTTCACCATGTTGGCCAGGCTGGTCTCGAACTCCTTACCTATTGATCCGCCTGCCTCAGCCTCCCAAAGTGTTGGGATTACAGGCGTGAGCCACCATGCCTGGCTCTTTTTCATGCTGTATAAAAATTTAGGACTGAATTTAAGAAATGGAAATGTGCTAATGATGGGAATTAGGAACTGGGAACAATTCTCAGATTATATTTAATATGATACTATTGAGATTCCAAATCAAATCCGTGGCACACTTTGAAAGGTATACTATGTCCGTTTTAACAGTTGCATGAGAAATAAGTATGTGTATAGTTTTATAAACTCTTGATGCCATAAAGAGATTATTTGTTTGTTTGAACCTTGTGGAAGGCTCTCTTTTCATCAGATCGCTTAGAAAATGGCCACAGTTGGTGGTTCCCCAGTGGTGAGAGGTTCCTAGAGCTTCTCATGTTACATAAAAACAAATGGATTATTTAATATTTTACTTTAAACATTTTTCTTTGCTTAAGAGATTGTTAAAATATTTGCAAATCAAAACAAGACAAATTTTAAAAATAAGAATTTGGTTTCTTTGTTTTGAGTGACACGTTGCTCTTATCAAAGGACGAAAGAAGTCTTCATGTTATTAATGTGGTTTTTATTCCCTGAGATACCGAAGGTATTGTATGGAATTGTTGACTTGGTGTAATTAAAAACCAAAATGTCCTATTTTAAACCTAATGCAAAAGTAAGGAATGTAGTTTACAATGAACCTCCATGTGCTCATTACCTGGCTTTAACGATTGTCGCCTCAGGCCAAAATTATTCATGCTCCCTTCTTGTGATTATTTTGAAACCAGGCGCTGACATCATGTATTAGTTCATCCATAAGCATTTTAGTACCTATCTCTAAAAGGTAGACTCTTTGTAAAAAAAAAATAACTACAATGTAGTATGACATGGCTAGGTGCAGTTTTAAGTTCAGGTTTTTATTGGTGAAGAGGAAGATGGATCAGGTGATTTCTGTTCTGTCCTAGCTTTCAGTGCCAATGGAAAAGATATCATTGTCGACTTTCCCCAGCAGTCTCACTGGACTGGGTTGCTATCAGAAATGGAGTTGGTACCCAGTATTCATCCTGGGGTTACGTGAGTTATTTTTATGGTTGCTAGATTTGCTTTGGGACGAATGGTTTTCTGTTGAATTAAGTTTAATAAATGACCTTTCTTAACTCAGTTGCTATTTTACAAATAGGTGTGATGGATGTCAGATGTTTCCTATCAATGGATCCAGATTCAAATGCAGAAACTGTGATGACTTTGATTTTTGTGAAACGTGTTTCAAGACCAAAAAACACAATACCAGGCATACATTTGGCAGAATAAATGAACCAGGTATGGCAGAATGTTTATATTCTCTCTTCCACCAAATATTAATGAAATACTTATTGTGGACCACAGTGTATTGGAATTTGTTATTTTAAGGTTCCTATGTATACAGTAATTCTGTAGAGTGAGTACAGTGAGACGGAAGTGACGGTCCTACCCGCTGATGACTGGCTGGCTTTTTAAAAAAATCAGGATGGGGTGTCGGGGAAGAATTAGAATAACTAGGCTTGTTTGCTTGTTTTTCCATAAAGAAACATTAAAAGAATCTCAAGAAACTAGTAAGTGTTTAGTTGCATGGCATGTGGAATTGGTTAGATGGAGAGTGAGTTTTTTAATTTATATACCTTTTATTGTATTTGTCATTGTGGCAAAATATATATAACTTAAAATTAGCCACTTAATCATTTTCTAAGTTTATAATTCAGGGTATTAAGTACCTTAAGTACAGTGTTGCACAACCATCACAACTGTCTCTTACCAAAACTTTTCACCACTCCGATCAGAAACTCTGTACCCATTAAGCAATTTAACTGCCCTACTTCCCCTTACCCCAACCCTGGTAACCTTGAATCTAACTTTGGTCTCTATGAATATGACCACTCCAGACATCTCATCTAGGTGAAACCATATAAGATTTATCCTTTTGTGTTTAGCGTAATGTATTTAAGCTTCATCCGTATTGTAGCATGTGTCAGAACGTCATCCTTTTTAATGGCTAAATAATATTCCACTGTATGCATATATCACTTTTTTTCTTTGTGAGACAGAGTCTCAGTCTGTCGCCCAGGCTGGACTGCAGTGGCACGATCTTGGCTCAGTGCAACCTCCGCCTCCTAGGTTCAAGCAATTCTCCTGTCTCAGCCTCCTGAGTAGCTGGGATTACAGGCCTGAGCCACCACGCTCAGCTAACTTTTCTATTTGTTTTTTAATTATTATTTTTTTGAGACAGAGTCTCACTCTGTGTATAAGGAGTGCATATGTTATATACATTTTTAGTTTTAGTAGTTACTGAAGATATTAATTATAACATCTATTTTTGACTCATTTAAATCTATTATTAGTATATTCTCCACCTAAACAATGCAAAAACCTTAGTTCTCTTTAAGATCATTTATCTTCATTCTGATTTATATGTTCTTAACATATTTTAATTTTTTTTTTTTTTGAGACGGAGTCTCACTCTGTTGCCCAGGCTGGAGTGCAGTGGCGCGATCCTGGCTCACTGTAACTGACACCTCCCGGGCTCAAGCAATTCTCCTGCATCAGCCTCCCGAGTAGCTGGGATTACAGGCTCCCACCACCATGCCTGGCTAATTTTTGTATTTTTAGTAGAGGTGAGATTTCACCATGTTGGCCAGGCTGCTCTTGAACTCCTGACCTCAGGTGATCCACCCACCTCAGTCTCCCAAAGTGCTGGGGTTACATGCATGAGCCACTGCATCCAGCCAAAATTTTATACATTTTATATAAATACATATCTAACAGAACTATAGAAGACATTCTTTTATGCACACAGAAAATGTTCATAAAATCCAGTCATATGCTAAGTGGGTCATATGCTCAAACAAAAGTTCCAAAAAATGTCAAAGGATCGGCCAGGCACAGTGGCTCATGCCTGTTTTTTTGTTTTGTTTTGTTTTGTTTTTTTTGAGACGGAGTCTCGCTCTGTCGCCCAGGCTGGAGTGCAGTGGCGCGTGATCTTGGCTCACTGCAAGCTCCGCTTCCCGGGTTCATGCCATTCTCCCGCTTCAGCCTCCCGAGTAGCTGCGACTACAGGCGCCCGCCACCACGCCCGGCTAATTTTTTGTATTTTTAGTAGAGATGGGGTTTCACCGTGTTAGCCAGGATGGTCTCGATCTCCTGACCTTGTGATCCACACCTGTAATCCCAGCACTTTTGGAGGCGAGGCGGGTGGATCACGAGGTCAGGAGATCGAGACCATCCTGGCTAACACGGTGAAACCCCGTCTGTACTAAAAATACAAAAAATTAGCCGGGCGTGGTGGCGGGCGCCTGTAGTCCCAGCTACTCGGGAGGCTGAAGCGGGAGAATGGCGTGAACCCAGGATGTGGAGCTTGCAGTGAGCCGAGATCGTGCCACTGCACTCCAGCCTGGGTGGCAGAGGGAGATTCTGTCTCAAAAAAAAAAAAAAAGGTCAAAGGATCAAACAATACATGTGGGGCATGTGATGATTTTATGTAGTCAATATTCATTTAGATTTTTCTGCATACTTTGTAATTTCTCTCCACTTTTTTCTTCCTCTTTAATTTTCCATCTATACTGTTTTTCTCCTGCCTGAAGATACCCCTTGATATTTTTAAAAATGTGTCTTTGTGGGTTACAAATTGTCTATTTTTGTATGTCTGAAAATGTCTTTATTTCTCCTTTATTTTTGAAAAGTCTTTTTGCTAGGTGTTTTCTTTCACCACTTTAAAAATAGTATTCCATTGCAATTTGGTTTATATTATTTCTCCTGAAGTTGGATGGAAGTCTAATTGTGGTTCATTTTATTTTTCCTTCGTCTGCTTTTCAGAGAGTCTTTTTGTTTTCATCTTGCACAGGTTTTACATGTGCATGGAGATGTTTATCTTTCTTGGGGTTGGTAGGGCTTCTGGGGCATGATATCTGTTGTCTGTTTTGGAAAATTCTGTCTTTCAGTATTTCTTCACATGTTGCCTCTGCTCTATTCTCTTTTCTATCTTTTTGGGGGGACTCTTCTTTCATTTGTGTTAGGCCTAACCTCTGTCCTGCAGATCTTTTACCTTCTTGTTATGTTTTCTAAACTTTTGTTCCTCAGTTCTTCATTCCAGATATTTTTACTTTCTCTTCAGCTGAGTTCAGTGTGTTCTAAACTTACTCATTAAGTTCTTAATTTTAATTATTCAATTTATCAGTTCTAGTCTTTCTGTTTTATTTTCAGTAGTTTTTGGTTCTCTGCTGAAATATTATCTTTTTGAACACAGTAAGCATAGTTATTATATTAAAGTCTGTGTCTTCTAACTCCAATATATGGAGCCTTTGTGGGTCTGTTTCTGTCCTATCATTTCTGGTAATTTTTAGTCATATTTTCTTGCCTTTTCATGTGTCATTATGTACTGGACATTGTATTTAAAAAGTTATTTCTTGACTCATTTTGAGGCTAAGATGTTATTGTTCTCCAAGGAATGGAGGAGAGAAGGTTGTTCTGTGAGCTACTTGGTAAAGGTTAGTGACTATCTGGGCTTACCTTAATCAGCATTCATTGATTGAGATGATTTTATGCTGAGTTGCAATCTGTTGGAAAAAAAAAAAGGGAAACCCAAAAACCCTTCATAGTTCACTCTGACTTTTGGGGTATTTCCTGTTGGGGTTCCAAGTGTGGGTTGTATTTCTGTAGCATCCTCAGCCTTCCTGGTCTTTCTGGACCCCATTCCTTTCCCTTCCCTTCACGAGGCTGTCAAAATGCTATGTGTCGTCTCAGGGACTTTGCTTGGAACCTGGTGATGCCATCAGGGAACAGCAGCCTCTGATCCGTGGTGTGCGTCATCTTGACACCTCCATTCGCCTCGGGTCTTCCTGCGGTTCTGACCTTGTAATTCTTTATTTTCTCCTGAATTCTGATAGTTCGAAGAGAATTTATTTATTTTTGAGTGTTTTGTCTGGCTTTACTAGTTGTCTTTGATGGGGAATGCCAGTTGAATTCCAGATTTGCCATTAATGGAAGTGGAAGCACTTTACAATTTACTTTTTGCCTTGTATTTATAAAAGCATTTTTAATAAGAATGGTTTTTGTGAGTGCTGTTATTGAACTTTTCCCACAGCTTATTTTGTTTTCTTTGGAAATATATTAATCTGCTGTTGTTCCCTGGGAGGTTTTAGTAGAATAAATCATAGCATTATGTGGACTTCATCTCATAAATTGGTGTAACTATATCTTGACTAGGGAAACCATTTGTGGCATTTATTAACTCCTTTCAGTTTGAAACTTTCTATTTTTCTTTAAGAAGCTCCTTACTATGTAATATTCTTGATCATGATGTTTCTCCCCAGTTCAGCAAGGGTTAATTCTCTTTTTGACTATCACGAAATAGGTCAGTCTGCGGTATTTTGTGGCCGTTCTGGAAAACAGCTGAAGCGTTGCCACAGCAGCCAGCCAGGCATGCTGCTGGACAGCTGGTCCCGCATGGTGAAGAGCCTGAATGTGTCGTCCTCCGTGAACCAGGCATCCCGTCTCATTGACGGCAGCGAGCCCTGCTGGCAGTCATCGGGGTCGCAAGGAAAGGTAGCATCTAATAGGGCACAGCAGCGGGCACTTTCACACCGATGGTTTTGCCTTGTACATTTTCAAAATGAACTTTGAGCAGCCTGCAAAGTTTTGCTGATAGCACCTGTCAGTACTCACGTTATGTTTTAATTTATAAGTTATTTCAAAGTTAGAGTTATATACCATCCAATTTTATTGTCAGAGATTTTAAACAATACGAGTAATAGATTTTATCTAACTGACCACTTGATAGAGGATGTGGTCAGGCTTTTTTTCCTCCTCTCCTGCATAGAATGTATGAATTCAGATTTGCTTCTGGTTAGAAGTTTTTCTAGTATAGTCTAGCAAATTTGTGTTGCACATTGGAGTGCTGTTGTGATTACACCAACGCGTGGAGGCACCTCGTGGGCACACAGGTCAGACTTTAGGACAGGGCCTTTCTCCATCTCGACTGTAGTGTTTTCTGTCACTCACTTGGTGGGTAAAAGGACCACCCTAGGCCAGGAGTATATAGATACATGGTTTCTGAGTCTTAGAGTGAGACTTTTCTCTAACAATCAAAGAATGGCGTAGAATATTCTTGTTGCTGCCAGGTTGAGGGAAAATTCTCTCTCATGCTACATTTTATATTGAAAAAATCTCATGTAGATTCAAGCTTCAACGATACTATTGTAGTAGCTAAAATATAGCTGAATTTTGCTAACTGAGAATGTGGTTTTTTTGTTTTTCTAAAGCACTGGATTCGTTTGGAGATTTTCCCAGATGTTCTTGTTCATAGATTAAAAATGATCGTAGATCCTGCTGACAGTAGCTACATGCCGTCCCTGGTTGTAGTGTCAGGTAATTCAGTTAGTTTACCTAAAAAGAAGTACCTTCTATAATAAAGACGCCTTTGTTTGATTCTTTACCCATTTTTTCCTAGGTGGAAATTCCCTGAATAACCTTATTGAACTAAAGACAATCAATATTAACCCTTCTGACACCACAGTGCCCCTTCTGAATGACTGCACAGAGGTAAGTAGCTATGCTAGTGTTCCATTTGGATGATTTACAGATGACAAGGGAGGTGACTTGGCCATTTCTATACTAGCATTGAGCCCAGTTTTTCCCCGTTTAAATAATTGGTTCTTTCTGTTTTAAATTTTGACACTTTAAAAGATACAACTTATTTTGTACAACTGAATTTGCTGCTTATCAGTTCAGCTTGAAAAGGAAACAAATTTCATTCTCACTCTCTTTGGTAGCAGAGGTATACTTGGTAACTGCTCCTAGCAAAAGTTTTCATCAGGCATTTTAGGTTGCTGATTGCATCTGAACACTTCGGTTTTCATTAAATATCTCAGTTTCTGGTGGTTTTCCTGACCATATATGTGACGCTGAAGTTGCTTTTTTGTCGTCACACCTGTTGGCATCAAGTGCTGAACTTGTCACGGAGTGGCAATTTTTTGGTTAATAAGGCAGCTTTCAAAATGAGTCTAAGTTTATCTCTGGAAAAGTTTGAAAGAATCAGTGAAGGTTCTTTTAAACAGTACCCACATACTACAGATCAGCAATTATCTCTCTCTCTCAAATTTTTAGTAAACCTTTCCACATAGGATGTCAGCATGATTTTTAATACATTAAATATATGTAAAATAAGACAAATTAAGATACTTTTGTTGGCCGGGCGCGGTGGCTCACGCCTGTAATCCCAGCACTCTGGGAGGCTGAGGCGGGCAGATCACGAGCTCAGGAGATCGAGACCATCCTGGCTAACACAGTTAAACCCCGTCTCTACTAAAAAAAAAAAAAAAAAAAAAAAAATTAGCCGGGCGTAGTGGCAGGCACCTGTAGTCCCAGCTACTTGGGAGGCTGAGGCGGGAGAATGGCATGAACCCGGGAGGCGGAGCTTACAGTGAGCCGAGATCGTGCCACTGCACTCCAGCCTGGGCGACAGAGCCAGACTCTTGTCTCAAAAAAAAAAAAAAGAAAGAAAGAAAAAAAAAGATATTTTTGTACTATGTATACTGTTGTCTGGTGTAGACTAATTATAATGATAGCAGATAAAAATATCAAATAGTTGATTTTTGTATTCATTTAAAGTTTATAACTGATGAGTTTATTTTTTAATTATTAAATGTAGTTAACCATTCATTTTTTAAAAAAGTTTTATTTTAGTTTTAACCAAATAGTAATTTGTAATAATTTGTATTTATTTTTGGAGAACACTGTGATGTTTTGTTACATGTATACTTTGTGGAATGATCAAATCATGCTAAATAATGTATCCATCACCTCAAATATTTATCACTTTTTTGTGGTGAGAACATTTAAAATCCTCTCTTTTAGCTATTTTGAAATACGTAGTACATTCACAGTAGTTACCATTTATTCTGGAATGTCATGGAACTATTTCATAATACACTGATTCATTATAGCCAATACCAGTGGTGCTAATAAGTGAAGAAATTGGCAAACTATAAAAATGAAAGATAATATTGAATTTATCTGAAAAAATTAATCTTGAGTTTTAATGCATTTTACTGGTAACTTATTGCAATGTAACCGAATACAGCCTGTAGAGTGCCTTAGTTACATAGTTCAGAGGATGTTTTTACTTTAGCCAAACCAGAAACTAAGTAATTAAATCAACAATGGAGATTATCATTCGTAAAAGATATCTTTAATCCAAGAAATTTTCAATTCAAAACCATTCATCCTGTGATACTTAGTGTATGTCATGTACATGAGAAATACGAAGCATTGCAGGTAAATGGAAAACTCCTGACCTAACCTGCATGCCCCCAGCTGACCAAAGAACTAGACTGTACCATTCCTGTGGAGCCACTGCATCTTAAGCATGGCCTTTGCTGTACAAATAGTTTGTTATGGGAATTTTCTTTTCTTTTTTTTGAGACTGAGTCTCACTCTGTCGCCCAGGCTGGAGTGCAGTGGCAGATCTCAGCTTACCGCAACCACCACATCCTGGGTTCAAGTGATTCTCCTGCCGCAGCCTTCCGAGTAGCTGGGATTACAGGTGCCCACCACCTCACCCAGCTAATTTTTGTATTTTTAATAGAGACGGGGTTTTGTCATGTTGGCCAGGCTGGTCTCGAACTCCTGACCTCAGGTGATCTGCCCACCTTGGCCTCCCAAAGTGCTGGCATTTACAGGCATGAGGCACCGCACCCAGCCGGGTTTTTTCTAACATGTAAACAAAAATAGAAAGTATGCTGGAACCCTCACAAACCTGTCACCCAGCTTCAACATTTATCAACATTTTGCCAGTCATGTTTCACTTTCTCCCTCCCACCTTACTTCCCTGCCTCAGCAAGTCCTAGTCATGGTCTTATTTCAGGAGCACTTGCTTCAATATTCATCTCTGACAGGGCTTAACAAAATATAACCTTGGTACCATTATCACACCTCTAACAAGTACTCTTTTTTTTTTTTTTTAAGACGGAGTCTCACTCTGTCACCCAGGCTGGAGTGCAGTGGTGTGATCCCGGCTCACTGCAAGCTCTATCTCCCGGGTTCACTCCATTCTCCTGCCTCAGCCTCCCGAGTAGCTGGGACTATAGGCGCCTGCCACCATGCCTGGCTAATTTTGTTTTTGTATTTTTAGTAGAGACGGGGTTTCACCGTTAGCGAGGATGGTCTCGATCTCCTGACTTCGTGATCCACCTGCCTCGGCCTCCCAAAGTGCTGGGATTACAGGCGTGAGCCACCGTGCCCAGCCAATAATTACTCTTTAATGTCATATAATATTCAGTCAGTGTCCAGATTTTCCTAATTATCTTGTAAATGTCCTTTTGCAGTTTCTGATTCAGATGATGTTTGCATTCTACACTACACTTAAGTCACTCTTGGTTTTTTTTCTTGCTAAAGAAAAAAAAAACTGAGTAATTGTTTCCTGTAGCATTCTTCATATTCTCAACTTGGCTTTTGCATCCCTATGGTGGTGGTCAAGCTGTATTTCCTCTGAAATGGTAGATCTTGAGGTTTGAGCAGGTCGTTTAGGCAATAAAAAGTAATTGTTAGTGTGTGCTTCCAGACGCATCTCTCTTCGTTCACATGAAATACAGTGATGGAGGAATGTTGTCAGTACCACAGCAGGCATGCAGTCGGCCACATGGGGTGTGGGACATTTGCAGGACAAGTAGACCAACTCCACTAAATGCATGGCAAAGGCAGAACAGAGGAAGGTTGGGTCTTGCTTGTGTTCTGATTTGAATGAGGCAACAATAAAATGACATGACATAATCAGAAAAGTTTGATCACTGTAGCATATTGGGTGATATGGGAGTTATTGTTTGTGCTATGATAATAGCAATGCGGATATGTTTTTCAAAAAACTCCATAATTCTGGCCAGGCGCGGTGGCTCACTCCTGTAATCCCAGTACTTTGGGAAGCTGAGGCAGGTGGATCACCTGAGGTCAGAAGTTCAAGACCAGCCTAGCCAACATGGTGAAACCTTGTCTCTACTAAAAATACAAAAAATTAGCCGGGTGTGGTGGCAAGTGCCTGTGGTCTTAGGTACTCAGGAGGCTGAGGTTGGAGAATCGCTTGAACCCGGGAGGCAGGGGTTGCAATGAACCAAGATTGCACCACTGCACTCCAGCCTGGGCAACAAGCAAGATTCCATCTCAAAAAAAACAAAAAAACAAAAAAAAAAACCAGACCTCCTTAATTCAGTGATATATACTGAAGTTTTGAAACAGCATAATGCCTAGAATTTTTTAATGATAATCCATATCTGAACAAGATTGGTCACATGTTGGTAACTGTTGAGCTGGGTCATGGAGTCATGGAGTTCTTTGTACTATTTGTTCTGATTTGTGTATATTCAAATATGTTTTATGTTTTAAAAACGATGAAAGGTCTGTTACTACCTGACATTTAATATCTTCCTTAGTTAAAGCATCTTGGTTCAAGAAAGCTCTAAGACGGAAGAGTTTGCAGTCATTCAGTAAGGCTGTTATCCTATTTAAAAATTTTAGGAAGAAAATCAGTGAGTGTCTCATGCCTCAGGTAGACATCTTGATGAGTTGACCACTTCTTTTGAAGTAAACATTACTCAGATGTGGCTGCATTAACTTTGAGTAACTCAGTTGATATTTCCAGAACTGAAGTAAAGGAGCTCTAACCGTGTGTACATGTTCGTGTCTCACACATCCCGTTCTCCAGTTAGAGGATCTAATATGCTTGATTCTACAGAGTCTATAGATCATGGTTTTTGTGTCTAGTATCACAGGTATATTGAAATTGCTATAAAGCAGTGCAGGAGCTCAGGAATCGATTGTAAAATCCATGGTCTCATCCTGCTGGGACGGATCCGTGCAGAAGAGGAAGATTTGGCTGCAGTTCCTTTCTTAGCTTCGGATAATGAAGAGGAGGAGGATGAGAAAGGCAACAGCGGAAGGTGAGAACCATTTGTTACAGGTGCTCACTTACCTCCCGCTACATTCCTGGATCCTCACTTTCGAAAGGAAACATTTAATTAGAATGTGTCTCATACTGAGAGTCATTTTATGTCCACACGATTGGTAAATTACAGTTGTTTCCAAAAATTGTATTTTTTAAAAAATAAAGTGTTTAATGTAGAAACACATTATATTTAGAAAAATACCATTAAAAGAGGGAAATGAAAATGTTTAATATCTCTACCTAAAATATCACTGTGACTATTTTGGTATATATCTTTGTAGTTTTCCTTTTTTTCTGTTACTAAATTTATTGTCCTATGGAAGTTGTATGGTATATTTTAAAGCTCTTTTTGTTAAGTATTTTATCATTAACTTCAAAAAATGTATTTATTTTTTATTATGGTGAAATATATATATTGTTTACCATTTTAAGTGTACAGTTCAGTGGCATTAAGTACATTCATATTTTTGTGCAACCATCACTATTGTCCATCGCTAGAATTTCCATATGATTAGTCTTCAGTCCTGTAATTTTTGAGTGCAGTATTTCATCTTATGACTGTTCTCATTTACTCACTCAATTCCTTATTTTATCTGAGCACTGTGATGATGACTGTTGTTGTATTTATTCATTCAACATCTTTTGAATGCCTACTGTGGGCCATTCCCAGTTATGTGTACTGGGAACACTGTGATGAACATGCAAAATAAAACAAGACAAACACATGCATCAGTGTGCTATTAGGCCTTTGGTAAGAGGCAGGAAGAAGTGCATACAGCCTTGAGAGTCTGCATTGGAGCATTGATCTGTCAGGACAAGGAAAACTTCCCCCCAGGCCATACGTACAGAAGTCAGAATTACTGAAACAAAGTGGACAGGCAAGGGCGTTTCTGATAGGGAAGACAGCATACCAGAGGAGAATGATATCTGCGAAGTTTTTGCATGCTTGTGCATTTCCCAGGGCATGTATCTAGAACTTGCATTTGCAGGGGCTGCTCTAAGCCTTGTTTACCATCCCAGCAGCAAACAGTGGATAATAGTGGATAATAACAATGGAGGATAATCAGTGTCCTCATAGAAGTTGTATTTTCCTAGATAAATTGCTGAAAGTGAAATTGCTAAGTCAAAGGGTATGCAAAATAAATGGATATGTTGTTAACATTCCCAAGGCGCTTTGGATTGCTAGTGTGACCGGGGCCCTCCAGACAGGCACAGGAGGCAAGCCGCCAGTGCTGGCTGAACTCTGTTGACCAAGACACCCTGTGCTCTAAGTACTCTGCAGCGTGTGACATGAGGAGACAACAGAGCACTGCCCTGTGCCGCTGTTGAGCACGTTATATAGACAGAAGTGGGGGGTAGTAGTTCTGGTAATAAATCAGGTTATTCTAGGGCTCTGTGATCTTGGCTTTGGATTCTGTCCTGTTTTATTTCAGAAACTTTGTGTAGAAGTTGAAAAGAAAATAGTATCTATAACATTACCTTATCTAGAATATATGTTATACTATATGCTGTAGTTCAAACTGATTGCATCTGTAGATATTAATTAAATAGGGACAATACCAGTTCACTTAAATAAGGAAGTCATTGGGATTTTTAATAAAAGGATTATAGATTGTAGGGGTGGGTTGCCCCTACAATAGATTAGCATTTTCTTACTCAGTAGCTACTAAAATGAATTGGACAAATAAAATTATTATTTATTTATTTTTTGAGACGGAGTCTTGCTCCGTCACCTAGGCTGGAGTGCAGTGGTGCAATCTCGGCTCACTGCAAGCTCCGCTTCCTGGGTTCACGCCATTCTCCTGCCTCAGCCTCCTGAGTAGCTGGGACTACAGGTGCACGCCGCCATGCCCGGCTAATTTTTTTGTATTTTTAGTAGAGACGGGCTTTCACCGTGTTAGCCAGGATGATCTCGATCTCCTGACCTCGTAATCCGCCTGCCTCAGCCTCCCAAAGTGCTGGGATTATAGGCGTGAGCCACTGCGCCTGGCCATAAAATTATTAATACATATATTGTATATGTGGAATAACCAAAAATGTTTTGAGCTTTACTCATTGATCAGATTTTTGTGTAATTGAATATATTGTCGAAAGAAAAGCTAGATACTTGATTGTAATGGGTTTTGTTCTGGTAAGATCTTATTAATTAGCTAATAACTTCAGAATGAGTCAGTGGCCCAGGCAGTCTCCTCCTACAGGGCTGCCACCCAACTGGGATGTTCCCACACTGACCACGTACAGCTGGCCTCCACTCTGGCTGATTGATACTTACATGGTGCCAGACATTAAATATCTTGAATATCAGTCCTGGTTTCCCATACATACATGCATACATATATGTGTGTATATATATGTGTGTATGGAAAATATATATATATTTTGAGATAGGGTCTCACTCTGTTGCCCAGGCTGGATCGCAATGGTATGATCTCAGCTCACTGCAACCTCTGCCTCCCGGGCTCAAGTGATTCTCCCACCTCAGCCTCCCAAGTAGCTGGGATTACAGGTGTCTGCTACCACACCTGGCTAATTTTTTGTATTTTTTTTGTAGAAATGAGGTTTCACCGTGTTGCCCAGGCTGGTCTCCAACTCCTGGGCTCAAGGAATCTGCCCACCTTGGCCTCCCAAAGTGCTAGGATTACAGGTGTGAGCTACTGTGCCTGGTCCCCATACATATTTTTAAGTAAAAATGTATCACAAGATATTTCAATATTTTGTGCTTATGCTTGCTCACCTGTGCCTAGTATTGGATGAAAGAGTTTTCCACTTTTATTCCAAAACATGAAATTTTGAACCCTTAAAGTAAATATTTATTAGTATATAATGTGTGAAAAAAGTGATACCTGTCTGGAAGCCGTCTGGTGCCTTTGGGCATCTATCCTAGCTTATAAAAATAGAGCAAAAGCAAACACAAAGGTGAAAACCCCAAACACAGAAGCAGCAATTCCTTAGCACCTGGCATCAGACCATCAGCCAAGAAAATCTAACACTGTCCTGTGTACTCTTTTCAAGTTGCAAGAATTGGAGTGTTTTGGATGCTGTTGATTAAACTTCTAACCTGCTGGGTGTGGTGGCTCCCACCTGTAATCCCAGCACTTTAGGAGGCTGAGCAGGGAGGATCACTTGAGCCCAGGAGTTCAAGACCAGCCTTGACGATATAGTGAGACCCCGTCTCTACAAAAAAAAATGCAAAAATTAGCTGGGCATGATGGTGCAGGCCTATAGTGCCAGCTGTTCGGGAGGCTGAGGTGGAAGGATTGCTTGAGCCTGGGAGGTTGAAGCTACAGTGAACCGGGATTATGCCACTGTATTCCAGCCTGAGTGACAGAGCATGACCCTGTCTCAAAACAAACAAAAAATAAATAAACTCCTAACCTGTTGAGGGCAGGTCAGGAGATAGATGAGCAAGGTGGAAGGAGCAAGCCCTCTGGGAAGGACAGGAGACGAGGACTTTCAGCTTAGCTGGCCGATGATCAGGTTCCTCTGGCCGGTGTCCTGGGCAGAGGGTATAAAGGAAGAGAGAAGCATTTTACATTGGGACATGTGTCTGTGTTAAAGTAACTCCATGGTCATGTGGCCACATCCGTTTTATTCTTTCTGTGGGAAAATAATTGGCCAAACAGCTGTCTAGATTTGGGGATAGTGCTGCAAGGCCAGACCCAGCGTGGCTCCTGGGCAGGTTTCCTCAGTGTCTCTACAGTGCCATTTGTAGCAGCTGTGCGTCTGTTTCCTTGGCTTGGAATGATTCCCACCCATGTTCACGTTGGTATTTAAGATGAAAGAGAAGGCCTGGTGTATCATCGTTTTCCACCAAAAATAAAGGCTGAAATTAAGTGCTAGTATTAAAAGGTGGCATGGTTGTATCTAGAAAATTTGACCCTCCAGAGGACTTACTCCTGTACATGCTTGAGGTTTTTTTCTATTAAAGCAAAATTTTAAGAGTTTCTGAAAGTAACCATAAAACTTTGAGTGCTTGAGGTTGCTTTTCTTTTTATTTTTTAAATGTTTTATGCTGAATAACCTCTCTTTTCTTTTTCTTTTTTTTTTCCGTTTGGTTAGCCTCATTAGAAAGAAGGCTGCTGGGCTGGAATCAGCAGCTACGATAAGAACCAAGGTGTTTGTGTGGGGCCTGAATGACAAGGACCAGCTGGGCGGGCTGAAAGGCTCCAAGGTACGGCCTGCTCCCTGGGACCCAGCAGGGTGGGGCACTCGGCAGCAGCCACACCTCGTGAAGTTTCTATAATAACTTTACTCTCTATATGTTGTATTGTTTCTTTACACGAACTAAAAGACATTATCAAATTACCCCTCAGAAGCGTCTCTCCTTGAAAAATTTCACTTTAGGTATAATTGTCTTATTGCGGTCTTGTAAACTAGAAAATGAACTTTTGAAAAGATTTGACAAGTGCATAAATGAAAATTATAGACTGTCAATAGGTGTATCTTGCCTTCCCTACAATAAACATTTTTGACTATCATGAACAAAATAATGTGTAAAAAGGCTGTAGTGGCCCACAGATGAGCAAATTGTTGTCTCTGTCCTCCAGGTGCTTCGCGCCTGAGATTCTTCAGGGTGAAGTAGCTTGCACAGAGAGAGAACGCTTTGCGAGCACAGAGAAACAAGCAGAATGCACATGTGTGCGCATACACACTTGCCTTATTCTCTGCAGGGCTTGTTGTGGGTGGAGAGCGCCATGATCTCATTCACCTTGTCAGTAAACCATGAAGCTTGCACGGGAAGCCGTGCCATAGCCTCTGTGTTCACAACGTCCTTCATCCCCTAGGTACTTGGATGAGAGGTTAATTTGTATTTTGAGTTGCTTAGGAGAAAAAGACCATATTTTGAAAAGAATAGGTGTAAGAAATGATGCATTTGAATTGGAGTTGAATTCAGCATTCCTTGTATTACTTAGTGTCTCCTGGCTGAGGAGCCACAAAGCAAATTCCTCTAAATTTTATTGCCCAGAGGCACTCTCTGTGTTCACGTGAGCTTATGCTTCCTGTTAGTATTCTGTGAGACATCACATCATACGTTTTCTTTATTGCCTGCCCTATTGAGAAACTGAGAAATAAAGTTAGAACTCATTCATTTGAACTCTTTCCTTTCAAGGTGCAATTAGTTTTTATCTGTATTGGAGCAGTCTTGAATTGCATTTGTGTTTCAGTGTACCTGAGCTTGGTTTGGGAAGTGGACAGTGGGCAGTGAGCTGTGAGTGTCTCAGCTGCGGGAATGCAGGGCTGTCCAGAGGTCCCTGAGGTGCAGGCCATTGGTGGGAGCCTATGACCTTGCTCACTGCCTTACATGGAGTTTTCACTTCAAGGACAGAGTCGGTGTTCCACGGTTGTGATGAAAATCCTTTCTTCCGCTGCAGTAGTGACTATTTCACCCAGGGAATCATAAAGGTTTTTTAGACAAAGGGCCCTAGGAATTTTAAATTACATCCATCTACAATGGGAAATTTAAGCATATGATTTCTTAGAGATGTCAGAGTCAGAATCAGAGAGTGAGCAGGACATGACTTGAAATAAGGCATAGTCTACAGGTGTGTGTTTTTATCTTTACATTATATGCATAGTCATCCCTCAGTATCCGTGGATTTGTTCCAGGACTTCCTGTGGATACCAAGATCTGTGGATGCTCAAGTCCCTGATATAAAACAGTGTAGTGTTTGCATATAACCTATGTACACCCTCCCAAATACTGTATATCATCTTCAGATTACTCAGAATACCTAATACAATGTAAATGGTATGTCAATAGTTGTTATATTACATTGTTTAGGGAATAATGGCAACAAAAATATCTGTACATATTTAGTACACGTGCAATAAAAAATATTTTCAATCCATGGGTGGTTGAATTCATGGACGTGGAACCTATGGATACAGAGGACCAACTGTATTTTATTTTTCACTTTCTACTATGGAACTGTTCAGATGTACCCACATAGAGTGAATAGCTTCATGAACCCTCATGTCCCTGGTACAGCTTCCATAGTTACCAGCAGCTGTCTACGTTTTTCTGTCTTTATCCTCCCATTCCCCCAACTCTGGTTTAAAGTCAATCACAGTGTATCATTTCATTCTTAAAATACTCCAGTGTGAATCTCTAAGGGATAACCAATGCCTTTGGTTAATGTAACCATACATATTAGTAGTACAGTCATGCATTACTTAATGATGGGGATATATTCTGAGAAAGTTTTGGTTGGGTGATTTTGTCATTGTTGGAAAATGATAGAGTGTACTTAACACAAAGGTAGATGGTGTAGCCTACTACACACTCAGGCTATATGGTATAGCCTGTTGCTTCTAGGCTACAACATGGAACTGTACTGAATATGGTAGGCAGTTGTAACTCAGTGGCATGTGTGTATTTAAACATCGAAAAGGTACGGTAAAAATACATTGTAAAAGATAAAACATGGAACACCTGCATAGGGCACTTACCATGAATAATGGAGTTTGCAGGACTGGAAGTTGCTCTGGGCGAGTCAGTGAGAGAGTGGTGAGTGAACGTGAAGGCCAGGACATCACTGCATGTTACTGTAGACTTTAGAAACACTATATGCTTAGGTGACTCTATGCAAAATATTTTTCTTTCTTTAATAATAAATTATTTGTAACTTTATGAACTTTTCACTTTTTAAAAAACTTTTTGACTCTTGTAATAATACTTAGCTTAAAACACAAACACAGCTCTGCACAAAATGTTTTCTTTACATTCTTATGCTGTAAGCTTTTTTCTATCTTTAACATTTATTCTTTTACTTTTTAACGTGTTTGTTAAAAACTAAGACCCAAACACATACATTAGCCTAGCTAGGATCATAGTGTTGCTCTCTTTCACCCCCACAAAGGAGCTAGCTGTCCTTTCCTGTGACAGCAGTGCCTTCTGGAATCCCTCCTGAAGCACCAGCCGCAGGCTTTTTACAGTTAGCTTAAAAAACAAAAAAGTAGAAGGAATACACTCTAAAAGAATGATAGAAAGTACAGGAGAGTGAATATATAGCCCAGTAGCAGTAGTCTGTTATCATGGTGAGGTATTAGGGATTGTTGATATGTAGCTGGCAGCACAGAGGCTTGTTGACACCAGCATCACCACAGACACATGAGGAATAGGTTGTGCTGTGACGTTGTCACGGCCAGGACACCACTAGGCAGTAAGGATTTTTCAGCTCCATTATAATCTACTGGGACTGCCATCGTATATGTAGCCTGTGGTTGAGTGAAATGTTACACAGTGCATAACTGTAATTCCTTGTATCATATAATAAGGTAACATAATTTTAAACATGCAAGTAAAATTTTCTTTTCTTTTTTTTTTGTTAAAAAAATTCTGTTGTAGATAAAGGTTCCTTCGTTCTCTGAGACACTGTCAGCTTTGAATGTGGTACAGGTGGCTGGTGGATCTAAAAGTTTGTTTGCAGGTATGATTATTCTAATCTTAAAAAATTTTTAAATTATGCTTGGCACCAAAAAACAAAAAAGTTTTTAATGTTGTGAAAAGAGAGTCCTCTCCTGGCTGTCGTTCCTTGCAGTGACTGTGGAAGGGAAGGTGTATGCCTGTGGAGAAGCCACGAATGGCCGGCTGGGGCTGGGCATTTCCAGCGGGACGGTGCCCATCCCACGGCAGATCACAGCTCTCAGCAGCTACGTGGTCAAGAAGGTGGCTGTTCACTCAGGTACAAGCCAAGCACCAGGAGGCCTGTGCGGGGCGGCCTTTGCTCCTGCTCCGTTGTTAACCAAAGCCCTAATTGGTGTCCTTACATTCTTTCTTAAGTTTTTACTTAGTAGGAATAAAAATTGGATAATGTAAATCTCTAGGTGGTCTAGAATTTAGTTATTGCTGCTAAATCAAGTTCTTTGCCTAAAAGTAGGCTGTTTTTCTGAGAAAGAGTCTATAACTTTCTTCAGATTCCCAAAACCATCTATGAACCCAAGTAATGAGAAAGATCCTTTAAAAGAAAATGAAACCACTCTTTCAGTGTAGGGAGTGTTTATTTTGGAGGCACCGTGCTAGGCCTCTGAGGAATGGAACTGAATTAGACACAAAGTTCTAATTCAGTTCATGCCTATGCTGAACGGGGCTCAGTGTAACTTGCATAACAGGAAATCCAAATGATGGTGGCTTAAGCAATATAGAGTTTTACTTTTCTCCTTTGTAAAAGTCCAGAGGTGGGGTCAGAGTCTGTCCAGCAGGGCTGTGTCTATGAGGAGTGCTGGTCCTTTGTGTCCACCTTTGTGGGAAGATGGTCTTAGACTAGCTCTCGCCCCCAGAGTCCAGGGCCAGGCCTGGCAGAAGAGGCAAGCACCACACAGTGTGCCCTCCTGCCCACGCAGCCCCCTCTCCAGAGCCCCTCGGAAGCCCCACTCATTTCAGTCACCATCTCCTGGGGGCAGAGGAGGCTGGGAATTAGCTGAGCACTTTAACATGGGGGTTCTGTTGGTAAGGAAGGGGGAGAATGAGGGTTGGGGGAAGAAGCAGGGTCTGCTGTGATGTTCTCAAAGCCCAGGAGTTGGCAGGAACTCACTGTATAGGAGTGGTCATGCCTTTAATCCTGAGGCAGGTTGTATGGACTTTGAGAATATTCCATGCTGGGGAAAGAGCATAAGCTGACGTGTTTTGGGAAGAGTGAATATATTGCATTAATCGCAAATGATTGAATAATTTCACTGTTGAGGTACAGTTCTCAAAAACTTAAATTGACACTATTTTTACATTTTGTCTAATCACAAATTATTTTTACTTTTTTCATCTAAATTTTGATTTTTCGTGTATTTAACATAATAGGAACCCCATTAATAATCAGTATTATTTTGCCTCTTTGCAAATTCTTTCTAGAGTTAAAATTTGTAGTTTAGTGAAAATTCACCTATTTGGCACATATGTCCCAGGAAGCTTTCCTGCTAACTCCGCTGTTGATCCTGTTGAGTTACTCATTTATTCAGCTCACGCTCATTGAGTGTGTGCTATATGCCAGGCAAAATAGGGAGCTAGCTATGCTGTGGGCTTTCTGTTCCCTGCCCTTTGGCAATCCGTGTGTCTGTGAATGTTGCAGGTGGCCGGCACGCGACGGCTTTAACTGTCGATGGAAAAGTGTTTTCGTGGGGCGAAGGTGACGATGGAAAACTTGGACACTTCAGCAGAATGTAAGGGTACTTTTTTTAGTCTCATTTGCTAATAAGAAACTGTTTCTGACTGATACTCTTGAGAATTATTTTGCAGAAAATTAGAATAGAATAGATTATAGAAATGGTTCTTAAACAAAATTTTTTTAACACGGTTGTTTGTGTTTTGGTCTCACCGGTTCTGCTTTAAGTTTTGATAGTTGATCTGTGGATCCTGTGTTGACTACATGTGGATCAGTATAGATGTCTTTTTTCCTTCATCTCTAAGAAGGGACAGATTGACTGTAGAGAGCTGATTTCATCTTGTTGTAGGAACTGTGACAAACCAAGGCTGATCGAGGCCCTGAAAACCAAGCGTATCCGGGATATCGCCTGTGGGAGCTCGCACAGCGCAGCCCTCACATCCAGCGGAGAACTGTACACCTGGGGCCTCGGCGAGTACGGCCGGCTGGGACATGGGGATAATACGACACAGCTAAAGCCCAAAATGGTGATTATACGCATTTTTGTTGCTTGCAGAAAGCTTACCATCTGAAGATGTCAAGAGAAAATAAGCTTCAAGTCTAGGAAAGTTCATAAAGATGTGTGCATGGTTGGCTTTATCTGTGGGAAAATCCATTGCTTTCTCCGTGCCTGTGCGTGATTCTGTTTTTAAATTTGTAATTGAGTAGGTGAAAGTCCTTCTCGGTCACAGAGTAATCCAGGTTGCATGTGGGAGTAGAGACGCGCAGACCCTGGCTCTGACCGATGAAGGTGAGTGGCTGGCAGGATTCTGTGCTTCTGGGTGGGTAGGAATGATATGAAACGCTGGCCTGAAGTATATGTGTTTCTTAAACCTAGGTTTGGTATTTTCCTGGGGTGATGGTGACTTTGGAAAACTGGGCCGGGGCGGAAGTGAAGGCTGTAACATTCCCCAGAACATTGAGAGACTAAATGGACAGGGGGTGTGCCAGATTGAGTGTGGAGCTCAGTTCTCCCTGGCGCTCACCAAGTCTGGAGTGGTGTGGACATGGTACGTAAACGTCCTCCCTGTCACACTGTGTGTGCTTGTGCAGGTGTGTGCAGGGAACCTGGGCCTCGCCCCAGGCTCACCCGGCGTGATTGTGACGTGTCCTCTTTTTACTTATGCATGCATCTTTGTCCTTTAAAGGATATTGAGTTGGGATTAGTGACAATAGTACAAGAAGAAATTTCCCATTGTAACTGGGTCATTTTGAAAATACTAGAAAAATTTTAGGCCACTTACCTTTCCTGTTTGGGTGAGATTTATGGGAACGGTTTCTTCTGCTGAAGCCTAAGGATAAAATGGAGCAAAATAGCCTTCTGAATCCTTTGATCCTGAAAAAGTTAACATGTGTTTCTTGTAAAAGCTTATTTTATTAATATGCAAAAGAGCAGGTGCCTGGACTGGCTGTGGATGGTGTGTCAGGCCTTAGTGCCAATGTCATGACCCGAGGCAGCTTGAGAAAGATGTATACCAGATAGGACTTTGGATAGGTGTTTGCAGTAGTGTGTCTTATTTTCAGTCTCTTTATATGAAAACCTACAACAGTAACTTAAATATCATAAAATATGTATTAAGGTATTAAGGTTTTTCCCAGCTGGCTTAATAAGTTAATTTGAATTAATGGTGTATGATTTTGAATACAAGTTTGAAGACCTTGGGTGCTGTGTGTGATGTCATTGAGCTGGCTGTGAAAGATGTGAGACAATGAGTGTCTTCTTGTATAGCATTGTCAGACCATAACCGTATTGTAACTCTCCACCATGGGCCTTCTCTCAGGGGAAAGGGGGATTACTTCAGATTGGGCCACGGCTCTGACGTGCACGTGCGGAAACCACAGGTGGTGGAAGGGCTGAGAGGGAAGAAGATCGTGCATGTGGCTGTCGGGGCCCTGCACTGCCTGGCGGTCACGGACTCGGGGCAGGTAAGGCTGCAGGTGGCCTGGGGGTGGCGTGCCATCCTGACTTGGGGGACGTGGGGGTCATGACACGGCCTTCGTCCTGTTGAAATCACAGCTGTTGATGAAATCAGCTGAGTCTTACTGCTTGGAGAACCATGAGGGCGGGTCCTGTTCCTTTTGCCCACTGGTGTATCTGCCTGCTTTGCAGCAGGGGTTGGGGGCGGGGTCCTCAGAAAAGAGGCGTTCCCACTCTGAAGTCCACGTGAAAAGTGTGTGGAAAGACTGTTATTCTTGAAGATGCTCCTAGTGCAAGATATTAGCAAGACTTTCCTTTAGAGAATTGGTAACTGGCGAGGAGGGATCCATGCCTCATTTTAGAGACAGAGCTAGTGCCTGACAAGTGTTACACTCTCTTCTGCTTGGAGAAGCATACGCTATGACTGGCTTATGGATATTCAATTTTAAATTTTATTTATGGAAACAAAATTACCATTACTGTATTTTAGTCAGAATGAATTTTACTTTATAATTCTATAAGGCCAAGAAGCAACTTACTTGAAAAATGAGCATACTGTTTTTGGTCATTTTTCTTTGCAAAATAAAAGGGAAAAAATTATTACACTTAGTTAGAGAGAGGACCTTCTGTGTGTCTTGCAACAAAGCAGAATTGGATTAATATTAAGAAAATACTCCTTTTATAGGTATTAGCAAGCATTTTCATGGTTAGATTTTCTTCAGAATTGTAGTACGCTGATGCCATTTTGAAAGATTGTGAAATGGTTTGTTTTTACCTTTAAGAACTCAATTCTTTCAACTACCGTGGCATACGCGTTAAGCATTTTGAAGTAAAAATTACATTAAAGAAAATGTCCTGAAATGTTGAAAAATTATAAGCTTTTTTCTCCTCGTAAACAGGTGTATGCTTGGGGTGACAACGACCACGGCCAGCAGGGCAATGGCACGACCACGGTTAACAGGAAGCCCACACTCGTGCAAGGCTTAGAAGGCCAGAAGATCACACGCGTGGCTTGTGGGTCGTCCCACAGTGTGGCGTGGACAACTGTGGATGTGGCCACGCCCTCTGTCCACGAGCCCGTCCTCTTCCAGACTGCAAGAGACCCTTTAGGTGCTTCCTATTTAGGTAACACAGATTTGTATCTTCTCTGAGATTTTTCTGTAGGTTACAGCAACCTTATAGATTTATTTAATTGTGCCAACACAATTAGAGGTTGTAGTGCCATGTTAACTGCATTATGACTCTAAAGACACAGAAGAATTATGGTGTGCTCTCATGCGATTTATACATGCTGGAATGAAAATTTTAGAAGAAAGTATGTTGCTGATTCTTGTATTTATGATCAGGTAAACTCACAGCGCTGTCCTTCTGTGTGAACAGGACTCCTAATAACTGCCTGAGAGATACAGGCACTGTACTGGGCTCTTTTGTATTTTTTAACAGCTTTATTCAGTTATAATTGACATATAATAAACTGCACCTATTTAAAGTATGCATTTTGATTGACTTTGGAATATGTATGATCCATGAAAGCATCAGCACAATCAAAGATAATGAACTCATACACTACCCCAGCGTTCCTCTCTGGCCCTCTGTACCCCTCCCTTTTGCTTTTAACTCCCTCCTTCCTGCCGTATGCACCAATTTAATTTCTGTCACTAGAGATCAGTTTGCATGTTTTCTTTTTGTTATTGTTGTTGTTTGGTTGGGTTTTTTTTTTTTTTTTTGTAGACAGGGTCTCACTCTGGAGTGCAGTGGCACGATTTTGGCTCACTGCAGCTTCCACCTCCTGGGCTCAAGTGATCCTTCCACCTCAGCCTCCCAAATAGCTGGGACTACAGGCACATGTCACCATGCCTGGCTAATTTTTGTTTGTTTGTTTGGTGGAGAGAGGGTTTTGCCATGTTGCTCAGGTTGGTCTTGAACTCCTGAGCTCAAGTGATCCTCCCATCTTGGCCTCCCAAAGTGCTGGGATTATGGGCAGGAGCCACCGTGGCAGACCAGTTTGCATGTTGTACAGCTTACTATAAATAGAATCATACAGCATATACTCTTTTTAAAAATCTTTTTCCACTCAGCATAATAATTTTGAGATTCACTTATGTTGCATGTATCGATAGTTTATTCTTTTTAAATTGTTGAATAGTATCTTAAGATAAACAAATGCAATTTGTTTATCCATTTATCTGTTGATGAATGTTTGGGCTGTTTCCAGTTGACTATACAAGTGAAATTGCTAATGGACATTTCCATACAAGTTTGTGTATGGACATCCACTTGAAATTCTCTTGGGTAAACTCCTAGGAGAGGAGTGGATGGATCATATGGCAGGTGTACGTCTAGCTTCTTAAGATCGCTACATACTGTTTTGCAAAGTGGATGTTCCAGAGGTCCACATCCTCCACATTTTTGTCAACCCTTGATACGTTCAGTCTTTAATTTTAGTTATACTGATAGACGTATGGTGGTATCTCATTGTGGTTTCAATTTGCATTTCCCTAGTAACTAATGATCTCAAGCATCTTGCTTATTTACGAATCAGATACCTTTTTTGGTGAATGTCTGTTCAAGTCTTTTCCTATATTTAAATAGGTTGATTGTTTTCTTACTGAGTTTGAGAGTTTCTTATATATTCTGGGTTACAAGTCCTTTGCCTAATATAGAATTTGCTAGTATTTTCTGTCAGTGTGGCTTGTCATTTTATTCTCTTCACAGGTGAATCTTAAAGATTAGAAGTTTTTAATTTTGATGAAGCCTAGTTTATTCATTTTATTCTTTTGTAGAGTGTACTTTTGATGTTGTGTCTACAAAACCTTTGCC
Source organism: Homo sapiens (assembly GCF_000001405.40). Taxonomy (NCBI): domain Eukaryota; kingdom Metazoa; phylum Chordata; class Mammalia; order Primates; family Hominidae; genus Homo; species Homo sapiens. Next base: position 306,140 of record NW_011332701.1, on the reverse strand, counting down.
TCAAGATTATAAAGATTCTCCTTCTATGTTCTGTTATAGAAGTTTTGTAGTTTTAGATATGTGTATCTATGACCAGTTGATTAAATTTTATATATGGTGGGAGGTTCAGATTGAAAGGCTTTTTTTGGCATGATTGTCCAGTTGTTTCAGTTGTATTTGTTGAAAAACTACGCTTTTCCTACTGAATTGCCTTTTGCCTTTGTGAGAATTCAGTTGTCTATGGATGTATGGATCTATTTCTGGACTCTCAGTACTGTTTCATTGATTTATTTGTGGATTTTGGTGGCAATGACATATTGTCTTGATTACCACAGCTTTATAAAAGACCTGAACTCAGGTTGCAAGAGTTCTTTAGCTTTGTTCTTTTTCAAATATATGTTGGCTGTTGTAGGCCCTTTGCATTTCCATATAACTTAAAATGAGCTTGTCAGTTTTTATAAAATCGTTTGCTTGGGATTTTGATGTGGATTGCATTAATTCTGTAAGTCAATGTGGAAAGGATGGATTCACAGTATTCAGTCTTCTAACCCATGAACATAGTGTTTCTCTTTATTTTTTAGGTGTTTAGTTTCTCTCAGCAATGTTTTCTAGTCCCAGTATTGTGTAGGTTTTTTTTTTTTTTTTTGAGACGGAGTCTCGCTCTGTCGCCAGGCTGGAGTGCAGTGGCGCAATCTCGGCTCACTGCAAGCTCTGCTTCCCGGGTTCACGCCATTCTCCTGCCTCAGCCTCCCAAGTTGCTGGGACCACAGGCACCTGCCACCACGCCCGGCTAATTTTTTTGTATTTTTAGTAGAGACGGGGTTTCACCGTGTTAGCCAGGACAGAATCGATCTCCTGACCTCGTGATCCGCCCACCTCGGCCTCCCAAAGTGCTGGGATTACAGGCGTGAGTCACCGCACCCGGTCTATTGTATAGGTTTTGCTTGTCTTTTGTTAGATTATTTCTAAGAATTTCAGATTATTAAATGGTCTTTTAAAAATATCATTTCTTCTGTATGGGAATATTCAGATTGCTCTTTGCTAGCATGTAGAAATAAGTACAATTGCTTTTTTTTTTAAAAAAAGTGAGCTTCATCTTGTCATACAAATATTTTGTTTTTTCCCCTTCTGTCTCAGGAGGGGACATTTAGGCTCCAGCAGCATCTGCTTTTATGAATAACTGGAATGTGATCTTCTGGCTGTGTTAGTTACTGGCTGTATGAACTGGGGCGAGTGGCTTCACCTTCCTGTGCTGTCTTCTTTTCTGGGGTAGATGAAGATAATGCTTGACTCTCATCTTCTCCTTTCTGGTTCAAATTACTCAGTATCTTCTTAACGTATAGCTCTTTTCATGTCACATTATATGTATAACTTTTGAGTCTGGCTTTTTCTGCTCAGCCTAATCCTCTGGCTATTCATCCAAGTTGTTACATATTACATAGTATGTTCAGTATTCCATCGAATACTCAACCATCGAAGGACATTTGGATTATTTCTAGGTTTTGACTATTACAAATAAAACTGCCATGTCATTCATATACAGGTGAATGTGAAAATTTACTTTACGTGAAAATAAGTTCTTATTTCTTTGGCATAAATGTCCAAGAGTGTGATGGTTGGTCATATGGTAATTATGTTTAGTTTGATAAGAAACTGCCAAGCCGTTTTCCAGAATGGCTGTGCCATTTTATATTCTCATTAGCAGTGGAGGATGATCCAGTTTTTCCCATATCCTCACCATCTTTTTAAAATGTAGCCATACTGATAGATAGGTCATTGTATCTCATTGTGGTTTTAATATTTTCCTTATGGCTAATTATGTTAACCATCTTTTCATGTGCTTATTTACTGTCCATATCTCCTCTTTGGTAAAATATGTCTTCATGCCCTTTTCTAATTGGCTTTTTTTTTTTCTGTTGAGTTTAGAGAGTTCATTATATATTCTAGATGTTTCTAGTCCTTTGGCAGATGTGTGTTATGCAGATATTTTCTCCTGGTCTCTAGCTTGTCTTTTCGTTTCCTTTCATAGAACGAAAGTGTTTAATTTTGATGAAGTCTAATTCATCAGGTTTTTCTTTTATAGATCATACTTTTGGTGTCAAGTCTAAGTATATTTTTGCCTAGTGCTAGTTCCTAAAGACTGTCTCCTATTTTTCTCTAAAAGATTTATAGTTTTGTATTTTCTACTGAAGTCATGATCCATTTGGATTTAATTTTGCATAAGGTGTAGACTTAGGCTGAAGTTTGGGTTTTTTGCCCACAGACGTCCAGTTGCTCCACCACCATATGCCGAAAGGCTGTCCTGCCTCCGAGTTGCTTTTGCACGTTTGTCAACAGTCAGTGAGGCATATTTGTGTGGTTCTGTTTCTGGGTTCTCTGTTTATTCCATTGATTCTTATGCCAGTACCACACAGTTTTGGTTATGGTATTACAACTTTTGAAATTGGGTAGACTCATTCCTCCTCCTTATTTTTCTATTTCTATTCTTGCTCCTTTGCCTTTCCATGTACATTTCAGAATAATCTTGTCTGTTGACAAAAACTCTTGCTGGAATTCTGGTGGGAATTGCATTAAATCTGTGTATCAATTTGGATGAGTTGACATAGACACATGTCCCAGCTCTACTTGGCTCCCTCCTTCTGCTGAGACCTGGGAGTTCACAACGAAGTGAGCCTGATGAGACTTTATTGGTGAACATCTTTTCTCTTTGTTGTTTTGTATTCTTTTTTGTCTTGTCTTACCGGGGTAAGAAAATACAGGTAGTTATTGTAGCATTTTCATAGTTTATATGTATATAACATAAACTGTTGTAAGTGCATTTTATAAAAGCACCTACATCTTTTTGCAGTTACAGTGGAACTATGCTGAAAATAGCTTCTTTATCGAAGTATGGATAAGTGGTTTTCTTATTTTGAAGGCCTATTAATGAGCCTGATAGGTGCTTTGTGAAATAGCAAAATGCAGATTGCAGTGTGTTTTGGAACTAACCTGTAAGGTCAGATTTTATAGAAATAGATCAAACTGTGATTTTAAAAACAATGCAAATTTTATTTTCCTCTTATAGGCGTGCCTTCAGATGCTGATTCTTCTGCTGCCAGTAATAAAATAAGTGGTGCAAGTAATTCTAAGCCAAATCGCCCTTCTCTTGCCAAGATTCTCTTGTCATTGGATGGAAATCTGGCCAAACAGCAGGCCTTATCGCATATTCTTACAGCATTGCAAATCATGTATGCCAGGTAGGCTTCTGTGCTAATTTTTGAAATTCTGCAATTATGTGAGCTTCACATTTTTGTGATTTTTTTTCTTTTCGTTGATCAGATGTCTCCAAGAATGTTGTATTATTGTCTTTAAATGCTGTATGTTGTAAGTCACAAGTTCTTTGATGGTGATTGGTGATATCTTAGTGTGTGTCTTAATGGGCATTGAAATATGAATTAGAAAACTAACTTGAACATTTTCACTATTCTTTTTGACCAGTAGACTCGAACCATCAATATTTGGGGGAAGAAAAGAAGAATTAGGTGATACTAATTTATAGTGATGTCTAAGACGACTTAGCATCCCCTTCGCTCACTTGAGAAGGCTGAGTTTTGCCAGTGCGGCATTTTGCAGTATTTTTCTGCTGCTTTCCCACAGCCTAGATAAGTTTCCCATCTACTAATGTATCACACATGTGGACCTGACAGGTGTCCTTACATAGGAAAATTAGTTTCAGAACAAAAACAGTCATTCAGTAGAGGCCATTGAGTCGTTGCTGCTCAGTATGTGGCTTTCAGTAAACACAAAATTGCCTGCTGGTCAATTATCCAGCCCTCAGGCTCTCACAGCAGCCCAAGAGGATTTCTTTCTCAGGGAGAGCCAGAGTCTCATTCTGGTCTGGTTTTTATGTTTGGCAGTTTTTCACCTGCCATTACTCTGGTTTTTCAAATAAATAGGATCCAGAGTAAACATTTTAGCTATTAGCCAAAGGATACATGGTAATAATGTTTGGTAGTTTTCCAAAACTCTTCTACATGTATTCAGTAAAAATGAGGAAACGCCTCAGTGCGTGCTAGCCCTGCCTCTCCACTTCCTGTGCTGCAGTGGAGAAGGGGCAGCTCACCACAGGCCTGGCTTTGTGTCCTGACAGAGATGCTGTTGTCGGGGCCCTGATGCCGGCCGCCATGATCGCCCCGGTGGAGTGCCCCTCGTTCTCCTCGGCGGCCCCTTCCGACGCATCTGCGATGGCTAGTCCCATGAATGGAGAAGAATGCATGCTGGCTGTTGATATCGAAGACAGACTGAGTCCAAATCCATGGCAAGAAAAGAGAGAGGTAAAAGCGAATCTAAAGCAATGTTAGATCAGAAAGGAAAAGGTGGCTACTTTGTGTCTAGGAAAGTCTCATTGTGTCATTTAGTTTAGGCTGTTTCTGTGCCTCCCGCTTAGATTTTTGGCTTTACTTAGAAGAATATTCTCTGTAAAGGAGCTTTTAAAGTGCTTAAGTGGAATTGGCTTTCTTTTATTAAAAAAACCATTAAATCAAGTTCACAGTCCTTTATCTGCAATTCTGAAACCTTAAAGTTCTGACAGTCAAGAATTTTAGTAACATTTTGGGGGAAAGAACCAACTCGAAGATATGTGAACTCATTTTAGTCTGGTTCATGTGACCTGCTGTGAATATTAATAGTTATTCTTGAAAATATGAATGTGCTTGACTTTGCAAAACTGTCCTAGGCCTGACTGGGGGTGGTAGTGGCTATGTCTGGTGGGCACCATGTTACCTCTGTAAAATCTGGAACATTCTAAACAGCCCAAGTAGTTTTAGGTAAAGCATTTGGGACTTGCATAGGAAATGTGTTATGTTGCTGAGTTTTTCCACTTAAACTTCCCCTACTGTGCACTCTTGGACTAGATTGTTTCCTCTGAGGACGCAGTGACCCCCTCTGCAGTGACTCCGTCGGCCCCCTCAGCCTCCGCTCGGCCTTTTATCCCAGTGACGGATGACCTGGGAGCCGCAAGCATCATTGCAGAAACCATGACCAAAACCAAAGAGGTGAAGAGGCGTTCTTCTTTAACTTTGTATTGTGAAATAATCTTAAATGTACACAGAAGTAGAAATAGAACTTAGGAGTGGAACACAGTCTATTCCTATCCCATTCACCTCGGCTGTCCACTTGTTAGCATCTTCGAAGCGTTTGTGGGAATGCCGCAGGACACGGTCCCTGTCACTGCTTACTGCTTCCACGTGTATTCCTTGAGTATCAGGACTGCAGCTTGATCCAGGATTACTTTCAAACCCACAGACATATTCAGATTTTGCTCATCATCCCAATAGTATCCTTAAAGGTCTAGCACTCAACCTAGGATTGCATGTTGCCTCTTTAGTCTTCAGTGTGGAACAGTCCTTCAGTTCTTCGTTTTGACAGACACCACAGGAACGGTGCAGAATTCTTTTCAGTGCCTCCATTAGGACTCACGCATTGCTGATTTGCTGCATCATTGGTGAGATAGCTTATCACTTGGTTAAGGGTCTCTGCCAAGTTTCTCCACTGGAAGTCAGTAAGTGTGTTAAGTACTCATGGGGAGATACTTTTGAGATTATGTCAATGTCTTGTTCCTCATCATACTTTTACCTCCCAGTTTTTAGCATCTTAAAGATTCTAGCTGAATCCATTATTACTGTGGTGGTTGTCACATTTTCATTGTTCACATTTATTGTTACTTCTGGAATGTAATTGTTGCCATTCTTTTGCAAGAGACAGCTTTCCCTTCTCATCCGTCTGTCTTCTACCTACCTACCTACCTGTCTTTTTATATTGTATAGAATCAGGAGTTCCTGTTTTAGTCAAATAGTGACGTTTGTTGCTATCATTATTTGACACCCAAATGGTCCTGGACTTGGTTATTGGGACTCCCATGGACTGGTCACTGGGACTCGGTCACTGGGACTCCCGTGGACTGGTCACTGGGACTCGGTCACTGGGACTCCCGTGGACTGGTCACTGGGACCCGGTCATTGGGACTCCCGTGGACTGGTCATTGGGATCCCTGTGGACTGGTTCCATTGTCTGATGTGTCCCCATAATTTTTAGGGCTCTTCCTTCATTTCTGGCACAACTGTGCTCTAGACTTATCTTTCACCTACCCTCCCCCTGCCTGGAATCAGCCATTTCTTCAAGAAGCCATGGTTCCTGCTAGTGGCTTGTAGGATTTGGAAACCGAGATCTGGGTGCTTGGTAAGCTAATTGTTACTGAGTGTCTTTGGTTAGGCCCTCTCAGCAAATAGACCTATACACATGAACATTTATTTATCCTTCTGCATTTATCTATATAATAAAAACCATTAACAGCCCAAATCAGTACTTTTAATTCCAATCCAGTACCACAGGGCTTATTCCTACTCTCCCTTTTTCCATATTTTTTTGGTGTATAATGCTTTTATATGTTGCTAGATTTGGTTTGCTGCTATTTTGTTGAAGATTTTTACATCTGTATTCATAAGGGATACGGCTCTGTAGTTTTCTTGTGATGTCTTTGGTTTGGATATTATAGCAATATTGGCTTCATAGATTGAGTTGGAGGGTGTGCCTTTCTCTTCTGTTTTTTAGAAGAGTTGGTGAAGCATTCGGGTTAATTCTTCTTTAAGTAGTTGGTAGAATTTTATGTGTTCTTCTGGCATATTCCCATCATTCTTTGAGTATTTCCTTACTTTTTGGCACAACACAAAATTCCAGGCTCAATAAGATGTTTTATGCTCCAACATAGGAATCAGTTGTGTTTCTGAGAAGTCCTAGTTCTTTCTGGTGGAGAAGGGCATTTAGAGGTCAAGATCTGGGCCCTTTGTGTGCTTGTTGCTGTTTGGGTGACAGGGCTAGAGAATGAATATGTGTGTGTGTAACATAATAGGTACATACATCAGTTTTTGTTTTTGTTTTGTTTTTAGACAGGGTCTTGTTCTGTTGCCCAGGCTGCAGTAGAGTGGCACGATCTTGGCTCACTGCAGCCTCAACCTCCTGGTCTCAAGCCATCCTCAGCCTCCCAAGTAGCTGGAACTACAAGCATGCACCACCATACCTGGCTAATTTTTGTATTTTTTTTTTTCTCTTTTTTTTTCAGAGATAGGTTTTGCCATGTTGCCCAGGCTGGTCTTGAACTCCTGGGCTCAAGTGATCTGCCTGCCTCATCCTCTCAAAGTGCTGGGATTACAGGCATGAGCCACCGTGTTTGGCCTACATCAGTATTTGTGTTGTTATATATTTACGTACATGGAAAACCACCGGTTCACACCAATATGATTGATTGTAACCCAACTAAGATTCATTCTAGTTTTCACCCTTTCTGTATTTATAACTTCCTTCTCTGAAAGTGGGAAACCTGGCTCCTGTCATCAGCAGACTATTTACTTACAGTTCAGTCCCCTTAGATAACCAACCTCCGATCTTGGCTGTCCCCCACTCCGTGGTGGGCACCTTTCTTCCTCTGTACATCCTCTGGCACTCAGAACCAGTCTGCCTCCATGGTCCTCCATGGTCACCCTACGTGACCTCTGGCCCTCCCCTCACCTCCATGTTGACCCAGAGTGTGGCACCTTCCTCACTTGGCCTGGCTGTGTCTCTCCAACCCCCCATGTGTGGATGCCTTCCCCAGCCCGCTGAGGCGCTCCCCACACCAGGCCAGCCCCTGCTCATGTGTACTCCCTTGCCAGCCTTTCCACCTTGAGGGCAAACACTTTATTTTTAATTACATTTGGAACCCTTGATTTATTATGCTGTTACTGCTGGCAGAAAATATGTCCTACAGAAATTATTTATAACCATCCATGGTAGTAAGAAAGCCTCTATTTATGAATTAGGTGCCTGGAATCAACTTCTAATTTTTGGCAGTCTCCTGGTTTGAGGGTTTAATGCAGAACTTATTCTGAGGAAGGCAACATTTTTGTTTTAGGTAAAAGGATAATATGATTTATTTCCCCCCAATTTATTTATGAGACATAGGCATTATCCAGGTTGCAACCCTGTATTTCTATTATTTCAGTTTTGGCTTGACTCATGAATTTAAGGCAAAGCAATTTTAATGTTAGTATTAAGCTATAATTCATATTTAAGGATATGCCGCTAGTGATTTTCTTCCTTAGCAATTCTTCTAGACATATTTTCTGTGTTTGTGTGTGTGCATGTTTTAAGACACCCTCATAAAAAAAAATGGTAGGTACATTTCAATCTCAAGACTAAAGATATTCTTGTTAATATGTTTCACTGAATGCTTTTGCTGTCCTTCAGTGAGTTATGTTCTGGAATGTCATCATTTATAATGAATTTCCCTTACTCCTTGTGTCTCCATGCAGAGGCAGGAGCAAGGTCTGTTTCCCAAAAGGGAGAGGAACCTTGTTCCTAAATCAGAGTGGTGTGGTTTCCAGGGTCCACTGGTTGGGTCATTTTCCCCTTAAGGGGAACATGTGGGGCTGTCCTTCCCCCAGCCTGTTTATGTTTGTGGAAAGAGTTGCACTGGATTTGCTGAGGTCCAGAAAGCAGGAGAGAAAAGCGGCACTTCCCTGGCTCTCGATCTTCCTCTGGGGAGCCAGACTCTGCCTGGGGAATGAGAAGGGCTTGACACACTCCTGCTCTGCACAGGGTCACAGCGGTTCCCATGCTGGGTCGGAAGCGGTGGGAGTCCCTGGCACTGACAAGGGCCTTTCCCGTTTCCACAAGCTCAGCCCCAGTGCTGCCCTCCAGGAGGCTTCTGTGTGCCAACAAGCAGGGTGGGGGCGGCCATCCTGGGCAAGGCACCTCCATAGGGTGGGAGCTGGGGGTGCAGTGATGCTGGGAATTGGCTCATAGCAAACAAGGAGAGGAGTTGAAGGATCAAGATGTGGTATGTTTAGGCTGACATGGCAGGAATGGGAAGTACACGAGTGGTAATGAGAAGACTTTTATGTATGATGTTTTCAATGAACCCAAGGAGAGAGAGAGACTGGATAGTGTGTTAATGCCAGTGAGTTGCTTGAAATAAGATTCCAGGAAAGAATTATGGAGAGGATCTAGACAAAATGTATACAATTAGAGAATACAAATTTAGTTTGTAAACGATTCCCTAGCGTATCTTATGGGTAGATTATACAGGATGCAGCTTCATTCCAAAACTCCCCCTGTAGTATCTGCTTATGATCCAAACTTGGTCCCAGTAATAAATTGTCATTTCTTTATAGCTTAAGTCATCCCTTTTTGATAAATGCCATTGGTAATACAACAGTTAATTGGTCTTGAAAACATAGTACATGGCTTGGTGGAGATTTTAGGGGCCGTCGTTTCTTAATCTGTTTCTTAAGGTCTTAAACACCTTCAGGTTTCTTACTCGTTGGTATTCATGTGTTCTCTGAGTTTATGGGTAAACTGGTGACTCTTTATCTCTTAGCATATCATTCCTCATGTTAATTGTTGGATGTCATTTGACTTAGGATGTTGAAAGCCAAAATAAAGCAGCAGGTCCGGAGCCTCAGGCCTTGGATGAGTTCACCAGTCTGCTGATTGCGGATGACACTCGTGTGGTGGTAGACCTGCTCAAGCTGTCAGTGTGCAGCCGGGCCGGGGACAGGGGCAGGGATGTGCTCTCCGCGGTGCTTTCCGGCATGGGGACCGCCTACCCACAGGTGAGTCTCAGGGAGGGCGGGGCCGTCTGATTCCACCTCCTCCATGTTGGGCCACCCTCCTCTCCAAAGGAGAGCTGCTATGGATCACCGGTGATCTTGTGCTGGGTTTCATCCTAGTAGACTGCAGGTTAGGAGCACTCCTTTAGAGCAAAACGTTTTAGCATTTAACCCAGTGACATCCTTTACCTGTTTTTTGTTTTTTTGAGACGGAGTCTCGCTCTGTCGCCCAGGCTAGAGTGCAGTGGCGCCATCTCGACTCACTGCAAGCTCTGCCTCCTGGGTTCACACCATTCTCCTGCCTCAGCCTTCCAAGTAGCTGGGACTACAGGTGCCCACCACCATGCCCGGCTAATTTTTTTTGTATTTTTAGTAGAGTCGGGGTTTTACCATGTTAGCCAGGATGGTCTTGATCTCCTGACCTCGTGATCCACCTGCCTCAGCCTCCCAAAGTGCTGGGATTACAGGAGTGAGCACCAAACCTGGCCCCTTTACCTGTTTTATAACTGATTTGTGCATCTTTTTAAAATGATTTGTCAAAGTTCTTTAAGTCCCTTTTCTATCATATGTCTTACAGTTTCCACCCCAGTTTATTTTTTGATATTAGTTTGATATTTTTTGCCATGTAGAAATTTTTAATTATTATGTGGTCAAATCTGTCAGTTTTTTTCATTTATGCCTTCTGAGTTTTGTATTATGCTGAAAAAAAAATGCTTGCTTATGTGACATTGTTTTAAATAAATTCTTCCAAGTTTTCGTCTAAGGTTTTTGAGACAGTCTCCTTCACCCGGGCTGGAGTGCGGTGGCGCAATCTCAGCCTCCCAGGATCACCTCTACCTCCCGGGATCAGGTGATTCTTGTGCCTCAGCTTCCTGAGTAGCTGGGATTACAGGCATGCGCCACGATGCCTGGCTAATTTTTGTATTTTTAGTTGAGATGGGGTTTCACCATGTTGGCCCGGCTGGTCTGGAACTGCTGACCTCAAGTGATCTACCCACCTTGGCCTCCCAAAGTGCTTGGGATTACAGGCATGAGCCACCATGCCCGGCCTTCTTCTAATTTTTTATGATTTCATGTATTGTTTACATTTTTTAGCCACCTGGGATTTATTTTGATGTAAGAATAAAGTAGGTATCCAACTTTACTTTTTTTCCTAGATGGTAAACCGGTTGCCCTAACATCATTTATTGAATAACTCATCTTTTCCCTGGTGATTTAAAAACCAGTTTTATCATATTCTAAATTCCTGTATGCATTTGGGTCTATTTACAAAACTTCTTAGGTTCTGATACTATGGTATTTTAACTATTACAGCTTTAAAATGTCTTTTAATATTTGGTAGCACTGGGTCTGTAGGACTTTGTCATTGTGGAAATGTTCTGGACCGGAGCCATCTGGGACCATTGGCACCAGCCACATATGGCCACTGCACACTGAAATATGGCTAGTGCACCTGAGGAACTGAAGGTTTTAAAACACTCAACTTGAGGCACATGTGGCTAGTAGCTGCTGAATTGGTCTGTAGGTCTGCAGTATAAAGTGAGCGTCTTACTAGTATGTCTTAGAAATAGGACTGATCAGTCGTAAAGGCCGTGGGCTTCCTTAAGAACTCTTCTTTATCAGCAGCCATGCTCTGCCCTGCCAGGGAGCCTGAGATGTCCTTCCTGGCTGCAGACACTTCATCCGTTTCTCTGGGTGCCTACTTTGTGTGGAGGAAAGTCTTACTCTGTCACTTAGTTTAGGCAGTTTCTGTGCCTATTAGGATTTTTGGCTTTAGTTAGAAGAATATTCTCTTTAAAGGAACTTCTGAAGTTTTTAAGTAGAATTATATTTAAAAAAAAAATCATTAAATGTAAGTTCATACTCCTTTATCTGAAATTCTGAAACGTTAAAGCTCTGATGGTCAGAAATTTTAGTAACTTACATGATCACCAAAACGATAAAGTACTTAAGTAGAGTTGAGCAGTCTTGAAAGCGCAGCAGAGTTTGGTAGATATTTTAGGGGCTTGTTATTTCTTCATCTGCTATTCATGAAGAACTAAAAAGCTGTAGGTATCCTTTTTTCTAGTTTTTTGAGACAAGTTACTTGGCATAATTCTAAGAGATGAAATCAAGGTGAATTACCATAAGCACTATTATTATTTTTCATAAGTTTATTGCATTTGTGAGAGGGAAGGGTATGAATGAGAACTTTGATTTAAAATAATGCTGAGCGGGGGGCGGTGCCAAGATGGCTGAATAGGAACAGCTCCAGTCTACAGCTCCCAGTGTGAGCAACGCAGAAGATGGGTGATTTCTGCATTTCCAACTGAGATACCAGGTTCATCTCACTGGGGCTTGTCGGACAGCGGGTGCAGGACAGTGGGTGCAGTGCACCGAGCATGAGCTGAAGCAGGGCGAGGCATCGCCTCACCTGGGAAGCACAAGGGGTCAGGGAATTCCCTTTCCTAGCCAAGCAAAGCTGTGACAGAAGGCACCTGGAAAATTGGGTCACTCCCACCCTAATACTGTGCTTTTCCAACGGTCTTAGCAAATGGCACACCAGGAGATTATATCTCGCGCCTGGCTCGGAGGGTCCCACGCCCACGGAGCCTCGCTCATTGCTAGCACAGCAGCCTGAGATCGAACTACAAGGCAGCAGCCAGGCTGGGGGAGGGGCGTCCACCGTTGCTGAGGCTTGAGTAGGTAAACAAAGCGGCCCGGAAGCTGAAACTGGGTGGAGCCCACCGCAGCTCAAGGAGGCCTGCCTGCCTCTATAGACTCCACCTCTGGGGGCAGGCCATAGCCGAACAAAAGGCAGCAGAAACCTCTGCAGACTTAAATGTCCCTGTCTGACAGCTTTGAAGAGAGTAGTGGTTCTCCCAGAACGGAGTTTGAGACCTGAGAATGGACAGACTGCCTCCTCAAGTGGGTCCCTGACCCCCGAGTAGCCTAACTGGGAGGCACCCCCCAGTAGGAGCAGACTGACACCTCACACGGCCGGGTACCCCTCTGAGACAAAACTTCCAGAGGAACGATCAGACAGCAACATTTGCTGTTCAGCAATATTCGCTGTTCTGCAGCCTCCGCTGCTGATACCCAGGCAAACAGAGTCTGGGAGTGGACCTCCAGCAAACTCCAACAGACCTGCAGCTGAGGGTCCTGACTGTTAGAAGGAAAACTAACAAACAGAAAGGACATCTACACCAAAACCCCATCTGTACATCACCATCATCAAAGACCAAAGGTAGATAAAACCACAAAGATGGAGAAAAAACAGAGCAGAAAAACTGAAAATTCTAAAAATCAGAGCATCTCTCCTCCTCCAAAGGAACGCAGCTCCTCACCAGCAATGGAACAAAGCTGGAAGGAGAATGACTTTGATGAGCTGAGAGAGGAAGGCTTCAGACGATCAAACTTCTCCGAGCTAAAGGAGGAAGTTCGAACCCATTGCAAAGAAGTTAAAAACCTTGAAAAAAGATTAGACGAATGGCTAACTAGAATAACCAATGCAGAGAAGTCCTTAAAGGAGCTGATGGAGCTGAAAACCATGGCATGAGAACTACGTGACAAATGCACACACTTCAGTAGCCAATTCGATCACCTGGAGGAAGGGGTATCAGTGATTGAAGATCAAATGAATGAAATGAAGCGAGAAGTTTAGAGAAAAAAGAATAAAAAGAAATGAACAAAACCTCCAAGAAATATGGGACTATGTGAAAAGACCAAATCTATGACTGATTGGTGCACCTGAAAGTGATGGGGAGAATGGAACCAAGTTGGAAAACACTCTGCAGGATATTATCCAGGAGAACTTCCCCAATCTAGCAAGGCAGGCCAACATTAAAATTCAGGAAGTACAGAGAATGCCACAAAGATACTCCTCGAGAAGAGCAACTCCAAGACACATAATTGTCAGATTCACCAAAGTTGAAATGAAGGAAAAAATGTTAAGGGCAGCCAGAGAGAAAGGTCGGGTTACCCACAAAGGGAAGCCCATCAGACTAACAGCGGATCTCTGGGCAGAAACTCTACAAGCCAGAAGAGAGTGGGGGCCAATATTCAACATTCTTAAAGAGAAGAATTTTCAACCCAGAATTTCATATCCAGCCAAACTAAGCTTCATAAGTGAAGGAGAAATAAAATCCTTTACAGACAAGCAAATGCTGAGAGATTTTGTCACCACCAGGCCTGCCCTAAAAGAACTCCTGAAGGAAGCACTAAACATGGAAAGGAACAACCGGTACCAACCACTGCAAAAACATGCCAAATTGTAAAGACCATCAATGCTAGGAAGAAACTGCATCAACTAACGAGCAAAATAACCAGCTAACATCATAATGACAGGATCAAATTCACACATAATAATATTAACCTTAAATGTAAGTGGGCTAAATGCTCCAATTAAAAGACACAGACTGGCAAATTGGATAAAGAGTCAAGACCCATCAGTGTGCTGTATTCAGGAAACCCATCTCATGTGCAGAGACACACATAGGCTCAAAATAAAGGGATGGAGAAAGATCTACCAAGCAAATGGAAAACAAAAAAAGGCAGGAGTTGCAATCCTAGTCTCTGATAAAACGGACTTTAAACCACCAAAGATCAAAAGAGACAAAGAAGGCCATTACATAATGGTAAAGGGATCAATTCAATAAGAAGAACTAACTATCCTAAATATCTATGCACCCAATAAAGGAGCACCCAGATTCATAAAGCAAGTCCTTAGAGACCCACAAAGAGACTTCGACTCCCACACAATAATAATGGGAGACTTTAACACCCCACTGTCAACATTAGACAGATCCATGAGACAGAAAGTTAACAAGGATATCCAGGAACTGAACTCAGCTCTGCATCAAGCCAACCTAATAGACATCTACAGAACTCTCCACCCCAAATCAATAGAATATACATTCTTCTCAGCACCACACCGCACTTACTCCAAAATTGACCACATAGTTGGAAGTAAAGCACTCCTCAGCAAATGTAAAATAACAGAAATTATAACAAACTGTCTCTCAGACCATAGTGCCATCAAACTAGAACTCAGGATTAAGAAACTCACTCAAAACTGCTCAACTACATGGAAACCGAACAACCTGCTCCTGAATGACTAGTGGGTACATAACGAAGGCAGAAATAAAGTTGTTCTTTGAAACCAACGAGAACAAAGACACAACATACCAGAATCTCTGGGACACATTTAAAGCAGTGTGTAGAGGGAAATTTATAGCACTAAATGCCCACAAGAGAAAGCAGGAAAGATCTAAAATTGACACCCTAACATCACAATTAAAAGAACTAGAGAAGCAAGAGCAAACACATTCAGAAGCTAGCAGAAGGCAAAAAATAACTAAGATCAGAGCAGAACTAAAGGAGATAGAGACACAAAAAACCCTTCAAAAAATCAATGAAGCCAGGAGCTGGTTTTTTGAAAAGATCAACAAAATTGATAGATCTCTAGCAAGACTAATAAGAAAAGAGAGAAGAATCAAGTGGATGCAATAAAAAATGATAAAGGGGATATCACCACTGATTCCATAGAAGTACAAACTACCATCAGAGAATACTACAAACACCTCTACACAAATAAACTAGAAAATCTAGAAGAAATGGATAAATTCCTGGACACATACACCCACCCAAGACTAAACCAGGAAGAAGTTGAATCTCTGAATAGACCAGTAACAGGCTCTGAAATGGAGGCAATAATTAATAGCTTACCAACCAAAAAAAGTCCAGGACCAGATGGAATCACAGCTGAATTCTGTCAGAGGTACAAAGAGGAGCTGGTACCATTCCTTCTGAAACTATTCCAATCAATAGAAAAAGAGGGAATCCTCCCTAACTCATTTTATGAGGCCAGCACCATCCTGATACCAAAGCCTGGCAGAGACACAACAAAAAGAATTTTACACCAATATCCCTGATGAACATTGATGCAAAAATCCTCAATAAAATACTGGCAAACCGAATCCAGCAGCACATCAAAAAGCTTATCCACCATGATCAAGTGGGCTTCATCCCTGTGATGCAAGGCTGATTCAACATATGCAAATCAATAAACGTAATCTAGCATATAAACAGAACCAAAGTCAAAAACCACATGATTATCTCAATAGATGCAGAAAAGGCCTTTGACAAAATTCAACAGCCCTTCATGCTAAAAACTCAACAAATTCAGTATTGTTGGGATGTATCTCAAAATAATGAGCTATTTATGACAAACCCACAGCCAATATCATACTGAATGGGCAAACACTGGAAGCATTCCCTTTGAAAACTGGCACAAGACAGGGATGCCCTCTCTCACCACTCCTGTTCAACATAGTGTTGGAAGTTCTGGCCAGGGCAATCAGGCAGGAGAAAGAAATAAAGGGTATTCAATTAGAACAAGAGGAAGTCAAATTGTCCCTGTTTGCAGATGACATGATTGTATATCTAGAAAACCCCATCGTCTCAGCCTAAAATCTCCTTAAGCTGATCAGCAACTTCAGCAAAGTCTCAGGATACAAAATCAATGTGCAAAAATCACAAGCATTCTTATACATCAATAACAGACAAACAGCAAAATAATGAGTGAAATCCCATTCACAATTGCTTCAAAGAAAATAAAATACCTAGGAATCCAACTTACAAGGGATGTGAAGGACCTCTTCAAGGAGAACTACAAACCACTGCTCAATAAAATAAAAGAGGATACAAACAAATGGAATAACATTCCATGCTCATGGATAGGAAATCGTGAAAATGGCCATACTGCCCAAGGTGATTTATAGATTCAATGCCATCCCCATCAAGCTACCAATGACTTTCTTCACAGAATTGGAAAAAACTACTTTAAAGTTCATTTGGAACCAAAAAAGAGCCCGCATTGCCAAGTCAATCCTAAGCCAAAAGAACAAAGCTGGAGGCATCACACTACCTGACCTCAAACTATACTACAAAGCTACAGTAACCAAAACAGCATGGTACTGGTACCAAAACAGAGATATAGACCAATGGAACAGAACAGAGCCCTCAGAAATAATACCACACATCTACAACTATCTGATCTTTGACAAACCTGACAAAAACGAGAAATGGGGAAAGGATTCCCTATTCAACAAATGGTGCTGGGAAAACTGGCTAACCATGTGTAGAAAGCTGAAACTGGATCCCTTCCTTACACCTTACACAAAAATTAATTCAAGATGGGTTAAAGACTTAAATGTTAGACCTAAAACCATAAAAACCCTAGAAGAAGACCTAGGGAATACCATTCAGGACATAGGTATGGGCAAGGACTTCATGTCTCAAACACCAAAAGCAATGGCAACAAAAGCCAAAATTGACAAATGGGATCCAATTAAACTAAAGAGCTTCTGCACAGCAAAAGAAACTACCATCAGAGTGAACAGGCAACCTACAGAATGGGAGAAAATTTTTGCAATCTACTCATCTGACAAAGGTCTAATATCCAGAATCTACAAAGAACTCAAAGAAATTTACAAGAAAAAAACAACCCCATCAACAAGTGGGCGAAGGATATGAACAGACACTTCTCAAAAGAAGACATTTATGCAGCCACCAGACACATGAAAAAATGCTCATCATCACTGGCCATCAGAGAAATGCAAATCAAAACCACAATAAGATACCATCTCACACCAGTTAGAATGGCGATCGTTAAAAAGTCAGGAAACAACAGGTGCTGGAGAGGATGTGGAGAAATAGGAGCACTTTTACACTGTTGGTGGGAGTGTAAACTAGTTCAACCACTGCGGAACACAGTGTGGCGATTCCTCAGGGATCTAGAACTAGAAATACCATTTGACCCAGCCATCCCATTACTGGGTATATACCCAAAGGATTATAAATCATGCTGCTATAAAGACACATGCACACATATGTTTATTGTGGCACTATTCACAATAGCAAAGACTTGGAACTAACCCAAATGTCCAACAATGATAGACTGGATTAAGAAAATGTGGCATATATACACCATGGAATACTATGCAGCCATAAAAAAGGATGAGTTCATGTGCTTTGTAGGGATATGGATGAGCTGGAAACCATCATTCTCAGCAAACTATCACAAGGACAAAAAAACCAAACACTGCATGTTCTCACTTATAGGTGGGAATTGAACAATGAGAACACTTGGACACAGGAAGGGGAACATCACACACCAGGGCCTGTTTTGGGGTGGGGGGAGGGGGGAGGGATAGCATTAGGAGATATACCTAATGTAAATGATGAGTTAATGGGTGCAGCACAACAACATGGCACATGTGTACATATGTAACAAACCTGCACGTTGTGCACATGTACCCTAGAACTTAAAGTATAATAAAAAAATATATATATAAAATAATGCTGAGCATTTGCCATGCACATCCCCACATTCTCAGTAGAGAGGGTAGGGGTTACCTTTATATATGGATGAGGAAACTGAGGCTGAGAGGTTACTGCTGGCTTGAGGACACTCACTTTGCTGGTAGGTGGAAGAGATGGGTTGGAACCCTGAGTGTCTGAGCCCCAGCTCCATCATGACCCCTCTGCAGATGATGTGCTTGGCAGAGCAACCTTCTGAAGGCCAGAGCCCCTGATCGACTCTGCACATGGGCGCTTGATGATGCCAACATCTGCTTTCAGTTACTCAGCCAGGTTCCAGGAGAGACAAGAATAAGGATACGGCCGTTTTCAAACTGCCCTTGCCAGGTTGGCAAGATGGCTATTTCTGTGTCCTGCCCTGACCTGATATTTGGGACTCAAAAAGAGAGACAAATTTAGATTTAAAATCATGCCTATGTGACAATGATATTAGTTTGTTAATATATAATATTTACTAAGCAAAGCTATTTCTTACCTAAATATGAGGAATAATAGAAAAAAGAATAATCTATTTCTAAAAAGTATAGAATGGGCATTAGAAGAGTTTTATTTTTTCTGGATTAAAAATGTTGGGGTTAATAGATTATTGCTGTTATGATGTATTCTCTCATTTATTTTTAAAAATAACAGAGTTTATAATCACCACTCTTAACCTTAATCGTAAAAGATGTGAATCATCAATAAGTTTTAAAATAAAATAAGAACACTGTGGATTGTTGAGAATGTGGTATGGGTCTGACCCCTAGTGTACTGGGTCAGCAGGGGCAGCTGTGTTGGGGTCGGCGGTCCCTCCTGTCACAGACTCTCCCTGTCTCTGTCTGGCCTGAGCGGCTTGATGGTTCCTGATTCCCGCCCCTCCCACCGGGCTCCGTTGCCTTCTAGGATTGTGGTCATTTTCACCTACTGGGTGCTCCTTCCCTTGATGTTTTTGTTTCCGAGGCCAACTTTCCTCACTAGGAAGTAATCTTGTCTTGGTGTAAAATGAAGCTATTGTCACCACGGTGTTTCATTTTATCAGCTGGCACATATTAAGTGTTGTGTGTGTTGGGAGCCTTCCAACTACTTTTTTTTCTTTTTCTTTTTTCGAGACAGAGTCTCTCTCTGTCGCTCAGGCTGGAGTGCAGTGGTGCAGTCTCAGCTCACTGCAACCTTCACCTCCTGAGTTTAAGCGATTCTCCTGCCTCAGCCTCCTGGGTAGGTGGGACTACAGGCACGGGCCACCATACCCAGCTAATTGTATTTTTAGTAGAGACGGGGTTTCACCGTACTGGCCAGGCTGGTCTTGAACTCCTGACCTCCAGTGATCTGCCTGCCTCGACCTCCCAAAGTGCTTGTATTACAAGTGTGAGCCACTGCGCTCCACCCAATGACTTTTTTTGTTTGAGACGCAGTCTCGCTCGGGTCACCCAGGCTGGAGTGCAACGGTGTGATCTCGGCTCACCGCAACCTCTGCCTCCCAGGTTCAAGTGATTCTCCTGCCTCAGCCTCCTGAGTAGCTAGGATTACAGGCATGCACCACCACGCCCAACTAAGTTTTTATTTTTAGTAGAGATGGGGTTTCTCCATGTTGGTCAGGCTGATCTCGAACTCCTGACCTCAGGTGATCCGCTTGCCTCGGCCTTCCAAAGTGCTGGGATTCCAGGCGTGAGCCACCGTGCCTGGCCCCAACGACTTTTTAACATAGATCATCCCTAAGCTTCACAGCATCTTACAGGCTCTGTGCTGTCTCTGTTTTATGTGCAAGGAAGCCAAGCCCTGATTTGAACTCAATTTCTCAAACTCCAAGCCCTCCACTCTGCCACGCTGTCCTTGTGGAGCTCCTGAGCAGGACGGGCAGAGGTGGCATGCAGGTGACCAGGTGTGGGGCTGTTGGCCCCCTCATTCATGTCCTTGCTTCCTCTCCAGGTGGCAGATATGCTGTTGGAGCTCTGTGTCACCGAGTTGGAGGATGTGGCCACAGACTCGCAGAGCGGCCGCCTCTCTTCTCAGCCTGTGGTGGTGGAGAGTAGCCACCCTTACACCGACGACACCTCCACCAGTGGCACAGTGAAGATACCAGGTACAGGGGCTGGCCCCAGCGGGGAGCTGCAGCCTTTCCCACCTTCAGAATGATGTGATTCTGTAATTGCTTCAGTAGAAACAACCATCTCCATTTTATAAAAAGAAGTTACAGAATTGCTTTAGAATCACTTTTCTCCCCTTTTCTAACAAACTACTTTTGCACAATAAATCATGATATAGAAAGTCACACAAAGTAAATGTTTAGCTTCATGATAATCAGGCAGATGCCCTAGTCATCATGACCCAAGTCTAGACCTAACCTGTGGCAAATTCTGGAAGCCCTCAGTGTATCCCCTGATGTTCCTCTGAGTGATGCTGTCCTGATATTGATCCATCACTGACTTGCATTTCTGGACAGCTTCTGTTACCCATGTGTATATCTTTTGTTTTTAACAACTCAACAAAAATTATTAAGAAGAAAATTGTTGAGGCCCCGGCCTTTGATCTGGCGGGCTTCACTGCAGCCTGGATCTGCTGACTGGACACGTGTGCTGCTGTTCAGTGTGTTCCTCAGGCCCGTCCTTCTGCAAGGTGCTGCCCGATTCGGAGGCCCATAAGTTCCGCCCCTTTTGCCAGCTCCTTAGTGGTTGTGACTCAGCCTCAGCAGGCACCTCCTGCCTGCCTGTCTTTGCTTTGTGACATCAGCAGTCCCTGAGGCTTATTAGCACCCGAGGCTATTGGCCCATGAGGGGCTACAAATGGTGCTATTCTAGTGGAATCATTTCTTGCTTATTTGTTAGCTGGAATACTTTCCTGTAAAGAGGCATTTCCCTTCATCCTGTAGTTAGTTGTTCAAGGTGCTGTTTGCCTGAGAAAGACAAGATAAAAGCTTGATTCTTTCTTCCATTTACCAGAGAATGAATTGGTTTCCTATTATTTCTTGAAGGTGACCTGTTTTTTTTTTTAATGTTATTATGAACTCATGGATTGGAACATATGTGATTGTTTTACTCTATTGTTATTATCTTTGTTGAAGCTGAGATTATCCTGTTTCTAGACAGTGGCAGCCTCTTCAGTGTAGCTCCCGAAGTGATTCTGGTAGTCTTCAGTAGCGTCCAGGCAGTCTACACAAGGTGTCCTCGGTTTTTTGTAGGTTGCCACTCTTCACCTGGGGTCTGCCCTGGATTCTTTTGAGTTCATACTGATACTTAAAAATTTTTTCCTTTTATTTATTTTTTATATTTTATTTATGTATTTATTTGTTTAGAGATAGGATCTTGCTCTGTCATCCAGGCTGGAGTGCAGTAGTGCAATTATAGCTCACTGTAGCCTCGAATTCCTGGGCTCAAGTGATCCTCCTGCCTCAGCCTCCTGAGTAGCTAGGAGTACAGACACATGCCACCTTGCCTGGCTAATATGCTGATTCCTTCTACTCAAATTCAAAAGTATGGGGTCTGTACTTCTTCTGTTACATCTGTCTCTCCTTTCTTCCATATCAAATCCTGGTTCCAAGAGTGTTTGATAAAATATCTCATGATTTTTCATTTGCTTTACATAACCACATTTCATACACGACAGACTTAGGATATAATTTCAATACTGCCAACATCAGTATAATTACTGAAATTCTTAAAAATCTTAGAATATGCCCTAATTTTCTCGAATTTATTAAAATAATTATACTGCATCTACAAGAGCATAATAGCTGTTACATACTATACTTTCTTTCAGTCTTCAAGTCTTAGTTTTACTGACTGGTCCTCGTGGGGTCTGAAGTGGACTCTAGTGAATTCCTCATTAGTCCCTGAGATCAGACTTGTCCATGAGAGTTTTTGTCCTTCAAATTTGAAAGGTAGTTTTTCTGGATATTAAAGCCTTGGATCATGTCTTTTTCCTCTGTGAAAGTATGATAATGATAACATCTTTTCCCCTTAGAAGTCACGTGTGTTTTTTCAGTAATTTTACTAGAATATACGTTCGTGTGGCCATTCTCGGTGATGTTCTCGGTTAGTTAGAAGCCGCGTGTGTTTTTTCTGTAATTTCACTAGAATGTCTGTGTGGCCGTTGTTGGTGATGTTCTTGGTTAGGAGCCGTGTGTGTTTTTTTGGTAATTTCACTAGAATGTACGTTCGTGTGGCCATTCTCGGTGATGTTCTTGGTTAGAAGCCGCGTGTGTTTTTTTCGGTGATTTCACTAGAGTATACGTTCATGTGGCTGTTCTCGGTGATATTCTCGGTTAGAAGCTGCGTGTGTTTTTTTGGTAATTTCACTAGAATGTACGTTCGTGTGGCCGTTGTCGGTGATGTTCTCGGTTAAGCCAGTGTGTGTTTTTCGGTAATTTTACTAGAATGTGGGTTCATTCGGCTGTTCTCGGTGATGTTCTCTGTTAGAAGCCGCGTGTTTTTTCAGTAATTTTACTAGAATATACATTCGTGTGGCCGTCCTCAGTGATGTTCTCGGTTAGAAGCCGCGTGTGTTTCTTCGGTAATTTTACTAGAACGTACGTTCATGTGGCCATTCTCGGTGATGTTCTCGGTTAGCAGCCGCGTGCGTTTTTTTCGTGATTTCACTAGAATGTGCATTTGTGCGGCTATTCTCAGTGATGTTCTCGGTTAGGAGCCGTGTGTGTTTTTCGGTAATTTTACTAGAATGTGCGTTTGTGTGGCCGTTCTAGGTGATGTTCTTGGTTAGAAGTCACGTGTGTTTTTTTGGTAATTTTACTAGAATGTGTGTTCGTGTGGCCGTTCTCGGTGATGTTCTCGGTTAGGAGCCGTGTGTGTTTTTTGGTAATTTTACTAGAATGTGCGTTCGTGTGGCTGTTCTTGGTGATGCTCTTGGTTAGAAGTCGCATGTGTTTTTTTGGTAATTTTACTAGAATGTGCGTTCGTGTGGCTGTTCTCGGCGATGTTCTTGGTTAGAAGTCACGTGTGTTTTTTCGGTGATTTTACTAGAATATACATTGGTGTGACCGTTCTTGGTTGGAAGTCGCGTGTGTTTTTTCGGTAATTTTACTAGAACGTGCGTTCATGTGGCCATTCTAAGTGATGTTCTCGGTTAGAAGTTGCATGTATTTTTTCGGTAATTTTACTAGAATGTACGTTCGTGCAGCCGTTCTCGGTGATGTTCTCGGTTAGGAGCCGCGTGTGTTTTTTTGGTAATTTTACTAGAACGTATGTTGGTGTGGCCATTCTCGGTGACGTTCTCGGTTAGGAGCCGCGTGTGTTTTTTTGGTAATGTTACTGGAATGTATGTTGGTGTGGCCGTTCTCGGTGACGTTCTCGGTTAGGAGCCGCATGTGTTTTTTTGGTAATTTTACTAGAATGTATGTTGGTGTGGCCGTTCTCGGTGACGTTCTCGGTTAGGAGCCGCGTGTGTTTTTTTGGTAATTTTACTAGAATGTATGTTGGTGTGGCCATTTTCGGTGATGTTCTCAGGAGCTGCGTGTGTTTTTTCGGTAATTTTACTAGAACACGTGTTCGTGTGGCCATTTTCGGTGATGTTTTCAGTTAGGAGCTGCGTGTATTTTTCGGTAATTTTTCTAGAATGTGCGTTCGTGTGGCCATTCTTGGTGATGTTCTCGGTTAGAAGTCGCGTGTGTTTTTTTGGTAATATTACTAGATTATACGTTCGTGTGGCTGTTCTTGGTGATGTTCTCGGTTAGGAGTCTCGTTTGTTTTTTCGGTAATTTTACTAGAATGTACGTTTGTGCGGCCGTTCTCGGTGATGTTCTCGGTTAGGAGCCGTGTGTGTTTTTTTGGTAATTTTACTAGAATGTATGTTGGTGTGGCCGTTCTCGGTGATGTTTCAGTTAGGAGTTGTGTGTTTTTTCAGTAATTTTACTAGAATATACGTTTGTGTGGCCGTTCTCAGTGATGTTCTCAGTTAGAAGTTGCGTGTGTTTTATCAGTAGTTTTACTAGAATGTACGTTCGTGTGGCCGTTCTCGGTGATGCTCTCGGTTAGAAGCCGCATGTGTTTCTTCGGTAGTTTTACTAGAATGCGCGTTCATGCAGCCGTTCTCGGTGATGTTCTCGGTTAGAAGCCGCATGTGTTTCTTCGGTAGTGTTACTAGAATGTGCGTTCGTGTGGCCGTTCTCGGTTAGCAGCCGCATGTGTTTTTTTGGTGATTTCACCAGAATGTACGTTCATGCGGCCGTTCTCGGTGATGTTCTCGGGTAAGGGGTGCTCCTTTAGTCTGTCGTCCCAAGTCTGTTTTGCAGGACGTTCTCTTGAATTACAGTCTGCAGTGTTTGTTCTGTAGCCTTGCTTAGCAGTCTTTTCTGGGGACACTTGGTAACTCTCCATGCATTGCATAGTTCATGCCTTTTAGAGTTAATGTTGGTTACTTTCTCTTTCAAGTACTTTCTACCTCTGTTTCTTTTTTTAAAATTTCCTCCTTTTTTCCTATTTGTCTTAAGGTAGCATCTGCTGTGTTTATTTGATTTTACACTCTGTTTTAGTCTCCATTGGAATGTAGTTTTATTGTAATTCTGTCTTCAGCTTTATAAAATGTTTTGGTTTTTGTAAGTCTGATTTATGTGGTTCTTTCATGTCTTGTATCATTTTTCTAATTTCACTCAATTTGTTTTGAAATGTTCAGGGTTGATGTGTTTTGTGGGTGTATCTTTCTGGCCTGCTTTTATTGCCTGTGGGGATGTTATTTTGTTCCTTATTCTCACTTTTCTTTTTTTTTTTTTTGGAGACACAGTCTTGCTCTGTCACCCAGGCTGAAGTGCAGTGGTGTGATTCTGACTCACTGCAGCCTCGACCTCCCAGGCTCAAGCCGTCCTTCCCCATCAGCCTCCCGAGAAGCTAGGACTACAGGCTTGTGCTGCCACACTTGGCTAACTTATTTTTATTTTTTGTGGAGATGAGTCTCTCTGTGTTGCCCAATCTTGTCTCAAACTCCTGGGCTCAAGCAGTCCTCCCAGCTGGGCCTCCCAAAGTGTTGAGATCGTTACAGGTGTGAGCCACTGTACCCAGCCTATTCCCTTTTTCTAACAATAACTTTTTATTGTATTTGGTCTTATACTTTTATCTCACTCACTTTTTTTGTGAAATCATTTTTCTTCAACTTTTAGAATGAGGTGTGAGATTCAGAAAAGCTTTGTCACTTTGTCGCCCAGGTTGGAGTATGGTAGCACGATCGTGGCTCACTACAGCCCCAAACTCTGGGCTCAAGCGATCCCCCTTCCTTAGCCTCCTGAGTAACTGGGACTATAGGCCGTGCCCAGCTAATTTTTAAAATTTTATATTTTAAAATATATAATATATAATAAAATATATAGCCTGTTGTCCAGGCCTGTCTTTAACTCCTGAGCTCAAACAAGCTGCCTGCCTCGGCCTCCCGAAGTGCTAAGATTACAGGAGTGTACCACTACATCTGGCCCAGAAAAGCATTTTTAAACTTGAAGCTATTACTTCATGATAGAAATTTAAAGAACAAAGGGTATTTCTAGTCAGCCTTTTCCTAGACGAAAATCTTGTGACCCTTTTTCTCTTCTGTTTCTCTCTCGCTTTATATCTAGTCCACCAGCAAATCCTGTTTTCTCTGCTTTTAAAATATATTCCAAATTCAACCATTTTTCCCTCACTCTAGACATTCTGGGCTAGAGCACCGTGGGGTCTCACCCAGTTTATCATCCTAGCAACCACATACTAGCTGCCTCCCTGTGTTCCTGCTTCCACTCCCCACCTCCTGCGGCCCCCCCAGAATCAGCTCCCAACAGAGCATGCAGAGATAGTATCTTAAAACCAGTCCAAGCCTGTCAACCCTGTAACCGTAAGAGAGGACCTGAGCCCCTGCCCCACGTCCCTCCTTCTTCCCTCCTTCCTCCCCTGCCTCTTTCCCGGCCTCTCAGTGCCATCCTCTGCTAGATCTTCCAGCCTGAAGGAAAACTCTTGTGCCTCTGCTCGCACACCTCTCACACCAGATGTGCGGGTTCTCCACACCAAGCGGTTCTCCAGTTCTCTGGACACGCCAGAAGTTGAGGTGCTCCTCACCTCCAATGCCGCTCACTCCCCAGGTGACCCACAGCTGCCATCTGACTTGGCTGCACACTGGGCATTCCCACAGCCCCTGGTCAGTGTGATGTTCGCTGTAAAGCTTGATCAGGGGAGTGTGGTTGCAGTAGGAAAGTCTGCCCGGGAGTGACCGCACAAAACAAATTGGCCAAGTGGAAGTGTTTTCTGGCCTTCCAGTCCACAGACATGATCTTCAGTGGGGATGAGCTGGGGAAAGAGTGGTCAGTCTGAGATGCTTGTCTTTGAGGCCAGTTCTTTCTGACTTTCTGCTATTCATTAGCTGTTAAATGTGGTTTTAGTTTCACTGTTTCTACTTTGGGTGCTGATCTGGAGTGGTTGCTATGTTTTGTGCTTGCCTGTCCTTCAGGTGCAGAAGGACTCAGGGTAGAATTTGACCGGCAGTGCTCCACAGAGAGGCGCCACGACCCTCTCACAGTCATGGACGGCGTCAACAGGATCGTCTCCGTGCGGTCAGGTAAGGACAGGAGGTTGAGCAGGGCATGATCTACCCACCTGTGTCTCCGTAGACACAACCCTTCACATTTGTAGGACAGAATGCTGCCTTCGTATTCTCATGGAAGTCTTAAGGAAGGGACAATATGCTATTCAGCTGTGAAACACAGTGGGTTTGCTTGCCTCTTTCCCATACTTTTAAATACAGTAATTATCTGTGATGTATGTACCACATCCCTGTCGGATGGGCCCTGCCTCATCAGACAGTTGCAGAAGGTGCTGGAGACGTGTGAGGTGCCAGAGCTCGTGTAAGGTCATGGTTGGCATACTGCAGAGCTTCTTCAAAAGGTTTGTTTCTTACTGGCTGCAGTGAGGGCATGGCCATGTGTGGAGTGACTTCTGTATGTAGGTGGAGGCAGCCACATGTCCGGCTTATCTCTGCTGCTGGGCTCCATGAGGCCAGCTGGGACAGGTCAGGTCCGTCTTTGGGTGCTTGTGAAATGCTCTTTTACCAAGTATTTTAGAATTGGCAGTGCAGGGGTGTGTGTATGCACCTTTTAAGACCTCTTTATCCTTCATCTCGAGTGTTTCCTGTAAAGGGCCAGGTAATGCAGCCTCTGTCATAACAACATGCAGACTGGATGCCAGAGAATGGGCGTGGCTGTGTCCCAGGAAAACTTTATTCACACAGTGTTACTTAGTTAAGTAAAGCTTTGCATGAAATGGTATGGTCCCAGTGCGCGTGGGTTTTTCTGGTGCTTTGACAGATGTCTGCCAGTGTAGTTTTCAGTAGTGTTGTTGGATGTGAGTTTTTCTGCATCCAGTGGAAAGCCTTTATGGGCCATCCCTGAGCTGCTGGCAGATGGTCCTTCTGAAGCAGAAATCTGGCAGGGTTCTCTTGGCCTTCTAAGATCCTGTAGATCTTAGGTGTAGTACACCACCGCTCCTGTCCACAGCAGCCAGGCCCTCTGCTCCCTCGAGGGCGGCCTACTCTGGGCCGTGCTGAACCACACACATAGGCCTTTTGTTGGGAGAGCTAGGGTTCTTCCTTCTGCTGCCTGGTCACCTGGTTGTATCAGAGCTTTCCCGGGAAATGTCCCCATGGCCCCTGGCCTGGTGTGTGCTGGACACCTGGAGGCCACTCACTGTATCCTGGCTGGTGGGGTCATTTCCCCACTGGGTGGTGGCTTCTGCCAGGGCAGTGTCTGCCCGCCTGCCGCAGTTTCCTGGGTACCTGGTACAGGGGCTGAATGCGTGTTTGCTGAAGAATGGTATGTATTAAAATGTGAATCCCAAGAGTGTTGTGTCACTGTGCACTTCGGCTTGGGAGAGCTTGGATTGGAGGAACTTGCTCTTCACACGTGACGGAAATCATTCTGCTTTGCGTCTAAGAAGGTTTGTGTTGATTGGATGATGGAGTGAAGCTAACCCCGGGGTGCGCTTTCCTCCCGCAGGCCGAGAGTGGTCCGACTGGTCCAGCGAGCTGCGCATCCCAGGGGATGAGTTAAAGTGGAAGTTCATCAGCGATGGGTCTGTGAATGGCTGGGGCTGGCGCTTCACCGTCTATCCCATCATGCCAGCTGCTGGTAAGGAAGGGGCTTATGGCGATCAAGGTTAGATGACTGGCTGTGGATTGTTTCTGGAGCAACAGGGACACGTGCACATGTCCACGTAGTGCCTGACAGCCTGCCTTCTGCTGTGTTGGAGTGAGTGCTCTCACAGGCCCTGCTGAGGCGTGGAACAGAACACAGATCTGTCCCAGCCATCCAGCTGTCAGGCTCACACTCCTCCTCACCTGGTGTGGAAGGAGTTGTTGCTGGTGCAGTTCTTAGGCTTTTGGTTTACAGTGGAAATGTGAGTGTGAAGAGCGAGTCTCACCGACTCGCAGTGGCATGCATGGGCACACCAGCTGTTGCCTTCTGGTGGGTGGGGCTGGGTGGAGCCACCCTTGTTCGTTGGCGGCTTCTTATGGGGTGGTACCTAGCTTGTGAAACCCGGGGATGTTTACAGTGTTCATTCACAGGCCCTAAAGAACTCCTCTCTGACCGCTGCGTCCTCTCCTGTCCATCCATGGACTTGGTGACGTGTCTGTTAGACTTCCGACTCAACCTTGCCTCTAACAGAAGCATCGTCCCTCGCCTTGCGGCCTCGCTGGCAGCTTGTGCACAGCTGAGTGCCCTAGGTAAATGCCACCATTACAGTTACATCTGTCTTCCTGCTTGGAAGAAACCATCAGACTTCTGATACTTTCTCTCTGCTCATTTCAGCTGCCAGTCACAGAATGTGGGCCCTTCAGAGACTGAGGAAGCTGCTTACAACTGAATTTGGGCAGTCAATTAACATAAATAGGCTGCTTGGAGAAAATGATGGGGAAACAAGAGCTTTGGTATGGAGCATTCTAGTACAATTTCTAGATTTGTGACCCTTGGGGAATAAAATGTTGCTTTAGTAGTCTAAACCTCTAAATCGTTGAGAGGAGTTGGGGAGTTTCACATAAGAATAAGGAGGCCTTGGACCGGGCGCGGTGGCTCATGCGTGTAATGCCACCACTTTGGGAGGCTGAGGTGGGCGGATCACGAGGTCAGGAGATCGAGACCATCCTGGCTAACACGGTGAAATCCTGACTCTACTAAAAATACAAAAAATTAGATGGGCGTGGTGGTGGGCACCTGTAGTCCCAGCTACTTGGGAGGCTGAGGCAGGAGAATCGCTTGAACCTGGGACGTGGAGGTTGGAGTGAGCTGAGATCCCGCCACTACACTCCAGCCTGGTGACAGAGCGAGACTCCATCTCAAAAAAAATAAATAAATGAATAAAAATAAGGAGGCCTTTGTCCCATCCAGACTTCTCGTATGTTGCAGTGTATACTGAGTTCAAGTTGGACTTTGATATTCTGAAAATCTGTCTCGACAGCTGTGAACATAGGATTGTGTTGATTGGACTTTACAATGAGGCTAACTGATTGGCCTCCCCTTTATTTTGCTGACTAAAGTAGTCCCTTTTGATCCTACCCATGGGACGAGACAGGCAGCGTTTGTGGGCCAGAGAGGGGCTATTTCTCTGGAAGCGGATGTACTGAAATCAAGACCAAACATTCTGAGATGAGTCTTCAAACTCCTCTTTTTTATTTCAGTGTTTATGTTCTTTTAGCTTTTTTCCTACTTGAGAATTTTGATAAGCTTTTTTTTTTTAGTTTTTTTAGAAGAGTTAGTACCAACATAATAAAACATTTGACGGTAGAAACAAATGGTCAGCCTCCCCGGCACCTGGATTCCTGCGATAGAATACTGTTCTGTTGTTTCTTAGAGTTTTACAGGTAGTGCTCTTGCTGCTTTGGTGAAAGGTCTTCCAGAAGCTTTGCAAAGGCAGTTTGAATATGAAGATCCTATTGTGAGGGGTGGCAAACAGCTGCTCCACAGCCCATTCTTTAAGGTAATGTTTCACTTCTTTTTTAAAGTGACAATAGAGCTATTTGACTGAAAGAGCCACTGAGAGTTGTCATGTGCAGTGTGTGTGTTTTAGGCCTCTGAGGGCAGCTGTAGGTATTGCTGAAGTCAAATATGAAAAAATCTCAAGAAATGATCGTGTAATCTAAACCCTTAAACCATAAGCCTGTAACCGTTAGCATGCCTTGAGATGCACAGGTGTTCTTGTCACTTGATGCAGGCAACAAGTGTTGCAGCAGTTGTGTGGCACGTGGCTAGGAACTGTCAGAGGTCGCCACATCACTGATGGTGGCCGTATCCTTGCTGTGCCCATGGCCGTCATCCTGGAATAGGAGGTCCTGCGGAAGGAGCCACAGAAACCTTGGCCTGTTCACTGCATTTCTGAGTTTCCCTGAGTTTGTCATTTTTGGTGCCTGCAGGTACTGGTAGCTCTTGCTTGTGACCTGGAGCTGGACACTCTGCCTTGCTGTGCCGAGACGCACAAGTGGGCCTGGTTCCGGAGGTACTGCATGGCCTCCCGTGTTGCTGTGGCCCTTGACAAAAGAACACCGTTGCCCCGTCTGTTTCTTGATGAGGTATTGCATGATATTTTGGAATCACTTTTGGGATGCAAAAACATTATTTAGCTATAGTGTAACAAGATGCCAATATTACGAGACACAGAAAAATTTCGCTTGCCAAGGAATATCAAAGAAAATAACACATAGGTGAAAATGAGTGAACTGACACTGTGAATTTCAGTTAAAGTTTATTTTTAGTAAACTACAGGTAGAATGATACTGTCTAGACATTTCTAATATGTTAGACTTGATGCAGTCATTATTGGTTTTGCCCATGAACCATAACATTGCAATGTTGCTCTTCCCTCATATTTTTAGGCAGGGATTCCTTCTGTCTTTCCTTAGTATTTATCTATTTTGTTTGAGATAAGTGTTTGATTTGTAACATCATAATAATTTTGTTTAGGTGGCTAAGAAAATTCGTGAATTAATGGCAGACAGCGAAAACATGGATGTTCTGCATGAGAGCCATGACATTTTTAAAAGAGAGCAAGACGAACAACTTGTGCAGTGGATGAACAGGTTATTATATTAGAAACAAGCAGTAATGTCGATCGTGAGTGTGAGAGGCTGTGTGCATTGTTCTTGCCCATGGCAAATGCTCACTTGATGTGTATTGTAGGCGACCAGATGACTGGACTCTCTCTGCTGGTGGCAGTGGAACAATTTATGGATGGGGACATAATCACAGGGGCCAGCTCGGGGGCATTGAAGGCGCAAAAGTCAAAGTTCCCACTCCCTGTGAAGCCCTTGCAACTCTCAGACCCGTGCAGTTAATCGGAGGGGAACAGACCCTCTTTGCTGTGACGGCTGATGGGAAGGTAAGAGCTCTTTTTCTATGTCACAAGGTCATTGAGCCTGAGGCAGTTGTGGCTAAAGGTGCTGTGTGGTTCTTAGCACGTGCAAGGATCTGTACTAAAACGTTTCTCAGGATTAATGATACTGTGGTATGCAGGAAGCAGCTAGAGTTCTAAGATATTTTTGTATAATCTTTAAATTAAAAAAAAAAAAAGTTTAAGACAGTTTTGCTCTTGTTGCCCAGGCTGGAGTGCAATGGCGTGGTCTCGGCTCACTGCAACCTCCACCTCCTGAGTTCAAGTGATTCTCCTGCCTCAACCTCCCAAGTAGCTGGGATTATAGGCGCCCGCCACCACACCTGGCTAACTTTTGTATTTTTAGTAGAGACAGGTTTTCACCATGTCGGCCAGGCTGGTCTCGAACTCCTGACCTCAGGTGATCCACCCACCTCGGCCTTCCAAAGTGCTGGGATTACAGGCATGAGCCACCACGCCCGGCCAATTTATTTTTATTTTTATTTTGAAAATACGTCATGTATGCAAAAGTATTACAATTTTTATTTGCACATCACTCGTTAGATGTATTTCTTGTTTGCTATTGTAAATACTATCTTTTAAAAAATGTATTGCTGCTGACCCGGTGCGGTGGCTCATGCCTGTAATCCCAGCAATTTGGGAGCCCAAGGTGGGTGGATCACCTGATGTCAGGAGTTCGAGACCAGCCTGGCCAACATAGGAAAACCCTGTCTCTACGAAAAATACAAAAATAAGCCAGGCTCAGTGACATGTGCCTGTAATCCCAGCTACTCGGGAGGCTGAGGCAGGAGAATCACTGGAACCCGGGAGATGGAGGTTGCAGTGAGCCGAGATCACACCACTGCACTCCAGCCTGGGTGACGGAGTGAGATTCTGTCTCCGCCCCCAAAAAAAGATTGCCACTGATATATAGAAATATTGGATGTTTATATATTGACTTTATGTTTGGTGACCTACTTGACTGTCTCCATTCTAGTATATGTGAAGATTTCTTGTATCTTCTTTATAGAGTGCCGTAGTCTCTAAATGAATGCTGTTCCTTTCTGTCTAGCCTACCTCTCTTTTATTTTTCCCGTTTGTGTGGGAGAATGGGAGCTCATGGTGCAGGCTGGGGTTGCGGTGTGATTCTGGGTAGGAGTGGGTGGAGGCTCCTGCCTTGATCAAGACTGGAGCGGGTGCAGATGGAGCGTTCCCAGGCTTCCAGTGGGGTTTGAGTAGAAGCCCTTGATCAGATTAGGCATGTTTCCTTCTGTTTCTAGTCAACAGTGGACACTGATTTTTGTTCAACACTCTTTCTACGTGTTTTGAAATGTTCTTTCATAGATGTTTTCTTCTTCTTCTTTTTTTTTTTTGAGACAGAGTCTCACTCTGTCGCCCAGGCTGGAGTGCAGTGGCACAGTCTCGGCTCACTACAACCTCTGCCTCCTGGGTTCAAGCGATTCTCCTACCTCAGCCTCCCGAGTAGCTGGGACAACAGGCGCCCACCACCACGCCTGGCTAATCTTTCTTTTTTTTTTTTTTTTAGTAGAGATGGGGTTTCGCCATATTGGCCAGGCTGGTCTTGAACTCCTGACCTTGTGATCCGACCACCTTGGCCTCCCAAAGTGCTGGGATTACAGGCATGAGCTACCGTGCCCGGCCAGTGTTTTCTAATGGATTAGTATAGCCAGTTGGATTAATTGGTTTTCTCATATTAAACAAACTTACATTCTTTGGATAGATCCAGTTTGGTCAGGATATGTATCTGGCTTGTGTTTGTGATAGTTTTGTTTTAGATTTTTGGGAGATCCTATTCATGAGTGAGATACTCTCATGTAATGTACTGTCTCACACACATTTATTATTTCATAGTTTCTCTGGGTCAGGACTCTGGATGCAGCATAGCTCCGTCCTCCAGCTCAGAATCTCAGCAGGCTGCAGTCATCTTGAGGCTGTCCGAGCAAGGATTCAGTCCCTCATGGAACTTTGGGCTGAGGCCTCAGTCCCTTATGAGCTGTTGGCAGAGCCTCCCCTCACTCAGCCCTTTGCCACGTGTCCATAGAGCGTCTCACAGGGTGGCAGCTGACTCTGTCAGCGAGAGCAAGGGAGGCGCAGGAGGGAGCACCAGCAAGAGAGAGTGGAGGAGACAGAGCCCCGGTCCTGTGTAACTGAATCACAGAAGTGACCACACTCCAGTTCTTGCCCTATTCTGCTCATCAGAAGCAGGTCATTAAGTCCAGCCCACACTCAGGGAGAGGGAGCTGTAGGCATGCTTGGAGATATGCAGGCTTGGTTCTAAATCAACACAATAAAGCAAGTGTCTTCACAAAGCATGTCACACAAATTTCTTGGTTTCCCAGTGGATATAAAAGTACTATAGTCTATTAAGTCACATCTTTAGACTCCACTTCTAATTCTAGTTCTCTTGCTGTTTCCACCACATCTGAGGTCACTTCTTCCACTCGTGTTGAATCCCTCAAGGTCATCTGTGAGGGTTGGAATCCACTTCTTCCAAATCCCTGTTAATGTTGATATTTTCACCTCCTCCCATGAATCACAAATGTTCTTAATGGCATTTATAATGGTGCTGGCTTTCCAGAAGGTTTTCAATTTAGTTTGTCCACATCCGTTAGAGGAATCACTGTCTATGGCAGCTATAGCCTTATGAAATGTATTTCTTAAATAACAAGATTTGAAAGTCGAAATTACTCCTTGATCCATGTGGCTGCAGAAAAAATGATGTGTTAGCCGGCATGAAAACAACTTTAATCTCTTTGTACATGTTCATCAGAGCTCTTGGGCGACCAGGTACATTGTCAATGAGCAGTAATGTTTTGAAAGAAATCTTTTTTTCTGAGCAGTAGGCCTCAATAGTGGGCTTAAAATATTCAGTGAACCATGCTGTAAACAAATGTGCTGACTTCCAGGTTTTGTTCTATTTCTGGAGCACAGTCAGAGTGGAGTTAGCATAATTCTTAAGGGCCCTAAGATTTTCAGAATGGTCAATGAGCATTGACTTCAGTGAATTCAACTAATATAGTCATCAGCTGCATTAGCCCCTAACAAAATATTTGAAGCTTTGAAGGCAAACATTGACTTCTCTCTAGCTATGAAAGTCCTAGCTGGCATCTTCTTCCAATAGACGGTTGTTCCATCTACGTTGAAAGCCTGTTGTTTAGCGTAGCCACCTTCATCACTGATCTTGGCTAGATCTTCTGGGTAACTTGCTGCAGCTTCTACATCAGCACTTGCTACTTTCCCTTGCACTTTTATGTTATGAAGACGGCGTCTTTCCTTAAACCTCAGGAACCAATCTCTGTTACCTTCAGACTTTCCTTCAGCAGCCTTCTCACCTCTGTTAGCCTTCGTGGAATTGAAGACAGTTAGCAAGCTCTGGATTAGCTTTGGCTTAAGGGAATATTGTATCCGTTTTGATCTTCTGTCTATGCCAAACATTCTCTATATCAGCAATAAGACTGTTTTGCATTCTCATCATTTGTGTGTTTACAAGAATTGCACTTAATTGTGCTTCAAGAACTTTTTCTTGGGTAACTGGTGCAAGAGGCCTAGCATTCAGCCTGTCTTGGCTTTCAGTGTGCCTTACTCACTAATCTTAATCATTTCTAGCTTTTGACTTAAAGTGAGAAATATGCAACTCTTCCTTTCACTTGAACTCTTAGAGGCCACTGTAGGGTTATTAAGTGGCCTTATTTCAATAAGTTGTGTCTCAGGGACATAATAGGGAGGTCTGAGGAGAGGGAGAGAGATGGGAGAACAGCTGGTTGGCGGAGCAATCAGAACATACACATTTATCATTTAAGTTCACCGTCTTCTATGGGTGTGGTTTGTGGTGCCTCAAAACAAGTACAACAGTAACATCAAACATTACTGATCACAGATCATCATAACAGATAAAATAATGAAAAAGTTTAAAATATTTCAAGAATTATCAAAACGTGACATAGCGACGGTAAGTCAGCACATGCTTTTGGGAAAATGGCGCCGATAGACTTGATCAGTGTAGGGTTGCCACAGACCTTCAGTTTATAAAAAACAGTATCTGCGAGGTACAGTAAAGCGAGGCACAGTCAAATGGGGTGTGCCTGTATACAGGAGCACACATATTTAGAAGCAGGGATCATTGTGAACCGTATCAGAGGCAGACTGCTAGCACAGGTGTTGAAGTGGTCTAGCCTCATAAAAAGGTTTGAAATATAGCCCCTCTGTGTCAATTCTCAGGAGAATTCTGTTTCTTTTCATTGTTTCTCTGGTTATTTTAACATAGGTACTTAAAAACCTAAAGTTAATTAGTATTTTCCCCTCCTCCCAATCAGTGACCCCTTGTTACCCAGTGTTTGGGTTCTAACCTATTCCCCTCTGCCATAGACATTATTGCTGTTGTTTTGGTTGTTTTATATGGACTGTGGTTTTTTTTTTTGAGTTAGCTAAATGTTGCACATCTTTGCTTACTATCATTTCTTACCATCATTTGTTATGTCTCAGATCTTATAAAATCATTTCCTTCTCCTTTAGCATATCTTTCTCAATTTACTTTAGTGAAATTCTTTCGTTGGTTAATTCTGATTGTTTGTTTCAAAATATCTTCATTTTGTCCTTTTTCTAGGGTAGGGGTTGGTAAACACTTTCTGTAAAGGGCACAATGGTATTTTCAGCTTTGGGCCATATGGTCTCTGTTGCGACTACAAAAGCAGCCCTGGACATATTATAAATGAGTGGGTGTGGCCGTGTTCCCGTAAAGCTTCATTTACAGAAAGAAATGATGGGCCTGATTTGGCACATGGGCCATAATTTGCCAACTCCTGTTGTAGTTATGAATTCTCAGGAGCAAGCCTCTGTCTCCCTTTCAGTGCTGAGGCTGGGAAGGGCAGCTTTCTGTGGTGTTCTTCTTATTCACAGTCACTGAGGGGCAACCCTTTGGAGCCCCACTTTCTATAGGAAGTCCTGGGAGGCATGCTGCATTACCCTGCACCCTGTGCACCAGAGAGCCTCACACCCTCCCCGCCAGAAGCTGGCTTTGGGTGTGGGGCTCATTTATCCACCTGAGTTTGGGTTTCACTTCCTGCATTGGCCCTTGTGGCTTCCTTACTATTATGTCAGCGTAGCAGCACGTTTGAAAGATGTCTAAAACAGCATGGAACAGCATTTAAGTTTTTATCAGGAGGGATGTTTGCCTTCATTTGGAAAACGGCAGTCTGATTTAGTGTGTGTATGTTTTTAAATTAATCATTTTTTAAAATTAATCATAGATGTTTTGTGTCCTAAAACATTCCCACTTAGATTAAAAAAAAAAAAGGTGTTTTTTTCCCGTGTGGTTTATATGCTGCCCTGCTGAAATATTAAAATGTATTTGTGTTCTTTTATGGGTATGTTTTGTGGCTGTTATTGTCAGAGTTTTGCATATAGTAGATAATTAAATTGTTTTTTATTTTTCTTGGTGTTAATTGTAGTTGGTATTCTACACAAAAATGGAAGAGCTTCCAGCAAGAAGACCTTATTTTCACAATATGTTTTCTGAATTTGGAATTTCTAATAGTCATGTTTTTATTTCATTTCTAGAACTTTGATAGAGCATGTATAAAGGCATAAACTTATATTCCTGAGATTTTTAACTTTAAATTTTATTTCTATGTGGTAAAAATGTCTAAAGCATGGATTAGGTTTATGAATTAGTAAATTTAGGGGATATTGAGATTAAAAACTGATGTTACTATTGCTTTTTCTTTTCTTAGCTGTATGCCACTGGGTATGGTGCAGGTGGCAGACTAGGCATTGGAGGGACAGAGTCGGTGTCCACCCCAACATTGCTTGAATCCATTCAGCATGTGTTTATTAAGAAAGTAGCTGTGAACTCTGGAGGAAAGCACTGCCTTGCCCTGTCTTCAGAAGGAGAAGTTTACTCTTGGGGTGAGGCAGAAGATGGGAAGTTGGGGCATGGCAACAGAAGGTATGATGTGAAAAAATTATTTCAACATTCTATTTGTCTTTGTTTTTGTTTGTTTTAATGCTGCTACAATCTATTGGCGCTTTGTTTTTCAAGGCAACATTTACATTACTCTCAAACTAAATAATGTTAATGACTCATTTGGCAGAAATAGTTTTATGTTCCAATACGAAGGCTTACCCGTATGATTCCTCTGTTGAGAGGGAAAAAAAAGTCAATTCTGTGTTTTTGATGACAAGTACTAAGTAAGTGTTTTTTTGTCCTTCTCCCTTAAATCATCCACTGAATCACGTTTGGCATTTTGTGTAACGTGCATGATACTAGAACTGCAAATACAGAGGAAATAGCAGGGGTGAGGAAGAAAGAACGCACAATTGACACCATTTGTAAAAGAATGAACCAAACTCACAAGTATTAAAAAATTAATGAGAACTACCAGCCAGATTGGAGTAACAGGGGCCTTCTTATCCTAGGAATAACTAAACCACCATATAAAATATATTAAACAGGTCCGGCGTGGTGGCTCACGCCTGTAATCCCAGCACTTTGGGAAGCTGAGGTGGGCAGATTGCTTGAACTCAGGAGTTCAAGACTAGCCTGGGCAACATGATGAAACCCCATTTCTACAAAAAATAGAAAAAAATTAGCCAGATGTGGTGACACACACCTGTAGTCCCAGCTTCTCGGGAGGTGGAGGTTGCAGTGAGCCGAGATTGCGCCACTGCACTCCAGCCTGGGGAACAGAGCGAGACTCCATCTCAAAAAAAAAAAAAAAAGAGGAAAAAATAATTTGGCAAACTCCAACATCCATTTCTGATAAAAACTCTGAGTAGTCTAGGAGTAAGAGGTCTCTTCCTTTACCTGATCAAGGGCATCTCTGTTAACCTAGAGCTTAGGTTGTAGTTAATGGCAACAGACCAAAAGCTTTCCCCCTGAGTTGAGGATCAAGGCAAGGATGTCTGCTATCACCACTTCTCTTCAACATTGTGCAACAGGTTTAGTAAGTGCGGTACAGCAGTGCAAAGAAATAAAAGGCATCTAGATTGTAAAGAGAATTAAAACTGTCTTTTTTGCAGAAAACATTGTTTATGCAGAGAACCTGGTGGTATTTACAAAAAGCTGCTAGAACTGATAAGTGAGGCTAGCAGTGTTGCGGGATAGAAGATCAATAAATAAAAGTTACTTGTACATCTATACGTATACATATACGTAACCAGAAAGTGAAATTTTAAAATACCACTTAGAATACCCTCTCCCAGAATTGAAAAACTATGGGATAAATCTGACCCAAAAATGTGAATGACCCTGTAGACAGAAGACTACAAAGTATTGCTGAGATAATTTTTAAAAAACCTAAAGTCGTGAAGGGGCATGCTGTGTTCATGGAGCAGAAGAGTCAGTATTGTTAATTTGCTGGCTATCCTCAAATCTATAGATTCAACACCTTCCCAATCAAGATTTGTATAGAAATTGATAAGCGGAGCATAAAATGTATATGGAGATGCAGATGGCCTAGAATAGTCAAATCAACTTTGAAAATGAGGAAAAGGTCGGAAGACTTGCACTACCTGACTTAAGCCTCATTTATAGCTGCAGTAAACAGCATGGCTTGGTGCTGGCAAAAAGAGAGAGACAGATACATCAATGGAGCAGAATAGGGAATCCAGAAACCGGCTGGCAAATGCTGACAAGATGAGTGTGGAAAAATGAAACTGGACTTCTCACAGTTTCTAGTGCACAGTTTATACGAGTGCACAGCCAGTTCACTGGAGAAAATATACTATTTTCAACAAGTGGTTTTGAATAATTGGATAACCTATGGCAAGAAATGAACTTAAATTCATACTTTACACCATATCCAAACATTAATTCAAAATGAACCATAGTCATGAATGTAGAATGTAAAATGTAAAACTTAAAAGTTCTGGAAGAAAACATGAGAAAATTTTTGTGACTTTAGGTCAGAAAAGATTTTTAGATTGAACTCCAAAAGCATGATTCATGAAAGAAAAATATAACTTGGACTTCATAAAAATTATGAACTGTTCTTCAAAAGACACTATGAAGAGATTGAAACCACAAGCTGGGAAAGGATATTCACAATCATATAATCTGACTAAGGTCTGATAGCCAAAATATATAAAGAACTTCTTTCAGAACTTAATAAGAAAACAAAAAGTTTGTTATCAGTAGTCACTATGTTATAGACTAGTGACATTCATATGTTAAAACTCCTTAAATGAATTGTTAATTCATAGTGGGGGTGAGGTGCAAACTTTCCTTATAGGGCCAGATGGTAACTATTTTAGGAGTTGCATATGATTCTTTTTTTTTTTTTTTAAACCCGTTAAAATGTAAAACCTGTTCTCAGCTCATAGGCCTTTGAAAAATGGTCTGTGCTTCGAACTTGACCCAGTATGTGTGGTCACTTTCCAGCCTCTGAGTCAGAGCTGGGGAAGCCGTGTCCTCTGGCCTTGTACAGGAAGGAGATAGGAAGTGGTGACCTTTTGAGTTTAGGTCTGAATGATTCTTCTTGATTGATTTAACAATTAACTGATTAGGAAGGTGTAGATTGAGAGGTATTTAATACACTGAAAAATGTTTAAGAATAAAAATGTGTTTCCATTATATTTGGTGACTTTTTTGCAGTCCGTGTGACCGCCCTCGTGTCATCGAGTCTCTGAGAGGAATTGAAGTGGTCGATGTTGCTGCTGGCGGAGCCCACAGCGCCTGTGTCACAGCAGCCGGGGACCTCTACACATGGGGCAAAGGCCGCTACGGCCGGCTGGGGCACAGCGACAGTGAGGACCAGCTGAAGCCGAAGCTGGTGAGGAGGCGCCGTGTGCAGAGGCCAGAGGCTGCATGCTCCTCACTGCTGCTGTCAGATGGGGGCGGTTTGCCACCGTTGTTATGAAAAATGCTTTGGCTTCTAGAAGGCCCACTGTATTTTTGGGTGCAAGAAGTGAATAAACAGCCTTCATGGTGATGTAGGGTTGGCTCATCAAAGACGCTGATACCTCCTCCTGCGGTTTAGATGCATGTAGTTCAAATAGATGAAGGTGCTTTCTCTTTTGTCTTATAGGATTTTAGAAATCACCTCTTTGTAAAGGCTTAAAACAGGTACCCCCATAAAAAAAGAATGGCAGTGTTGTGAAGCCAGTCCTGTGGCAAGCCTTCTTGTGTTGTGCTTGGCCAACCCAAGTCCCTTTTCTCTGAAGGTGGAGGCGCTGCAGGGCCACCGTGTGGTTGACATCGCCTGTGGCAGTGGAGATGCCCAGACCCTCTGCCTCACAGATGACGACACTGTCTGGTCCTGGGGGGACGGGGACTACGGCAAGCTCGGCCGGGGAGGCAGCGATGGCTGTAAAGTGCCTATGAAGGTATTTCCCATTCTTTCCCTGCCCAGTGCTCTCCCAGCTCACCGCAGTCAGGGGCCCCCAGGGCCCCTCTGGGAAAACACAGCCTCAGAGCCACCATTACTGTCCCCCGTGTGTGCTCCTTAGGAGCACTTTAACCTCCTCTTTACCTTCGTTCCAGTAAATATAATGGGTAATTGGCTAGAAAGTGTGTGGAGGGCCTAGAGGGAGTAAGGTGTTCTATGTGCTGTGTGCGTTCTCTTGAGAAGTGGATGGGATCATCCGGGCACCGTGGAGCCTCCTGGTTTATAGCATGTAGGCCTGTCTCAGAGAAGGATATCACATGGCTCACACTCTCTCAATTTACAGTGGTGTGGAGTTGCCACGGCACGCGCTTGGGGGTGCCAGTGCTTGCTAAAGGGACTGCATCTGGGTTAGCCGGGGCCATCTCAGGTGGGTGTCCTGTGAGGAGCGAGAGCAAGGCCTGCACAGCGCCTGAGTCCTGCAGTCCTGGTGGGGTCGGCGGCTCTGCTCCACTCAAGCCCGGTGGCTGCAGGCGATTTCTTATCTTTGCCAGAATGTCTTTTGCTCTTGTGAATGGGTGGCTGGTACGTGGTTCAGGTCCTGCACATGCTTCTCAGTGACCTCAGTGCATGCACACCACACTGCCGTGTAGCCCAGGTGCTCTGCTGGGTACTTGGGAGCCTGTTGCTGCGAACCTGTCTCTGCCTGGCCTCCTCTCTCGTGGGGCTGTGGGGTTGCAGGTGTGGCACAGGTGCTTCTGGAGCAGACCCTCATCAGTGGCATGTGTCAGAGGCCCCTCCTTGTGGGAAAGAGCCTGGGGTTTGCACTTCCAAGGCTGAGGATGCTGGGCATCAGAGGGGCTGGAGCAGGACGTCCCGATGCCATTGTGGTAGGGCCAGACACTAGAGCCCTACCACATTGTCTCATTTAGAGAATGAAGTCAGTTTTAATTAATTTGAGTTCAGAATTAAATATAAGAACTTACATATGAGAGCAATCACAGAGGTCATGAGGAGCAGCTTGCGGGATAGGGAAAGTTGGCTGGCAGGTGTGCAGTGTGGAGGGTGGGTGGGGCCCAGTGCTTTTGGCCATCCCTCCCCTTGCCTGCTGCTCCTCCCCCGCGGGCCTCTGCTCTGAGAGGGCTGGGGCAGGTGAGGAGAGACACAGGGATTGCTGGAGTTTGGTGCTCCTGCACAGAGAAGCATGGTTGCGGGAGGCCATTCTGGGGAGAGGCTTGCAGGCCTCACCTGCAAAGCTCCCATTTCTGGTGCCCTGTGCTGGGTCCCACCGGGCCACAGTGTGCCAACGGGTGTGCTGTCAGTCACGGTCCCGCCTGCCTCCTGAGAGTGCTGAGATTAAGTGGAATATGATTTTACGTTGCACTAATTATTCATCATGGGTACAAGTTTTCAGAATTCTTACTAGATTTAGTTAAATCTCAGTGTGGTTATAGCAGTCAGCAGGAGCCTTGTTGCTGTCTGTCTAATTGAACCTTTTCCCCCTCTAGATTGATTCTCTTACTGGTCTTGGAGTAGTTAAAGTGGAATGCGGATCCCAGTTTTCTGTTGCCCTTACCAAATCTGGAGCTGTTTATACCTGGTACGCAAGATTCTGTTTGTTTAAACCCACTAAAACCAGATTTTTATTGGGGTATGTGCACCACCTTTTCATGGATGGGAATGTAGCTTCTGCAGCAGGCTATGGTTGTGTCCTGAACAGCAGAGGCTGCCCAGGAGGCTGGTCAGGGTGGTCAGTGAGATCACCTTGCCCCATAATTTCCATGCTTCCTTTGTGTGCAGGGGCAAAGGCGATTATCACAGGTTGGGCCATGGATCAGATGACCATGTTCGAAGGCCTCGGCAGGTCCAAGGGTTGCAGGGGAAGAAAGTCATCGCCATCGCCACTGGCTCCCTGCACTGTGTGTGCTGCACAGAGGATGGTAGGTAGGGGCTCAGTGCCGCAGGACTGAGGCCTGTGAATCTAAGAGGGTTGAGCATGAAGGACATGCGCAGCCTTAAAAGGGGGCACAGGCCAGGTGTGGTGGCTCACTCCTGTTGCCCCAGCACTTTGGGAGGCTGAGGCAGGCGGATCACGAGGTCAAGAGATCGAGACCAGCCTGGCCTACACGGTAAACATCATCTCTACTAAAAATACAAAAATTAGCTGGGCATGGTGGCGCGCGCCTGCATCTCAGCTACTCAAGAGGCTGAGGCAGGAGAATCACTTGAACCCGGGAGGTGGAGGTTGCAGTGAGCCAAGATCGTGCCATTGCACTCCAGCCTGGTGACAGAGCAAGACTGTCTCAAAAAAAAAAAAAAAAAAAGGAGGCAAAGGCTTATACTGTGTCCTGAGAATCTATCTGCAGTCAGCAGGGCTTTGGCCCTGTCATCTTCAGCCCCTGCTGTTAAACCTGTGAATGAGTTCTATTTATTACTTATTACTGGGCTGTGCAGAACAGAGCTAGCAGCCAGCCTGAGACGTGTCCTTAGACAGACCTGCTGCAGGCTTGGCCCTCTGCTGGTGTCTGGGAACCTGGGTTTCGGGAGGGATCCCCTGTTCCCTAGGTGGTAGGT
Source organism: Homo sapiens (assembly GCF_000001405.40). NCBI lineage: Eukaryota > Metazoa > Chordata > Mammalia > Primates > Hominidae > Homo > Homo sapiens. The sequence continues at coordinate 262,967 of NW_011332701.1, read as the reverse complement.
GTGGTTCACTGTGCCTGAACTGTCTGTACAAGCGACATGTTCTGTGCTGAAATCTGCTTTCCTTGGTCTGGAACTTGGTACGCGCCAGGCAGGGGGTGCCTGTGTGATCAGCCCTGATGGAAACCCTGGGCCTGGAGTCTCTACCCAGCTTCCCGGCAGACAGCACCTGACACAGCTCAGTGCCGGGGCAGTTAAGCTCGTCCTGTGTGGCTCCTGTGGGAGAGGACTCTGGAAGCTTGCTCCTGGTTCCCCCACTGCTTTGCCACAGGTCCCCATCCCTGTGCTGGTCTTACTCTGTGTCCTCTTGCCATAATACACTGTAACTGTGAGGAGGAGTGTATGCTGAGTCTTGTAAGTCATGCTGGAGAATCAGGAGCGTGGGGCGGTCCGGGGAACCCCAACACAATGGCAAAAGGGACTTTTCAGGTCAAATGAAGTTTGTGAGTCAGCTGACTTGATGATATGGAGATTATTCTGGATTATTTAGTGGGCCCAGTGTAATCACACAGACCCTTTGATCAGAAAAGGAGGCAGAAGAGTCAGTCAGAGATGTGACTGAAGAGGTAGTAGAAAGATTTTCAAAGTCTGAGAGCTCTCTACCCTCTGTTGCTGGCTTTCGTGGAGGAACAGGGCTGGGGAATGGGGTGGCCCCTGGAAGCTGGGAGTAGCTCAGCCAGCAAGGAACCTGGACCTCAGTCCCACAGAGAACTGAGCTGTGTCTGAATGAGCAAGGAAACTCTCCCCTGGGGCCTCTGGGAAGGGAGACAGACCCATGCGGGGCTTCTCACCTGCAGAGCGAAAGGATCCTAAGTGTGTGTTGTTTAAGCCAGCCGGGCTGTGGGGATGTGTTATGGCAGCAGTGAAAAACGTGGGCGCCATCTTTCATTAACATGGCCTTCGCACAAACTGTGCTCCTCGTTAAAGCCTTTGGTGAATTATATAAGCATGCACCCTTTAATCATTTCATTGAGGGAAGAGGCTCATGGATGAATGAGCAACTTCTGTGGCCTGTAGTGGAAGGACATTGTAGTTCTTGATCCAGAACTTTTTATTTGACTTATTTAATTCTTTTAAATTTTGAGACAAATCACAGTTGGAAGCAAACCAGTTGGAAGTACATTACCTAGAACTTGCTTATCCCAGTCCACATGAGAGTGAGTTGCTGTCCTGCTGCCGCGTCCTGAGCTTTTCAGTGTGTTTCCCACAAACAGGGAGGCTCGTCCTGCCAGCCAGTTCACACTCCCCCACCCCGCCTGACGCCCATGCCCATTTGCAGCACATTGCCTGCCAGTCAGCTGGCAAGCTGTACCCTCTGTCCTGTGACACTCTCTCAGTGCCTGGCGTCATCGTTTCACTTCCTCGTCTTCCTGGGCTTCTTGCAACTTGACACCAGTTATTTTGTAGCACATTCTTCTGTTTGGATTTTTTGCGATGTTTCTGCGTAGATTCGGGTTGTGTGTCTTTGATCGTCACAGTTCATCCTTGCAGGTGACATGCAGTTTGTCTGCTTGCTGATGATGCTCACTACAGTTGCTTGGTTACATTGTCTGCCATGCTTTTCACTGCGAACATTCTTTATAATTAACAAGTATTTAGTAGGGACATCCTGAATCTATTTAAATATTCCTTTCTCATGCAGCTTTGAATCAATTCATGTATTTGTTTTATCTGAGTGGGAATCATGGATCCTAATGTATTCATTGGGGTATATAGTCTATTTATTTTGATGCTCTAGTTGTGCTCTATTTGGCTGGCTCTGCCCCCTTTTTGTGTGTCCCCGTTGTCTGGGAGTACTTCCTTGCTCTGGCAGAAGAAGATGATTAGCCTCCACTTGTTCCCGCCATGCCCCACGCCTCGACCTGGCCATTTCTCCAAGGAGCCCTGGCATCTGTGGAGGAGAATGGCCTTGAGAAGACAAGGTCTGGATGATGGGTGTGCTCATTGCTATTGAGGCGTCACCGCTCCCCAGACCTCCTCAGTGGACAAAGCCAGGGAATAGTAATGTAAACAATACCCTGGTTTATGTTTGATGTCTGTTGAAAACTGTGAGTTCACACCAGTATCCCCAGGTCCAGTTTGGATCCACAGGGTTCATTCCAGTTTTCTCATGGCAACCTTGCAGATCCTTTCTTTTCTGGCGATTTGGCCACTCCCCCCGTGCATAACCAGCATCTCATCCTCCCCTGTGTGGCTCCTCCCCTTGCATGTGGGGGTCTTGGCTGACTCCCCTCAGAGCTAGCACCTGGGTGGAAGCCCTCCTCACTCTCACAGACTCATTCCCTATGCCCAGCTGCGTCTGCAGAGACACCCTCCTCACCTTGTGTGTGCGACACCCGCCTCGTGGCTTTAGGACCAACGTGTGGAGAGCAGGCAGGGGCAGGAGACAAGTACACTGCCCTTGACCACGCAGGCGTCACACTTTCCAGACACCCGAGGAGTCTCTCTGGATTTGACAATCCTGATGGTGTCTCCAGAGAACATGAGCCTTGTTTCCATCCTGGTCACCAGGGACCTTGCCTGAGAATATTTTCCGGTGGTATTTCTTGGTTGAGGTCCCACACGGTGCACTGAAAAGTGTGATGATTCTTGCGAATGGTGAATCTTATGTTTAGGATATGAACAGAAACGGCATGTTCTTTTTTTATGTTATTTTTTAAATTTATTTTTATTTCAACAAGTTTTTGGCGAACAGGTGGTGTTTGGTTACATGAATAAGCTCTTTAGAGGTGATGTCTGAGAGGTGGGTGCTCCCATCACCCAAGTAGTGTACACAGTACCCAATGTGTAGTCTTTTATCCCTCACTCCTCTCCTACCCTTTCCCCCGAGTCTCCAAAGTCCATTGTGTCATTCTTATGCCGTTGCATCCTCATCGCATGAGAACATATGGTTTGGTTTTCCGTTCCTGAGTTACTTTACTTAGAATAATGGTCTCTAGTCCCATCCAGGTTGCGGCAAATGCAATCATTTCATTCCTTTTTATGGCTAGTAGTATTCCATGGTGTATATATACCACATTTTCTTTATCCACTCATTGATGGATGGGCTTTGGAGCTGGTTCCATATTTGTGTAATTGCAAATTGTGCTGCTATAAACATGTGTGTGCAAGTGTTTTTTCAAATAATGACGTCTTTTCTTCTGGGTAGGTACCTAGTGGTGGGATTGCTGGATCAAATGGTAGATCTACTTTTAGTTCTTTGAGGAATCTCCATACTTTTCCATAGTGGAGCGTGGAAAATGCTTTCCATCACAACGCGTTTTCACAGATAGCTTGTTGTTAGTTTTTATCGCCCTCTAGTGGGGGAAAATCTCAATGTGTTGTACTGGTTTCTGTTCCCACCAGCAGTATAAGTGTTCCCTTTTCACCACATCCATACCAACATCTATTTTTTTTTATTCTTATTTTATTATGGCCATTCTTGCAGGAGTGAGGTGGTATCACATTGTGGTTTTGATTTTAAAAACATAGATTTTCAGGTGGATCACCAAGTCAGGAGTTCGAGACCAGCCTGACCCACATGGTGAAACCCTGTCTCTGCTAAAAATACAAAAATTAGCTGGGCATGGTGGTGCGTGCCTGTGAGCCTAGCTACTCAGGAGGCTGAGGCCAGAGAATCGCTCGAACCCGGGAGGCGGAGGTTGCGGTGAGCTTGAGATCGCACCACTGCATTCCAGCCTGGGCGACAAAGTGAGACTTCATCACAGTGGTTCATGCATGTAATCCCAACACTTTGGGAGATGAGGTGGGAGGATCACTTGAGCTGGGGAGTTTGAGGCTGCAGTGAACCGTGATCATGCCAGTTTACTCCAGCCTGGGCAACAGAGTGTGAGACCCTGTCTCAAAAAAAAAAGTATAAAATAAATAAAACAGACTTTTTCTTTTCTGTTTCGCATGCAAGAGCAATTTGGAATGTTAGGGATATTGCTATGTGTTTTAATATTAGATGGATTTGGGATGTTCGGGATATTGCTATCTGTTCTAATATTATTCTGATGGAGAACTGCTGCTGTTCATGCCTAGTCCTGAGAACTAACACTGTTGGAGGCTTAAGACCAGAGTTGTGTGTCTCTCACTAGAAGAGGCCTGGTGGCCAACAGGGGCTGTGGAGAGTCCTGGGAAGTACACTCGCCTCTTTGGATGTGTAATTAGCATGTATTCATGTTTAGGTCATACCTAAAGCAGACATTCATGTCTAGGTCATATGTAAAGTTGACAACTAGGTCAACACCAGCTGAAGGGCAGGGAGCGTTGGTGCTGTGTGTGGTGGGAAGACACTGGCAGCCATGCGTTTGTTGGCCCTAGTATACAGGTTCTGATTCTAAATTCACTTCATTCAGGTGAGGTTTATACATGGGGCGACAATGATGAGGGACAACTGGGAGACGGAACCACCAATGCCATCCAGAGGCCTCGGTTGGTAGCTGCCCTTCAGGGTAAGAAGGTCAACCGTGTGGCCTGTGGCTCAGCACATACCCTCGCCTGGTCGACCAGCAAGCCCGCCAGTGCTGGCAAACTCCCTGCACAGGTGAGTCCGGGCAGGTTGGGTGGGTCGGGGGCAAGCAAAGTGTGCTCCTGTCACATGCTGCATCCTGTCGTTGTGTGTTTACAGAGGCTTCTTGGTGAAAATAATTCAGGCTCAGTAAATGTTAACCACACAGTGCATTTAAGAACCTTGATATTTGGCTGGTTGTGGTGGCTCACGCCTGTAATCCCAACACTTTGGGAGGCCAAGGTGGGCGGATTGCTTGAACTCGGGAGTTCAGGACCAGCCTGGACAACATAGCAAAACCCTGTCTCTACAAAATTAGTCAGGCATAGTGGCATGCACCTGTAGTCCCAGCTACCTGGGAGGCTGAGGGCTGAGGTGGGAGGATCACTTGAGTCTGAAAGGTCCAAGCTGCAGTGATTGCACCACTGCCCTCTTACTTGAGTGACAGAGTGAGACCCTGTCTCAAAAGAACCTTAATGTTCATGCCAGCCAATATTCTGTGTGTACAGTGTGTATCACCTTCTATATCTTATAACCCACACCAAACTCTTCCACACCAAACTGTTCTGCTAGTACATGCCTCACATTTCTTAGTGAATTTATTTGTATAGACTAATTTTTTTTACAGTCAAACTGGACAGAATATTATTTTAAAAGCAGCACAGTGAGGTTGTGCAAACCAAACTCAGACACCATAGTGCTTCTCTGTATTTGAAACAATTGTTTTCAGAATCCTTAATGGATGCCACACTGGCCCCCGTGTGCCTTTGGTGCCTGAGGGGCTGAAGGCCATTTCTGTGTTCTAGGTCCCCATGGAGTACAATCACCTGCAGGAGATCCCCATCATTGCGCTGAGGAACCGTCTGCTGCTGCTGCACCACCTCTCCGAGCTCTTCTGCCCCTGCATCCCCATGTTCGACCTGGAAGGCTCGCTCGACGAAACTGGACTCGGGCCTTCTGTTGGGTTCGACACTCTCCGAGGAATTCTGATATCCCAGGGAAAGGTATTCAAGTGGCAATCTTTGCTCTAGGGGAAACTGGTGTCTTCAGTACATGTAACCCAATAGAATTCCTATACTGGGAATAGAACACATAGAATACAGCTCATTCAGCAAATGTTCACGGAATGCCTCCTGCATGCCAGGCTCTGTTCTGGGTACTTTATATCAATGAGAAAACAGACAAAAATCTATTCCCTTTTGGAGTTTATATTAAAAACAAACAGTAAGATGCTGCATCTCTCCTTCATAATCTCTGCCTCTCACTGCTCCAGAAGGATGAGGTGGGGCCTTCATAAACTAAGCCTTTGTTCCTGCGGTCCTTCTCTGCCTGCCTGGCCTTGTGGCTATGGCAAGTCCCCACTGACACAGGAAGGCCGGCGATTGGGCTGTTTCTCTCAGGATGTCCAGCAGAGGGGGCCAGGAGTCACAGATATATCACCTCGAAGGTCCGTGCCTGAATGTGTAGAGATTGCTGGCCAAGTGAGAATTAACAGGTGGTGAATAATACAGTCATGAGTGAGGGCATCTGAAAGTCACCAGGCAGGTTTTGACCTGTAGATGTTGCTAATAGTTGGAGCTTTCTAGAAGTTGGGTTAGTTTCTGGCAAGCAGCTTGACAAGATGATCTTGAAGGGGCTAATTACCATACGGTAGGGGCATCTCTGTATAGGGAAAAGTTATAGAATTGGATTGAGGACCACTAATCCTGATTGTGATTCTCTAATGTATTTTGTTGTCGAATATTATGGCCCATTCTTAGTGATTTAATAAAATTGCAATGTTTTGGAGTCCTGTCCCAGCAGGTTACTTTTTAAAGACCGGCTTTGTTTCCACTTGGCTAGAACGATTTCTGCTGAACAGGACTGGTACATTCATTTTACTTTCACGTGTGCCTGAGGGTGGAAGTGGTCAGGCTTGTGTTTAATGGAAAGACCATCTCTCTGATGAGAGAGGCAGAAGAAATCTTGGGCAGGTAAAATGGATAGGAAACATAATTTCAATTACTGTTCAATAATAAAAAGTAGCAAACGATTAATTTTACCTTCTTTTTTTAATCCTTCAAAGTGGTGATGATAATAGGCAGCACAGAGGAAAAAAACCTTTCTTTGTAGGGAGAAAAAAAGTGAGAGGCAGGGCACGTCCCACCTGGCCCTGTGTGAGCGTTGTGCAGGCTGTGAGCGGGGCATGGGTGGGAGCTGGTGTGTGGTAGGGGAGCGGTGGGCAGCAGCATCTGGCACCTGCTGGGGCTGCAGGAGAGCAGGGGAGTGCTGAGGGCGTCTGAAAGGTACCTCTGGTCAGGGAATGTGTAGGCAGCCTCGGTTCTGGTCCTGGTTATGGTGAGGATCGGCCTCAGAGAGTGGGTGTTACTACTCCCGGTCCAGAGCACCAAAATGGACTCTCCAGGAAGGTGGGCGGGCTGGTGACTGGGAGGAGAGGGGAGTGCTCCTGTGGAGGGGGAGCCGCCCTGAGGTCCAGGCAGGGCCTCTGGGAGCAGGATGAGTCTGGGCTGTGCGAGAGGCATGGGGCTGGGGTGCCGCCAGGATACCCTTTCTGGGTCTCCTCTGGCGCTTGGGGCCCTCACCTCCTGCCTTCAGGGCTTGGAGTTCTTAGGCTTTGAGCTGGGCAAGGGCTCAGCCTCCACTGAGGGACCCTTGTGCTCCCACAGCCCACCCCTAACCGAAAGAAGGCACGATTGCCTCCTTGGCCAAGAGAGCTGAGACCCCTGCTGACCTGTCTCATCCCTTTCCATTGGCACGGCTGCGTGCCGCATCCTCTGCCCTTTCCCCACGGGCATGGCCGACCTGCTCCCTCCTGGGGAACGGCTGGGTCCTCACTGTGGTGCTGATGTTTGGCCACGCCCTGCTGTCTTCACCCCAGGCACTCCCGATTTCTTTTAGTGTGATCCCAGCCAGGACCTTGTTCCCCTCCCCGGTCTGTCTTTTCTGTCCCGATCCAAGGTCTGGCTGGCTGCACGGTGCTCCCTGGCCCTGTGGCTGCTGTATGGCAGGCAGTGGCGATCCAAGGTCCGGCTGGCTCCGCGGTGCTCCCTGGCCCGTGGCTGCTGTATGGCAGGCAGTGGCGATCCAAGGTCCGGCTGGCTCCGCGGTGCTCCCTGGCCCGTGGCTGCTGTATGGCAGGCAGTGGCGATCCAAGGTCCGGCTGGCTCCGCGGTGCTCCCTGGCCCGTGGCTGCTGTATGGCAGGCAGTGGTTTAACAGCAATCCCTGCCACGGGTGGGCTTGCTTGGCAGGGAAACCTTGACTTCAAGACCTGAGTCAGAGCAGGTGCTTGCCAGGCCCAGCCCTCCCTGTTCTGTGCCCTGTGTGTGCTGGGCTCTTCCAGCCTCCGGAACGCTGCTGGGTGGAGGTAGTTTCCTGAGGGACCTGCCTCTTGCCCGGCCATTGGCACTACCTGCCTGGCCGTCTGTCCCTGTGTGCTTCGGGGCCAGCCTGTTCCCCTGCACCCTCACAACTTGAGAAAAGGGAACTGGCAGTTTTCTGTCCTTAAGAAGGTCTTCAACACAGATTTTAAACAAAACTATGTGATGATTTCTTCAGGAGTGATGCTTTCCATATCAGATTCTAAATTTTGTCTGTTTGATGTGTTTTAGGAGGCGGCTTTCCGGAAAGTAGTACAAGCAACTATGGTACGCGATCGTCAGCATGGCCCCGTCGTGGAGCTGAACCGCATCCAGGTAGCACATGGAGATTACTCTCCAAGTCTGACAGCCTTAGAAGTGATGCTTTCGTGGGTACCTGGGCTGGGACGAGAGCGCTGGTAGCCTGCCATCCTGTGCACCCCAACTTTAAAGAGCAGGTGCCACCTTCCTTTTTGTGGGCTTCCTGTATGTGATGTGCTGGGGCTTCCAGGAATGTCAGTGTGTTTCTTTATACAGAAGTAATGAAGATTTATGTCAGATAGTCCAAAAGCACAAACACAGGTCAGCAAGAATGGGGAAAATAAAATCAGCCCTCTTCCCACTGCATGATGATAACTGCTGCTGTTACATTGGGAGGTGTGTGTCTATTTGTTACAGCCAAAGCAGGATCACTGCCTTTTGAAATTTGCTGCTCTCCTCCCTGCCATGGAATAGGGTCCTGTGGGGCTGCTTGTGTTTGGCAGCTGCCTGCAGCCTGCTCCTCTCTTGCAGGGGTGTGTCCTGGTTTACTCTGTCAGATTTCTCTGATGGTGCTGGGGGGCCGTGCCCACTTTTCTGTGGTACAGGCAGGGCTATCTGGGTGTATCTTCGGTCACCCCTTTTGTTAAGTTCTGAGAAGTGGAGTGGGTCAGAGGCCCAGTGACAATTTGATGATACATCCGATTATAGGTTATAACAGTTCATGTTCCCACCATCCTCACACCCTCCCCACCACTGGTAGTTTTCTTTGCCAATTTCATAGGCCAGAATTACTAATACTGTCTCATGGGTAGTAATCAAAGAAACGACAAGTAGACCATTTCTAAATGTATACTGCTTCAAGTGTATATAAACTCACAGTTAAAAACAATTAATTAAAAACAAAGAGAAGCCTCGGCCCCTGATGATGATAGCGTGCAGAACTTGACACTTAATGCTCAAATGAAACTGGCCTCGCCTCTTGGATCAGACACAGAGAGCCATGAAGAACAAATTCTTTGTTCCTGTACCTTTGTATTAACACATGATTTTTACCCTGATGTTGATTACAAGACTAGAAATGTTTTCAGAGTTATACTTGGGGGCATTTTGAATTAAGACACGAAACTCTTGTCCTCTGTTGGACAGCTCATGTGACCACATTGATGGAGCTGGTCTCTTCACTGACGTCAGAGTGTTTAATGCTAAGCTGTACGTCAGTCACGTCCTCACATAAATAGGTTGTTTAACTAGGTTCATAAAAAAGCTTTTATTTCCCTACCTTGGACGATGGCTTCAGTTTGCTGTGCATCATAAACATTATAGCTTGTAGGCAAGGCCAGCTGATGGCTTCTGCGTTGTCTAACCCCCGCGATTGAGTGCACCTTGACTTGCACCTCCCTCAAAACCGCACGCAGACTTTTTGGGCCAGGGGCTCTCAGGGTGGGTATTCAAGCCTGGGGGACTCTGGGAATCAGTGAAGTTTTGATAAACTAGGATGCAGGTTAGGCACCCTTGTTTCTGTCTTTGTATCATCTGAAATTTTTAAGAAGTCATTACATGCTGAGCACCTCTTTCTTACTCATCTTGCTATCCCCAGCTTGTGTTACAAAAATGTTCAGTATGCAATTGAAAAAACAAACTGGGTAAATGGCAAACAAATTTATATTAGTCGTTGGTGGTGGCTCATGCCTGTAATCCCAGCACTTTGGGAGGCTGACGTGGATGGATTGCTTGAGCCTAGGAGTCTGAGACCATCCTGGGCAACGTGATGAAACCCCATCTCTACAAAAAATACAAAAATTAGCCTTGTGTGGTGGTGGGTGCCTGTAGTCCCAGCTACTTGGGAGGCTGAGGCAGGAGGATTGCTTGAGCCCGGGAGGCAGAGGTTGTAGTGAGCCGAGATCATACCAGCGTACTCCAGTCTGGGCGACAGAGCCAGACACTGTCTCAAAGCAAACAAAAAACGACAACTTATATTAGGCCTTTTTTTTTTTGAGAGGGAGTCTTGTTCTGTCGCCCAGCCTGGAGTACAGTGGTGCAATCTTGGCTCACTGCAACCTCCACCTCCCAGGCTCAAGCAATTCTCTTGCCTCACCCTCCTGAGTAGCTGAGATTACAGACGTGTGCCACCATGCCAGGCTAATTTTGTTTTTTGTATTTTTAGTAGAGACAATTTCACCATGTTGGCCAGGCTGGTCCCAAACTCCTGACTGCAGGTGATCCACTCACCTCGGCCTCCCAAAGTGCTGTAGGCATGAGCCACCGCACCCAGCCTTTTTTGTATTTTTAGTGGTGACAGGGTTTCACTGTGTTGGCCAGGCTGGTCCTGAACTCCTGACCTCAGGTGATCCACTCACCTCAGCCTCCCAAAGTGCTGGTATTATAGGCGTGAGCCACCGTGCGTGGTGTCAGGCCTTCTTAAGAATCAGATAAACACCCTTCAGCCTAGTGTGCAATGTGGATTGACGTCTGGGGGCTGCCCTGGCTCAGCCACGGCCCCGGGTGCCAGAGGTGGCTCCTTCCCGTTCAGGGTAGCATGCCCCTCCCAAAGCGAGGAAATTTTCTACAGATGTAGAAATAGAAGTGATTTTCTGCCTAAAAATGAACATGGAGAAAAACATTGTTTGAATTCAGGGTGTGCACAGGACACCAGCACGGAGCCAGGAAGGCTGCACAGGCGCCTCCAACCCGCCACCCCATGGCTGCGATGATGGGCTCAGGGACACGCCTCCCAAGAGGATGCCATGGGAGGGACTCTCACAGCTGTCTGGATAGTTTCAGAGACTCCAGAACACAGGTCATCTTACTGGAAGGTTTTGTTTGTTGGGAATTTTATTTAGTTTTATAGCAGGATCTGAACATCACTACATAAAAACTTTTTTATACTTAAAAATTTATTACAGAGTTATTGCATGCACATTTCTGAAAATTTAGGGAATTCAGATTAAAGACAGTTAAAATCATCTGTGTTTCTATTGAGCAGAGAAAGTGCTGTCCCGCAGGAGCCTGTCTGCCTCCAGCCTTATGGCTGCTGTTTTCTGCAGCCTCTGAGTGCAGACAGCCTCTACTAGTGGGTGTCGTCATGGAGGAGAGGCAGCCCCGTGGGCTTCGGGGAGCTGGGTGCACCTCTCCTCTCACACAGCCGCCGTGACATAGGGCATGTCCTGTTCTTTTCTTGTAGCCTAGTCTCCTCTGGGCATGATGGAGCCTTAACAAGCTGCCGCGAGTTTCCAGGAACTCACGTCTGTGAACACTAGCCGTGTGTGTGGCACGCAGACAAGTTCATTCTACAGGCAACTGTGGCTCCTGTCATTCTTCTTGTATTTTTAGTCTTGGTTATGGCAGCCTGCGCTGTAAGCTGTTTAAACTCAACTTTAAGTGAGCTAAAGGTGAAGAGAGCTTCACTGGAGGAGTCATCAAAATACATTCTCAGGACCATTTTTTCTTCAATTTTTCTTTTTGACATCCTTCCAGACTGGGCTTCCCAGATGATTCTGATGCACAGCCTCGGCCACCTGCCCTCCGATGTGCCGAGGTCCTGCTGCGGCGGGGCCCTAGGGCTCCTGCCCTGGTGTCTTTGGGAATTGGAGGCCCCTGAGCCTTTAGCAATTGTAGCTTAGGATGAGAAGGATGGGCAGGGAGTGACTGCCTGTGTTGGGGAGGCTGAGTGGCCCCAAGGCTTGGAAATGGGATGGGTGGAAGCAGATGTGGGGAAGGGCTGGTCCTGGCTGAGGCACTCACTCACTGTGTCTGCTTCAGTCTCAGGGGCATTGGGTTGAATCTTTGAGTGCCGGGAGTCTGTTCTGGTCTGCTGGGGGAGCTGCTTTTGGAGTTCCTGGTGTCTTATTTCATGAGGTCGTGGCAAGATGGTGAAGTAGCAGCAGTGCTTAGGGTGTGAGGATGGTCCGTGCCAGGGTGGTGCTGCCGGGCCGCAGCTGTGGACGTGGTGGTGGTGTGTGTCGTGTTGGAAGGTGTGTTTGTTCAGACACACTAGTCCTGGGGGCTGCTGGGCACATCACTGGCGACATGCCCAATGGGGTGAGGCAGCGGTCTCGGGTGTCCACAGTCGAGCGCCCCAGATGGCAGGGTCTGCCTGGCGTCCACACAAGCAGGTGTGTGACCAGGGAGGGGCCCATGCACGGTGCCTCCTCCTCGTGCATTCGCCAGTGCCGCATATCCCCGACTGTGTGCTTCCTGCTGCGGCAGCGGCCTCACGCTTGCTTGCTTCCTCCTCTCCAGGTCAAACGATCAAGGAGCAAAGGCGGGCTGGCCGGCCCCGACGGCACCAAGTCTGTCTTTGGGCAGATGTGTGCTAAGATGAGCTCGTTTGGTCCCGACAGCCTCCTCCTTCCTCACCGTGTCTGGAAAGTCAAGTTTGTGGGTGAGAACTTGCCACGTGCTGGAGCACCTGTGTCCCCGGCAGTGGTCGCCTGAGCCCACAGGGAGCACAGAGGCCACATGGTGTGGGAGCGTTGGGGCTCTCTTTACACAGGACTGTGTGAGGGGACTTCGAGTGGCTGCTTCTCCCCTGCAGGTGAATCTGTGGATGACTGTGGGGGCGGCTACAGCGAGTCCATAGCTGAGATCTGTGAGGAGCTGCAGAACGGACTCACGCCCCTGCTGATCGTGACACCCAACGGGAGGGATGAGTCTGGGGCCAACCGAGACTGCTACCTGCTCAGCCCGGCCGCCAGAGCACCCGTGCACAGCAGCATGTTCCGCTTCCTGGGTGAGCTTCTCGGCCGCTTGAGACTGTGTCGCTGTGGCCTGTGCCTACTCTTGAGTTAAAATGTACTATCTGTTTGAGGAGTGACAGTAGATATCTTGAATATCTGCTTTTAGTTTTTGAGACTGTTACCAATAAAAATGACTTTTAGGGTGAGGCGCGGTGGCTCACGCCTATAACCCTAGCACTTTGGGAGGCTGAGGCAGGCAGATTGCCTGAGGTCAGGAGTTCGAGACCAGCCTGACTAATGTGGTGAAACCTCGTCTCTAGTAAAAATACAAAAAAAATTAGCTGGCTGTGGTGGCATGCACCTGTAGTCCCAGCTACTCAGGAGGGTGAGGCAGGAGAATTGCTTGAACCCGGGAGGCGGAGGTTGCAGTGAGCTGAGATCGTACCATTGCACTCCAGCCTGGGCAACACTCTGTATCAAAAAAAAAAAAAAAAGAAAAAGAAAAGACTTTTAATATTGATCGTGCCTTTCACCAACATTGTGGAAGCGAACGAGGTGCTGTTGACTTCCGTGCCTAGCATTGAGGGCCTGACGGTGGTGGACCGTCGGAAGCTCTGTGCACAGCTGCAGGCACTGGCAGAGCCAGCCCCGGCCACGTGCTGAGGACTGGAGACTGCCTCGGGTACTCAGAAGATGGGAGATTCTGTTTCTGCATCTTCAATGTTTATCTGAGACTTGGGATCAGAGTGGGGTGAGGTCTTCGCCATTGGCCAGTCCCTCCTTCCTGTCCCACTGAGGGTGTGCAGGGTGTCCTCGGCTGTGTGTCCCACCACAGCCAGCACCTCCTGGGCAGGGCTGTAGCTCCCTGGAGGACACTCCCGTGGGGAAGTTCCAGCTCTTTGCTGTCATAAGAAGAAGAATTGGCCACTGTGTGGCTTAAACTAGTGTGCGTGCAGAAAGGATGTGAAGAGTTAAGAGGCTTTTAGGCACAAAAGGATAGATTTAGAGCAGGACAGGCGGTCTTGAGGAAGGGCCTAGACCTATGATGTGGGTGTTGCTGCTTCAGAAGGCTCTGAGTCCTGAGTGTGGAGCTGCTGTCAGTGGCGTGTGTGAGTGAGCGGGAAGTTTTGTCATCCTTTTGAAGTGTCCTCTGTCACTTGTGTCCTGAATGATCAGGTGTGTTGCTGGGCATTGCCATCCGAACCGGGAGTCCCCTGAGCCTCAACCTTGCCGAGCCTGTCTGGAAGCAGCTGGCTGGGATGAGCCTCACCATCGCGGACCTCAGTGAGGTAACTCCCTGGGGCGGCAGGCGGGGCCTCTAGGGTCTTGTTAACAGGCACAGTCTGTTCTGCGGGTCCGGTCAGGCTGTGAACTCTGGCCTAATCTCAGTGCCCAGGTGACGCAGAGGCTGTTGGCTGTGGACCACCTTTGAGTAGCAAAAAAAAAAAAAAAAAAATAGACCATCTATTTTCTGGTGTTTTGTAACATACACTGTCTTGTCAGATAAGGAAGCTCACTGCCTCCCCTGTGAAGAAGCTGAGCTTTTGGGCAGCTGGGGGCCGTGAGTCAGGCTTGCACGGGAGGCTCTGTCCTGGGGCGACCACAGCCAGCTCATTCCCCATGGCTGTGTTGTGCCTCGGCTGCAGGGAGGGAACCCTTGCTAGCCAGTTGCTGTAACTTTCTCGGTGGTTAGTTTTAAGCATTTGGCTGAATTGTGAATTCTTCGTTCAGCTCCTTGGGTGAAGTACTCTCTCGTTGCTCCTCTTATATCTTGGTGTGTGCCGTGCACTTGCAGCCTCGAGATGCACTTGAGGCTGACCCTGGTTCCTGCTTGACAGAGTGTGCTGGGTGGACTGGAGTCTGGGATGGAGATGAGCCGTGAGTCGACACATGGGCTTTCTTTTTCTCCTTAAAAGGTTGATAAGGATTTTATTCCTGGACTCATGTACATCCGAGACAATGAAGCCACCTCAGAGGAGTTTGAAGCCATGAGCCTGCCCTTCACAGTGCCAAGTGCCAGTGGCCAGGACATTCAGTTGAGCTCCAAGCACACACACATCACCCTGGACAACCGCGCGGAGTACGTGCGGCTGGCGATAAACTATAGGTTGGTGGTCATCTGTCTCTGTTGCATTGACATAAATAGCAAAAGTAGCAGAACGTGGTTGTGTGGACATGTGTGTTTTTCAGGAGTGTCATACACAGTAAAGTAATGGATTTGGCTCCAACTATTGCTGATCTGTGGGTATAAAGCTTATTTTGTGATCAGGGTCGGTATTTATTACTCTGACATTCCTGGCTCTAACCAGAATACCAAGATCAACAAAATCCACCCATTTGGGTCACTGCACCTGGAGAGGCCATAGTTTTTGCCCCTGTGTGCTTTCTTTGTTGGCTTCCCTGGGACAGGGCTGTGTCTGGGGCTGTCTCAACCCCCTCCAGGCTGCTTGAGTGACACAGAGCAGCCTTTGCCAGGCGCCCAGGTGTGACTGTGCACGGTCCTTTGGGTGCCGTGATTCAGGCTTGGCAGGTCATTACCACCACCCACAGCTTCCACTGCTTGTCCCATGTCCCCTGGAAGCACCTGAGAGTGTCTGGGTGAGGCCTCGTGTGGCAGGTGGGCCCTGTGGGCTCTGGTGGGGGTAGTCCTGGCAGGTGTCCTGGGCGGTGCTGTCCCCCGTATCGTGTCTGCTGTGGGTCAGCACAGTGTCTCGGGCCTGGGGCGGATGCACATGTGTTTCCCCTCTTGGTGCTGGCTTCTCCTGGGGTGTCCTGTGGGTACTGAGAGTGGCGTCTTGGGGTGTGCATAGCTGTAGGTGGTCATTAGGCCGTACCCTGTCGGCTGGACGAGATGAGCCCAGTGTCAGGAGAAGCTCTGCAGTGCCGAGCTGCTAAGCATGCTCATGCCATCTGGAGCTGCTCCCTCTGTTCTCCCAGCTGGGACGTGTGCGGCCACAGTGCTGCATGCCAAGGCTTGGTGTGAGCAGCATAAAGTCAGTGTCACTGAAGACAGAAGTGTAAAGTGAGCTTTTTCTTCCAGACTCCATGAATTTGATGAGCAGGTGGCTGCTGTTCGGGAAGGAATGGCCCGCGTTGTGCCTGTTCCCCTCCTCTCTCTGTTCACCGGCTACGAACTGGAGACGATGGTATGCCGACCCCCAGGTGGGGCTGCCCTGCAGCTGCCTTTTGCCTGCTGACCCACAAATCAGTGACAGCAGTTAGAGTCAGAACCTTGCCCTGTGTGTTGACTGAAGGGAGTGCACTCTGAGCGCGTCCCTCCACCCGCCTGCAGGAGGCTGTGTGTGGGCCCACCCAGAGCCCCCAGACCTTTCCCCACCCCAAACAGGCCTTGGTGTAGAGAGGGAGCGTGACGGAGTCTTGCGGAAATGCCAGGGTGGGAAGCATCACGCGGCCCTGACAGACATCCTCCCGCAGGTGTGTGGCAGCCCTGACATCCCGCTGCACCTTCTCAAGTCGGTGGCCACCTATAAAGGCATCGAGCCTTCCGCATCGCTGATCCAGTGGTTCTGGGAGGTGATGGAGTCCTTCTCCAACACAGAGCGCTCTCTTTTCCTTCGCTTCGTCTGGGGCCGGACGAGGCTGCCCAGGACCATCGCCGACTTCCGGGGCCGAGACTTCGTCATCCAGGTAGGCTCCTGGCTGGGCTTGCCGGCCCTGGGCTGATGTCGGCCGACGGTGGGTGGCTGGCTCCTCACCCACAGTCCTGCAGCACATGGAAAACGAGCCTCTTGAGTCTTTACAGAAATGAAAATGGAAAACATCGAACTTCTCTGATGTGAAGGCTCAAAATGTTATGATTATGTGTTTTGGGTACCATTACCTATTTTTTAAAAATGTATCTGGCCATCCCCAGAATACATCACTGCTGTGTCAGCCTGCTCTAGATTTCAAACACACGTAAAGCACTCATTCAGTTATCTGGTCGAATTAGGTGAGTCACTAAGTAACATCCTACATACCGAGAAAAATGAGGCCGCTCGTTGGATTGAGAACAAGGGTTTTGCTTTGGGTTCCAACTCTGTGGGCCGGTGGTCAGAAACAAGCTCAATGGACCTGCCGGGTCACTGAGAGGGGATGGCCTAATGCCCCCACTCTCTGTTGGGACCGTAACAGCAGTGCCTGGGCGGATGGATCGATGGGGTCCACTGTTCCCAGCATGTGTCCAGCACAGCCTGACCTGCGTCTCTGCCAGGGTTAGAAAAGTGGCCGTCTTTCAGGGTCACCTTGGAGAGCATGCATAGTTTTCTATCTTAGAAGGTCAGTAATTCTTAGTTTTTGTCCATAATTCTTGCCGTTTCCTAGTATCTTAATCTGTAGGGGTCAAAGTTGGGCTGGTAGACTCATGAAGAGCTCTCCCGTGGTCACGTGCCTGGTCCTCCGCCAGCCAGGCCGCCCCGCATCCACACAGGTGGTGTGGTCCTCGGGCCCTCTTCCCGGGATGACAATAGAGAGCCATCATCTCCATAGTGAGGTGCTGTTTCTTACTCCAAGTTCTAGGAATTAATTGCTCCTCGTTACTCCTAAAGTTGTTTGGATTATGTTTTCTGCTGTTTTGTTCTTAGCAAAAAATATGGTTTTGTGAGCACGAAGAGTCTAATGAGCACAGTAAAGTAGACTGCAGCCGTACTCAATTTCTAATCACTTCATGTTTCTGCTCAACAGGTGTTGGATAAATACAACCCTCCAGACCACTTCCTCCCTGAGTCCTACACCTGTTTCTTCTTGCTGAAGCTGCCCAGGTATTCCTGCAAGCAGGTGCTGGAGGAGAAGCTCAAGTACGCCATCCACTTCTGCAAGTCCATAGACACAGATGACTACGCTCGCATCGCACTTACAGGAGAGCCAGCCGCCGACGACAGCAGCGACGATTCAGATAACGAGGATGTCGACTCCTTTGCTTCGGACTCTACACAAGATTATTTAACAGGACACTAAGATGGGGAAACGTCCTCGTGAGATGAGAGCCTGAGCCAGGCAGCAGAGCACTCGCTGCTGTGTAGACTGTAGGCTGCCTGGTGTGTCTGATGAGAAGCGTCCGTCCTCGAGCCAGGCGGGAGGAGGGAGTGGAGAGACTGACTGGCCGTGATGGGAATGACAGTGAGAAGGTCCGCCTGTGCGCGTGGAACACTGTGGACGCTCGACTTCCAAGGGTCTTCTCACCCGTAATGCTGCATTACATGTAGGACTGTGTTTACTAAAGTGTGTAAATGTTTATATAAATACCAAATTGCAGCATCCCCAAAATGAATAAAGCCTTTTTACTTGTGGGTGCAATCGATTTTTTTTTCTTTCTCCTTTCTTTCAAGTGTCGTGAGTCGTCTTGATTGTATATTGGAAATAACTGTGTAACAAATCGTATTATAAATATTTCAATTAATTTTACTCTGAATTTGTTTATTAAAAGACTTTTGAACATGAAATGATTAGTATTACTTGAATGCATCCAGAGGATATTTAAACCAAAATGAAAAACCAGAAGGCCATTTGGTGTCCCCTCTCCCAGGTGTCCCCTTGTAGCATATGCATTATGTCATCTGAATTGAGGCCTTTCTGTGAACAGCATCATAACTTCTATCATGGAAAGTGTACTATATATAATGTTTGTGTCATGTATATGCCTAAATTTTAATTATCTATAAATAAAACATCTGACATAAAAGTGTAGGCTGAGCTTTCTTAACCAGTACAACCAAAAAATCAATTAGTTCTTGATACAGCAGTAGTAAAGATTTCAGCCAAGTTGAGATTATTTTTTTGTTAAACCAAACTCAAGTCACAAAGAAGTGATTAGGAGAATGGAAGATTCCACGGGACCAGCTGGTGGCAGGGGCTGAAGGGCTCTGGAGCCTTCAGGGTTTCCTCCGACTTCCTCCCAGCCCCATCTGTCTGCACAGCCTTGGCTTCTGCTTTCATTGGCCTGGGCTGAGAGTCTTCCGTCCAGGCAGCCATGGTACACGGTTTGGGCTGCTTGTGTATGGCACGCACTCTGCAAAGGGTAGAACTGAGAACAGGCTAGGAAAACTGGCTGGCAGGTCTAACGCATTAGAGCTTGAGCTGAAGACTATCAGATTGAGGCAAAACTATGTATTTCACGTTGGGAGACAGTTTATTCAGGGACACGATGTTTAGCACTGGCACAGAAGATCCAAAGAGGGAAAGTTTTATTTTTTTTCTGGGAACCTTTCCAGGACTGAATTGGTAAATGCCAGGATTAGTCTATTTTCAGCTTAGCTCAAAACGTCCATAAGCTGTGTGGTATTATTTTTGTTAATATCACCAACCCTTTTGTTGTCAGCTTTTGCGGCATAACAGAATTGCCCCTGAAGTCAGTGAGAAGCAGCGTTTCTCACTCGCGCGCCTGGCTGGGCCGGCCTCTGCTGAGTGGCTCTGGGCCCGCGGTTAGGAGGTGTCAGGCTTCACATCTCTCTTCTCGCTTTGGGCGTGTGTATCACGGTGGTGACACAGGTGTAAGAGGGCCCAGAGCTGCACTGTCCCCTCCACCCACTTTCCATTGGCCAACCCCCAAATCAGGCTGGCAAATGCCTTCTGCCTCTAGAATGTGGGTTCTCAAAGTCCTGGCTGAGGACCCCTGGAGTTCCTGAGGCCCTTTCAGGGTGTCCATGAGAGCCTCTATCTCCTACTACGTCTCTCTGTGAGGCCAGATTTTCTTCAGCTCCTTCCACCAAAACTTCACAATGTGGGGATGCACAGACAGAAATGAGAATTCACCTGTCTTCTGTGAAAGGAAAGAAAATCTCCACCCGCAAGCCCACTAGGCCAGAAGAAAAGCGTGAGCTTGGAAACGGTCACACGGGAAACTGCCTTTTCATTGTGTGCCTGAACAGGTATCTCCCCAGGTGGCCTCCCGGACCCAGACTATGTAAAGTCACAGCTCATCGCTCCGTAAGGGATAGAGACTAGAAATTGTCTGTACGCCCATTCCCAGACTAATGCATATTTGACTTCTTCCTCGACTCTAGGTTGACTTTATCTGATGTAAAGTGCAGATTTACTGAGCGTGAGCCGAATGTATAATTGACTCTTCCTCTGCCCCCTGCGATTCAGCGAGCACTCATCAAAACCTCACAAGGGTGTGCCCCACTTCTCTCACTTTTCCTACCCTCCCTCCTTTTTATTCTTTCCTCCTTCCCCTCCTGCCTTTTTCCCCTTTAAATATTGAAATCCTCAAAGCTCTTTGGAAGAAGCCCCGGACACAGAGCCTACTGTGGCTTGTCTCTTTCCCTGGCACGTCCTCAGCTGTGGCAAAATCAACCTCTAAGTGGATTGAGGCCTGTCTCACTTTTTTTTTGAGACAGAGTCTCGCTCTGTCGCCCAGGCTGGGGTGCCGTGGCGCGATCTCTGCTCACTGCAAGCTCCACCTCCCAGGTTCACGCCATTCCCCTGCCTCAGCCTCCCGAGTAGCTGGGACTACAGGCACCCGCCACTACGCCCAGCTAAATTTTGTATTTTTAGTAGAAATGGGGTTTCACTGTGTTAGCCAGGATGGTTTCGATCTCCTGACCTCGTGATTTGCCTGCCTCAGCCTCCCAAAGTGCTGGGATTACAGGCGTGAGCCACTGCGCTGGGCCACTTTTTTTGGTTTACACTTCCATTAAGCCAGACAGTTAAAGAGGCTAATAAAAGTATTAATGCCATTGTCACTAATTTGTTTTCGTTTTGGAAAACGATTTTTCAAAATTGTGTCCATGTTAACAAGTCATGGGTTTGTTTTTATTCTAAACGTATTCAATATTTTAAATTTTTTCAGTTGTAATTTCCAATGTGATAGGTAAAACCCAGACGAAAATGATTGAGGATTGAGAGCTTTCGTATAAGAGTCCTGAGGGGGAAGCTAATGTGCCAGAAGAGGCCGGCCGCAGACACCAAGGCGGGACCCCCATGCAGCTGCCCTGCGGGGGCTGTGTCTCTGCTTTCTGCAGTTAGAAGCAATGGCGTAAGTGTTATGGTTTTTTTGTTTGTTTGTTTGTTTGAGACGAAGTCTCACTCTGTCGCCCAGGCTGGAGTGCTGTGGCGCCATCTCGGCTCACTGCAAGCTCCGCCTCCGGGGTTCTCGCCATTCTCCTGCCTCAGCCTCCCGAGTAGCTGGGACTACAGGCGCCCGCCACCACGCCCGGCTAATTTTTTTTTTTTTTTTTGTATTTTTAGTAGAGACGGGGTTTCACCGTGTTAGCCAAGATGGTCTCCATCTCCTGACCTCGTGATCCGCCCGCCTCTGCCTCCCGAAGTGCTGGGATTACAGGCGTAAGCCACCGCACCCGGCCTTTTTTTTTTTTTTCTTTTTTTCTTTTTTTAACTAAAAGCATACTAGAGGGCACTTCATTCCCACAAAAAAAAAAAAAGTGATTTTTGTAGCCACAGCTTCTTCATGTTTGGACAGGAGGACTCTCTCGGACAGTTCCATGTCACCTTCAGTTTAACTTTTTACTCTCATCCAACTTCCAAAGCCTGAAGTTATATAGTTCACTTTGACAGACAAATGTGTGCAGCCGAGACCATTAAACTGTAGAAAAGACAGACGACCCATCTGTGCTAGGAGTGGAAACTTGTCACATTGACAATTGTTTGGAAGCTCACCAGCATTGTGAATTGTGGATTAATTGTGGTTTCCTGCCTGTTTGCTTTTCTGCTGATAGAATCGGTGACAGTGGCTGTGCCCTTATGATGTGCATGAAACTGCAGTCTGCTTAGAGTTAGGAGAGCTTTACATGGTGCCCGACACCGTGGGCACCCTTAGCGTCTCCGACAGGAACTTCTGGTGGTGTCCGAATACGGCCCCCCGCGTTGTCCCCAGGGGCGGACTGCCTCCCCTCCAGGACTTTCTCCTGAGCCGGTGGGCCATGCCTTCTCCCCGCCTGTCGGGCATATCTTTGTGCACAGCCCGTGCGGCCTGGCCTGGCTCTGCGTCCCACGCTGCCGGTCCATCTTTCCCCCCAAATGCAGCTCCACAAGCGAGGCGGGATCGGCGCCAGTGCCCAGCCCGGGATAGCCCGGGGCAGGCGGCCACCCACCAGCAGGCCCTGGCGCGGAGGCATGCGGGGTGGGCTGAGCGCGGGGCCCCTGCGCGGAGGCTTATCCACGACCTCAGAAGGGGCTTCCGGCGCTGCTGTCGCTGGAAGGCATTTTGTGCTGGGCCCTGGCTGGCCCGGGGCTGGCCCCTGCGGCTGCCCGGGCTGTTGGAGGAGGGAGAGGTGGCGGCCTGGCCGGCGCGCACTTGCTGTTTCCATTCTCAGCGGACCCGCGCTGGGGTGGCCGCCGGCGGCAGCGGTCTTTCGGGCTCACCCTCAGGTTTAACCAGAAATCCGGGAGTAGCTGAGAGAGCTTCGGAGCTCCGTGCACTGTGCGCTGTCCTGACTTGCCAAAAAAGAAAGCAGAAAAACACCCAAAGCACGTTCGAGAAGAGAAGGGGGAAATCTGGGGTCTGCCCTTCCTTTAGAAAAGCCGAGGTTCAGGGTGAGAGCCCCTCTGAGCGGTCCTTGGTTGAGCTAGCGGAGCGGGGAGGCTCCCGGCGCCCCTGCGATGAGACCCCACCCTCACGCCGGCTGCGCCCCGGGACCTCCGCGAGGATTCGTCCGGCGGGCGCGCGAGCGAGCGGGGTCTCTTCGGGTTTCAAGCGGCCCCGGGGCCGGCGCCTCGTGACCCTGCCGGACTCTCCCTCCCCGCGCGGCAGCGAAGCGCATCACCGAGGCTGGGGCCGGGCTCACCGTGGGGCCAGAGCCCGCTCCCAGCAGGATCTCGGCGAAGACCAGCCCCCGCACGCCAGCCCGCCGGGTGGAAGCCCGGGGCACCAGGACAGGCCCGGAGGCGGCCGCGGGGCCCGGTACTGCCTGCGAGGAAGTCGCCTCTGCCCGGCCACGCCGCTCCTCCCGCAGCGGTGCTCCCGGGGTTGCGACCACAAACCTCGGCGCTCTCGGGGTGATGCCTGCTCCGCCACCAGGGCCCCCGCGCGCACAGCCCCCTCCCTGCGCTCGCTGTTGCCGGCAGCCGTGGAGGTTCAGGCATTTGGCGTGGCCGTGGTCGTGGGGAAATTCCCCGCGTGCGCCCGGTGCCCCCACCCTGCTGTGCGCTCCCCGCTCCTCATGCCAGGCGGGGCCGGAGGCCGGGGCCCGGAGGGTGGAGAGACCCTTGGGGACAACGAGGTCTCAGAGCACAAACGCTCAGCACTGCGGGTGACACCCCGGGTCCCAGCCCGGGAGCCCGCGGGTGGAGCCGCTCAGCCTTGCTCCTGGCTTGGCCCAGTCTGGCAACACTGCCTTGGGTACAGCCTCCTCCTGGGTGAGGGAGTGAGAGGCAGAACCCCCACCACACGCATGCTCCCCGCACCCCAGACGCGCACACACACCCACACACATGCATACACACACACCCCCAACACATGCACACACGCGCGCGCACACACACCCCCCACACGCACACACACACCCCCGACACATGCACACACACACACCCCACACACACATGCACACACACCCACACACGCACACACACCACCCCAGACACATACATACACACACCCCACACACACACGTGCGCACACACACACCCGAGGCACGTACACACACCCCTACAAACCTCACACACGTGAACACACCCCACAGAACTCCCCACACACATGCACACACACATACACTTCTCACACCCCACATGCACACACACCCCAGACACACATGCACACACACATCACAGACATGCACACACACACCCACACCCCACACATGCACACACACTCCACATCCCAGACACATGCACACACACCCCACATCCCAAACACATATGCACACACACCCCACACCCCAGACACACATGCACACACACCACACACATGCACACCCCCCACACCCCGACACATGCACACACACCCCACACACCACATATGCACACACACCCCACACACCACACATGCACACACCACACACATGCACACACACACCCCAAAACACACACCCCCCCCCCCCGGTCCCCCAAACCCCAAAACACCCGGTCACCCCATTCTATACACATACACATATACCCCCCACACACATACATCCCTTACATACAGCCCGTCACACACACCCCCCACAGACATACACACCTCCTAAACACATAAATCTTGGCCCCTTCACATACACTCACCCTCACACACACCGTCTTCCCTACCCTCTCCCCACCCCATCCCCCTCCCCATGCTGCCTGCAGCTGGGCAGGTGGGCAGGATGCGGAAGGAGAGCGCTGGGCCTCTGAAAAATTGGAACAAGGAAGGCCCCTGACAGGCCTGCCCTGGGTGGCCTGGACAGGAGGGTCGGGGCCTGAGGACATTCCTTGTCACTGCCAGGGACATGCCATGATGGCTCACCATGTCAGGAAGGGCCAGGCCCACTGGCAGCCAGTCTGGCGAGTGAGTCCTACTCAGGGTCCTCCAGGCCGAATCGCGCAGACCTCACTCCTCCCCGATAGTCAAGATAGTCAACACTTCAAACAGGGAATCGCTCAGGGCTACAGTGAGCTATGACCATGCCCCTCCCTGCAGCCTGGGCTGCACAGAGGGACCCCGTTTCTAAAACAAGAAAATACAAAAGATCGTTTTAAAAAGGTCTTCGAATGGGTCCATTCTGCATGGAGGCCAGCTCCACAGGGTGGGAGGCTTTTGTCTGCAGGACCTCCTGGGCCTCATGTCTCATGGGATCCAAATGCAAATGGAAACACACACGCACAGAGATACCAACTACTCAACATCCAGAAGCAATAGCAGGCACCTTCGTCCCTCAAGCTGCAGACTCCCGTGTCCAGCTTCGCTCCCCGCTGGAGCACCAGCTCTCAGGACCCCACTTTCTTCCCACCCCCACGGGCCTGGCCTCCCCATTCTCCTGCCACCCAGGGCCGCCCCTCCGCATGGAGCCTTCAGCTCAGGATGACCCGGGACTTGGGCCAGCCCCTCCCAGTCACAGGACCCACCCTCTTCAGGATGAAGTTTATAATCGTTTTTATTCCTGAGTCAGTCCTGGAGTTTTTGCCCATCCCACTCACTTTTCAAAATTGATTTTTTCCCCACAGACAAATGAGACTTTCTATTTTCCTCTAATTCATTAAAAGAAAGACATTATCGATCAGATGGTACAGAGAAGTCCCATATACACCCACCCCACACATGTAGCTTGCCCCAGTGCACATGCTGCCCACCAGATTGGCCCATGGGTTACACCAACACACCAGCATTATCCAGAGGCCTCGGGTTACATCGAGGCTCACTCGGGCAGTGCCTTCTGTGGGTTTGCACGAATGTTTAATGCCCTGTATCCGCCTTACAGTATCATACAGACTAGGGCCGCTGCCCTGAAATCCCCTCCAGCTAGTCATCCCTCCGCTCCCCACTAGCTCCTGACAGCCACCAATGTTTTTACTGTCTCCATAGTTTTACCTTTCTAGAAAGTCATCTAGTTGGAATCAGGCAGTATGCAGCCTTTTCCGATTGGCTTGTTTTACTTAGTAATCTGCATTTAAGGTTCTTCTGTGTCTTTTCATGGCTTGATAACTCATTTCTTTTTAGCTCTGAATAATAAATATTCCATTGTCTGAATGTACCCTAGTTTGTTTATTCATTCACCTCCTGAAAGGCATCTTGGTTGTTTCCAAGTTTTGGCAATGACAGATAAAACTGCTATAAACACCCGTGTGCAGATTTTGGGTGAACATAAGTTTTCAAATCATTTAGGTAAATACCAAGGAACATTGGTTGCTGCATCATATTCTAAGAGTGTTTAGTTTTGTAAGAAACGGCCCAACTGTCTTCCAAAGTGGCTGTACCATCTTGCGGTCCCACCAGCAATGAATGGGAGTTCCTGTGACTCCACAGCTCATTACATTTAAACATGTCTTTAAAGTCCGGAATTTAAGTTCAGAAGGTAGCATCATGCCCTCATGTTATGCAGCTCCTGCCTCCTAAAGCCGTGGTAACTTTAAAACATGGCTCTGGCCGGGCGCGGTGGTTCACGCCTGTAATCCCAGCACTTTGGGAGGCCGAGGTGGGCGGATCATGAGGTCAAGTGATCGAGACCATCCTGGCCAACATAGTGAAACCCCATCTTTACTAAACACACAAAAATTAGCTGGGTGTGGTGGCGCCCACCTGTGGTCCCAGCTTCTCAGTAAGCTGAGGCAGGAGAATTGCTTGAACCCGGGAGGCGGAGGTTGCAGTGAGCCAAGATCACGCCACTGCACTCCACCCTGGCGACGGAGCAAGACTCCGTCTCAAAAACAGAAACAAACACAAAAAACATGGCTCCAATGTTCTTTGACATTCCTCCCCTCAAGAACTGGTGTCTGTGTCCTTCCTTGGGCTCCTTGACTGCTTGGCCAATAGAATATGGCAGAAATGACACCTGCCAGTCCTGGGTGCAGGCCCTAAGGAACTGGTGGCTTCTGTTTCCTGTCTCTTGGGCCCCAGCTGCCATGCTGTAAGGAAGTCCAAGAGCTGGTGCAGGGGCCACGTGGCAGAGCCGACAGACCCGCCCTAGAGTGAGCAAGTGCACCTCCGGATCCTCCAGACTCCAGTCATTTCCAGCTTTCACATTGCCCTGGCTGCAGTGGGGAGCAGACGAGCTGTTTCCACTGTGCCTTTCTGAATTCCAGACCCGCAGGATCTGGGAACTTGACAGAATGCTTGCTGAATCAAGCCAACTTCGGGCAGGGGTGGGTGCATAGGGTTTGTGGGCTGAACCATGGCAGGAACAGGCAGAGACTGGGGACTGCAGAGGCCTGCACAGCAGGTGGCCCCGGGGACCCCTGGGGAAGGATTCATAAAGGGAAGCTGTAGACAGATTTCCCCATGACGGGGCTGGAGGGCTGGGCTGGGAGGCGCTTTCTTCTCTCTGGATGCTGTGGTCTGGGGAGGCAGCGCTTTCCTGCACCCTCAGGCCTGCCCAATTCTGAGAGCTTCTCACTTTCCTGGACCATTGTCCTCTGAGTCACAACTGCCTGTCCAGGGCAAGAAGCCAAGGGTGCCTTCACTGGGTCACCCACAAACATAAAATATGCACATACACGTACACAAAAGCGACACCGCATCCCAGCCCTCTGCTTGGAAATAGCCACCTTTGGCTTTTATATCTGATTCCAATGGTGCTGTTCTTTGCCAAGAACATTTAGGGGGACCTTATTTTGGGATTTCCTTCTGGAATTTCCTTGGCCAGCCAAAAAAGTTAATTCTATATCATATCTTGTTTGGGACCCAAATCTTCATGCTCAGGAGAAACCACATCATTTCTGAGACTGGCCCCAATCACTTGTAACTGAAGAAGCACGGTGCCCCTTGAAGGCAAGTTTGGCTGTTCGAGTCACACACAGGCTTCCATTGATGCATCTGCAGGCAACACTCACTCTCAGCCACCAGGAAAGGAAACCCCATCTGGCCCTGAGGGTCAATCAACCAAGGGGACTGATTGACGGCAGCTAAGAAGCCCAGAGACAGTGAGCATGTGGCTGTGCTGGGTGTGGGTGCCTGTCTGCTCGCGGGGGGGCTTTGTCACCCCTCAGCTGCCGCCAGGGCTGGGACACATAGATTTGGCTCACCCGAGCCAGTCCCTGGCATGGAAGTTGGGTTTCCTCCATTACTGTGGCCACTCAGGGTCTATCCCTGGAGCTGGGGTAGGGTTGCTCCTTCCCCATACATTCAGCAGTTACACAAAAACAACTGTGACCTGCAAGGCACAGAGAGCCACACGCTTGGCCGCAGCTGTCCTGCTGGCGTTTCAAAGCCCGCATTTCGACAGATCTGCGTGCACACCAAGAGCCTTCTGCCCACTCAGGGAGCCTCCCCCGGGCTCTGTGCCCCAGCCCCTTCCCGCCCTGTAACAGTGTCCCTGAGGCACTGGGAGGGGAGCAGGTGCAGTGATGAGCGAGGAGGAGACAGTATTTCTGGGACGGGAACTGGTGCATCGGTGGTCACAGGCTCCCTGGAGCCGCCATCCCACAAGGATGGGGTCACCATGCAGGCTGCTTGCCAGCCATATCCACACCTAACGCACACGGCGGTCTGAACTGAGGGGTCTGCACATGCGACAGTGAATGTGGTCTCAGAGATCTCGGGCTCTCCTGCTGTCAGGGCCCTGGCTGGGAACTTCAGTGTCCTGGAGCCTGCCATGCCGAGGACATCCTCGGTCCCTGCTACCAGGGCAACCCCTGGCCCACCCTGTGGCTGTGCAATGTGCTCTGTTATAAGGCATGAGATCTCTTTCAGCTCTGCTGTTACACTGTGGATGGAGCCTCTTACTTCCTGCCAATTCCTGTGCAGGGCCTGGCCACTGCAGCTGTGTGTGTGTCTGTAGCTGTGTTGTCTCCATGTGTTTGTGCGTGTATCTGTGTGTGTGTCTGTATCTGTGTGTGTATCTGTGTGTGTCTGTGCGTATATCTGTGTTTGTATATCTGTATATGTGTATCTGCGTGTGTGTCTGTGCATGTATCTGTGTGTGTGTCTGTATGTGTCTATGTATCTGTGTATCTCTGTGTCTGCGTATCTGTGTGTCTGTGTATCTCTGTGTGTAGATCTCTGTATCTGTGTGTATCTGTGCATGTGTGTATCTGTGTGTCTGTATCTGTGTGCCTGTGTATATCTGTGTCTGTGTATCTCTGTGTGTGTCCGTGTGTGTATCTGTGTGTGTCTCTGTATCTCTGTATCTGTATGTATCTCTGTATCTGTATCTGTGTGTCTGTACCTGTGTCTGTGTATCTGTGTCTGAGTATCTGTATATATTTGTGTGTGTCTGTGTATCTGTGTCTGTGTGTATATCTGTGTATCTGTGTGTATCTCTGTGCCTGTGTGTGTGTCTCTGTGTATCTGTGCATGTGTCTGTGTGTATCTGTGTATGTGTGTCTGTGTATCTGCATGTGTCCTTGTGTGTCATCTGTGTATCTGTGTCCTGTATCTGTGTGTCTGTGTATTGCTGTGTCTCTGTGTGTGTCTCTGTGTATGTGTATCTGTGTATCTGTGTCTGTGTATATCGTGTCTATCTCTGTATCTGTGTGTGTGTCTGTGTGTATCTGTGTGTGTCTGTGTATCTGTGTGTGTCTGTGTATCTCGTGTGTGTGTCTGTGCTGCAGGAGGGGCTGTCGGCAAGTGTAACCTTGGCGTCCTAGCTGGAGGGCCTCTCAGTGCCCGCTGGGAGAGCTCTGAAGGGAACAGAATGTTCACTGAGCATTTCCCCGTTCTTGTTCATAGGGAAAAGCCTGTCCGCAGTCCTGGGCCGCCTCTTCAGAGGTAAAGCTGGAAACTATCCCCGCGGAGAGCGCTGTCGGGGACGCCGGGGCGGCGTGGCCTTAGACGGAGCTGCTCTCAGCCCGCGCCGCCGGGGGCTGGGGAGCTGAGGGGCCGGGGGTGCGGAGCGGGCGAGCTGTGGGCGGGGCCATGTGGGCAGCTTTGTGGGCGTGGCCGGGAGGGGCGTGCTACGGGCGTGGCCGCACTGTGGGCGGGGCCGAGTGGGGAGTGCTGTGGGCGGGGCCGGGCCGGGGGCGTGCCTGGGTGGGGGACCCGCTGCGGGAGCGCCGAGCTCCCTCTGAGTTCTTACTTCGAAGGCTGTGCTCCGCTCACCATCCAGAGCGGAGGTGCGGACCTTAAACTCACTCCTGGAGAAAGATCTGCAAGTGCGCAGGTAAAGTGCACGTGCTCCGCGGTCGGGAGGAAGGAGGCGAGGAGCCAGACTAGCCTGGGAACAGGCAGGGAGGGTTTACACAGCCCCGGCTGAGTCGCGGCTTAGGAAGCAAGGCAAGTTCCCCTAAAGGTTAGTGTGCACAGACGGGTGCGACGGAGCCGACCTAGCGCGGCTGAGTCCGCCTGGGCCTGCAGCAGCTGCCCCCTGAGCACCCCCTCCGGCTCTCTGCCAGGCGACCCAGGAAAAAGTCGCCCCCTGGTGGGCCATGAGGTCATGGGTGGGGGGAGTTTGGAAAGGTTCAGACAGCAAATGTTCCACTTGAACTCCAGGGCAGCATCTGGCACTGCGGGGCCTCCTAGCCATGAGCCGTGGTCAGGCGTTTCCTTAGAATGGAATGCACTGGAGTGAAAACACTAAATCCCTCAAAGCTGCTTCTCTTTACTGTGGTCACACACAGTGAAATCAATGGGCATTAGTGCAGCTAGCTCTTTTCAAGGACACAATGTTAAGCACAGGAAGCCTGGTATGTGGACGCTCTGGGTTTGCAGAACCAGGCAGGGGCCAGGGGCTCAGGACAAGTGCCCGGTGCTCCCTTCCCATTGGGCGAATCAGAGCCTGGGGCCCGGCGGTGAAGCTCCCCAGGTGACTCTAATGTGCAGTGCACTTTGAGGAGCACTACTTAGACCAATGTGACAGTCTACAATGTGTAGATTTAGGGTGAGTGATTCTGAGGAAAAGAAACCCGAGGCTGTTAGCAGTTGTGGGCAGCTGCTGTCTACCTAAACCAGCTGCGGTTTGCTTGCTTGGTGAGCCTGAGCTTCGCGGGGCGGGCATGGCATCTGCCATCCAGGACCCTGGGACGGGGCCTGCCAGGGCAAGGAGCTGAGCATTGAACGCATCTGGGGATAACTATCTCTCATAGAAGAACTAATGAGGATTGAACCTGAACACAGAGATGAAAGAGCTGAGTAGACTGCAAAGAATTGCACAAAAACTGCTTGTTCTGCAAATTTAGTTTACAACAATTTGAGTGCAGTTCACATTGGTGTAATGTGATTTAGGATCATAAGTCCCTAAAGTTTCATTACACTGATGAAAAGCAAATGCCTATACTGTTCTTGTTTTATGAGAAGAACGCAACCTCCAGCCCCTGGAGCAGCTGAGATCTGAGGATATCAGGAATACCAGGAATGGGGAGGTCCTGGCTGTCCCTGGAAACCCAGCGGCATGACACCTGTGTCACCTGGGTCCCCGTTTCTATGCTGGAGTGGCAGGCAGCAAGGAAATATTTTGAGTTTGAGGCCATATGCATTTTGGAAAGATCACTGTGGCTGGGGGGTTGGGAGCAGCTGGGGAGTTGAAGAAAGCCACTGCCAAGGCCTTCCCACTGAGTGTGGTTGCCAGGCCGGGGCAGGGAAGCACTGGTGAGTTGCAGGGGGGATTCCCAGTTGGTGATGGGTGATGGATGGTGGGATCAGTGGGCCCCTGGGAAAGGCCAGGTGTGGCTTCAGCACTCTGGGAGTTTTGGGTACCTTTATGTCTAGGGACACAAAGAGGTAGATGGACACAGTGGTTTGAGCTGCAGAAGAGAGTTGGGCGGCCACCTGTCCACAGGTGAGGATGAGGTTTCTTGGGAGAGTAGAGAGAAAGGGGAGGCTTTTAACTGTTAGTAGTGGAAAGATGGCTTGCAATGGAGATAAAGGCTACCACAGAGGGGAGGAAAGCCCAGAGCCTGGAGGCCAGGGGGCAGGATCTGGGGCAGGGGCTGACCCAGTGTGGCATTCTCCATATGCTGGAAATGTGAGAAGAGACTCCACAAGCCGGAGCTCCCTCAGCTCCTTGGGGCCGCTGGCTCTACCAGCTCACTCGCTGGTTGTTGGGTTTCCGCAGTTTCCATTTGGGGTTCTGTCACTGACCTGCAGGCAGCCGGCTTGTCGCGGGCTGTGGCTCTTGCGCCGGCCACCCGCGGGACCCGCGCAGTTTCGGCGGAGCGCGGCGGGGTCCGTGTGGGTCCGACCCGTGGGGAGGTGTGGCTGGCGCGCCTGTGCTCTCGGCCCGGCCACCCACTGAGGCGCCAGGAGGCGCATTCCGCAGGGCGGCGGGGAGCAGGTCCGGTGTTTCGAGGAGCATGGGACACAGTTTCCAAGCTGGCCTGCAGGATGGGCGAAGGGACACCGAACTACAGCGGCACAGCGCCGGGCCAAACTGCCCGCAGCTGGGGTAGCAGAGGAGGCTTGCGGCAGCGGCGCCGCGGGGAGGGGTCCTGGCCCCGGGCTGGGAGCGGGGCTGGGCGGCCGCGTGCCCGGCTGCGCGTTTGCTGGCGCTGCTCGTTTCTCCCCGAGAGGTGCGCCTGGCCTGCCGCGGGGCCGCCAGTCCCGGGGGGCCCTGCGAACGCGGCCCTCGGCAGAGCCCACCCGCGGCCTCCCGAGGCCCTCTCCCGGGCCCCGCCCCTCCTCCCAGGCTGGAAGGAGGCGTACTCTTTCAAACAAGAACAGAAAACGGATGGAAAGCCACGATGTTTGGCTTAACGTTCTAGAAGCTTTTAACCAAGTTCACATGTTGAAAAATCCACCTGAAGGGATATACGGTCACACTCGCGGTCTCGGTCCAGGCCCGAAGTGGGGTGGGGGCACCGCACCCTACACTGCCCTCAGCGGGACACCCCTGTCTCAGCCCAGGACCGGCTGAGGAGGAGGCTGACCCCTGGACGGGCTTCTTCAGGCCTTCTTGGCCGCAGGGCTTCTCCTGCCCCCTCCCTGGTATCCGGGAACTAGAAGGAATGCTTCAAATGCAACGGTCACAGCATCGCTCCTGCGGACACCGCCAGGCTCCCGAGACACGGCTACGCCTCCGGCTCACAGTCACGCCCGACACAGACAGACCACCTCCAACGAAAAGCCACGCCCCCGGAGACACGACCACACCTCGGAGACAGGCCATGCCCCCGGAGACACTACCAAGCCCCAGAGACACGACCACGCCCCAGGAGACACAACCACGCCCCGGAGACAAGCCATGCCCCCAGAGACACGGCCACGCCTTGGAGACAAGCCACGCCCCCGAGACCAGCCACCTCCCGGAGACACGACCACGCCCCGGAGACAAGCTACGCCCCCGGAGACACATTGACGCCTTTGCAGACGCAGCCAGGCCCCCGGAGAGAAGGGCCGTGCTCCGAGAGACACAGCCATGCCCTGTGGACCCAGCCAGGCCCCTGCAAGCATAGCCAGGGGCGGTTTCTCGCTCAGAGGGACGCCTTGGGGCTGAGCAGCGCATTAGGGACGATTTGGGGCCAAGCAGCGCTTTGTGGGGAGGGGAGCGTTCAGTGACGGGTGTTTTCTCTGGATGTTAGACACTGTCCACCAGAGGGGAGTTGGCTGCAGAGGGACTGCCTTTCAACAGCCAAATTTTCACCTCAGCGCCTAAACCTGGTGCTTCTCGTTCCTTGCCGGTATTATGTCAGATATTTAAAGAACTCGAAGAACAATGTTCTTTTTTTTTTTTTTTTGAGACAGTTTCGTTCTTGTTGTCCAGGCTGGAGTGCAATGGCGCCATCTCGGCTCACCGTCACCTCCACCTCCCTGGTTCAAGCGGTTCTCCTGCCTCAGCCTCCCGAGTAGCTGGGATTACAGGCACGCGCCACCACGCCCGGCTAATTTTTGTATTTTTAGTAGAGACGGGGTTTCTCCATGTTGGTCAGCCTGGTCACGAACTCCTGACCTCAAGTGATCCGTCCGCCTTGGTCTTTCAAATTGCTGGGATTACAGGTGTGAGCCACCGCGCCCGGCCACAATGTTCTTAAGATTTACGAAGAAGCTGTTTTCCACACGCTGTTGATCGCCGCCACTGTGAAGTCGGCGTGCGGCGCCTGCTGCCGGCTGTCGTTTCACAGGGGCGGGGTGGGAGGGCCGCGGTCCCCCGGGCGCACCCGGGCGGGGAGTGCGCAGGGCGGCCTGGCTGGGCCACTCCTGCCCTCCCGCCGGGCGCCAACCGGGGATCCGCCAGCTCGAGCTCTGCTCCGAGTCCCGCAGACCCACCATGCCCGGAGCACTCAGCCGTGCGGCCACGGGCGTGCCAGTACCAGCGGGAAAGGCCGGGGCTGCCTGGACCTGGGCAGGAGGCGGTGACCCGGCCTAGCTTGAGCGCCGGCAGCACCGCTCTCTTGGCTGCTGCTCATTCACACCCGCAGGCCTGGAGCCTTTTCTTGGGCCGAGCAGGTGACCCAGGCTCCTGTACGCAGTGGAGAAGGGCCCAGGCGTGGAACGCCGTCCCCTTCCCGGCAGGGCAGGTGTCAGGACCACGCCCGGCGCCGCGCCCTGGCCTCTGTCGGTCCTGGCACCGGTGCCGTCGCCCCACTCCGCCCTGGGCACGGCTGCGGGAGGCGGGGCTCGGGCAGGCTTGGTGAGCGTCTGGCGCGCTCTGAAGGCCACGGCACGGCGGGGCGTTGAGGGCCTCGGAGAGAACGGTGCTGGCAGCAGGGGCGGCAGGAGGGGCCCGGGCCCACCCCCACCTCGCAGGGCCCGAGTTCGGGGGCACGGTTGCAGGCAGAAAGAGCGCAGAGCCGGAGAGAGGGCCGGCAGTAGCCCACACGAACGATTTGGGGTTGAGTGTGAGGACTGGAAGGTTCCACCGACTCTGAACCATCTATTTTTTTTTTCTAAAAATAAGCCACAACTATCTATTTTTTCTTTCTAAAATTTGGTGACTTCGGTGTGAGTCTTGCTTGGAAGGAGGGTCCTGGGCGCCATCGCGGGGAGGACCTGGAGGGGTGGGTTGGGGCTGTGGCATACTCCGCCCTGTGCCGCCGGCTTACAGCTCCCCTACCCCTCTCCCGCCAGCTGCAGGTGTCCCTACGGGCGGGAGCTCTGCCCAGGGTGGCCCTGCCCTAGGCAAGTCAAGCGCATGGGGCCCAATAAAGCAAAGCCAGGCTGAAGCTGTGGTTCCCGTGAGAGTGCAGCCACGGGCTGGGGTGAAGGGAGGGTCACCCCAGAGGACGGGCTGTGTGCTAGTGTGTTGGGGTCCCCCAGAGGTAGGCTGTGTGCTAGGGTGTTGGGGTCCCCTAGGAGACAGGCTGTGTGCTAGGGTGTTGGGGTCCCCTAAGGGACAGGCTGTGGGATTGGAGTGCTCCATCATCTGCATGAGAGGCGATGACCAGGTGGGACTAGGAGGAGTTAGGATGTGTTTGGAAGAACTGGATGAGGAATGTGTGAGAAAGAGGGAGAGTTCTGGGTGAGCAGAGGCCTCTGTCTCCCAGGGAAGAGGCAGGAAGTGAGGTGGAACGAGAGCCCCTACTCAACCCCGGACAACCACTAACCTGTTCCCCATTGATATAACTTTGCCGTTTCAAGAATGTTGTAGTCATGGAATCAGAGTAAATAGTCTGTTGGAACTTGCTTTTTTTCACTGAGGATTTTCACTCTGGATTCCTCTACGTTGCTGTGTATGAATTGTCTGTTCCTTTTGATTGTGGCGTGGTCTTCCCGGCATGCATGCACCGCAGCCTATTTCACACTCCCCTACGGACAGACGGCTGCGTGGCTTCCAATTTTTCATATAGCTTCTATGACCATTTGCGTGTAGGGTTTTGTGTGAATGAAAGTTTCATTTCTCTGGGATTAATGTCCAGGAGTGCAATTGTTGGCTGGTAGTTGCAATTGTAGTTTTTTTTTAAAAACTGTCAAACTGCTTTCCAGAGTGGCTGTACAATTTTACATTCCCATTGGTGATGCAGGAGTGAACCAGCCTCTCGAGTCCTAGGCAGCTGGCGGTGTTGTCTCTGTTTTCTTTTTTCTTTCTTTCTTTTTTTTTTTTGAGACGGTGTTTTGCTCTTGTCGCCCAGGCTGGAGTGCAGTGGCTCACTGCAACTTCCACCTCCTGGTTTCAAGTGATTCTCCTGCCTCAGTCTCCTCGGTAGCTGGGATTACAGGCGCCCGCCACCACACCTGGCTAATTTTTGTATTTTTAGTAGAGGCGAGGTTACACCATGTTGGTCAGGCTGGTTTCGAACTCCTGACCTCAGGTGATCTGCCTGCCTCGGCTTCCAGGTGTGAGCCACTGCGCCTGGCCTGTTTTCTATCTCAGCCTTTCTGATAGGTGTGCAGTGATAGCTCATAGTTTTAATTTGCATTTCCCTAATGGCTCACGATCTTGAATGTCTTCTCACGTGCTTAGTTGCCGTGTGCATATCCTCCTTAGTGAAATCTTTGCCCATTTTACTTTTTTTTTTGTTTACTTTTGAATTTTGAAAATTGTTTAGGAGTGGTGAGAGGGAACATTCTTGCCTTGTCTTCCTGAGAAAGCTTCAGGTTTCTCACCATTAGGCGTAATGTTAGCTCTATGTCTTTTGCAGATGTTCTTTAATAGGTCTGAGGAAGTTCCTCTCTATTCCTAGTTTTCTTAGAGTTTTTGTTTTATCATGCATAGGTGTTGAATTTTGTTAAATGCTTTTTCTGCATCAATTGATATCACCATGTGATTTTTCTTCTTTAGCTTTTAATATGGTAGATTACATTGCTTGATATTTTTCACAGTTCTATTGAGATTATAATTAAATACCATATAATTCACCCATTTAAAGTGTACAAATTCATACCTGTAATCCCAGGACTTTGGGAGGCTAAGGTGAGAGGATCACTTGATCCCAGGAGTTTGAGACCAGACTGGGCACCATAGTAAGACCCCATCTCTACTAAAAATAAAAAATTAGCTGAGTGTGGTGGTGTGTGCCTGTGGTCCCAGCTACTTGGGGGCTGAGGTGGGAGGATCACTGAGCCTGGGAGGACAAGACTGCAGTGAGGCGTGATTGCACCACTGCACTCCAGCCTGGTTTACAGAGAGAGACCCTGTTTCAAAAAAAATGTACAATTTAATGTTTTTTTTCAGTATATTCACTGAGTTGTGTGACCATCACCATGATCAATTTTAGAGCATTTTTATTAACCCAAGTGAAACTCCACATTCATTAGCATTTGTTCTTCATTTCCCTCCAACCCTATCCCCTCCCCTAGCCATAAGCAGCAACTAATTTATTTTATTTTATTTCCCTATGGATTTACCTGTTCTGAAGATTTTATATATACATGGAGTCAGGCAATATGTGGCCTTTTGTGACTAGCTTCTTTCACTGAGCATGTTTCCAAAGGTTATTCATGTTTTAGCATGTGTCAGACACCATTCATTTTTATTGTCAAATAATCCACTGTGTGTATATACCACATTTTATTTATTTAGTAATGGACATTTGGGTTGTTTGTACTTTTGTTTTTTTGAGATGGAGTCTTGCTCTGTCACCCAGACTGGAATGCAGTGGCACGATCTCAGCTCACTCCAACCTCCGCCTCCTGGATTTAAATGATTCTCCTGCTTCAGCCTCCCAAGTAGCTGGGGTTACAGGTGCCCATCACCATGCCTGGCTAATTTCTGTATTTTTAGTAGAGACGAGGTTTCGCCGTGTTGGCCAGGCTGGTCTCAAACTCCTGACCTCAAGTGATCCTCCTGCCTCAGCCTCCCAAAGTGCTGGGATTACAGATGTGAGCCACCGTGCAGGGCCGGGTGCTTTCCACTTTTAGGGTATTATGACTAATGATCCTATTAATGTTATTGTACACATTTTTGTGTGGACATATGTTTTCATTTCTCATGGGCATATTCCTACAAGTGGAATTGCTAGGTCATATGGTAGCTCCATGTTCAACATTGATTGATTTTTGAACATTGAACCAGCCTTGCATTCCTGGAACAAACCCTACTTAGTTATGTGTGTAGCTCTTTTGATATATTACTGAATTCCCTTTGCTAATATTTTGTTAAAGATTTTTGCACCATATTCATAAGAGATATTGGCCTGTAGTATTTTTTCTTTGTACTGTATCTGATTTTGGTATCAGGGTAATATTGTCTTCATAAAACTCACTGATGAGGTATACCTCATTTTCTATTTTCTGGAAGAGATTGTATAGAATTGGTGTTAAATGTTTGGTAGAATTCTCTAGTGAAACCATCTGACCCTAGAGATTTCTTCTGTAAAAATTCAAATTTAATTTACTTAATAGAAATTACAGAGCTATTGACATTACCCATTTTATATTGGGTGAGTTATAGTAATTTGTGCTTTTTGAGGAATCACTAAGTTTTCCAAGTTATGTATGTAAAGTTGTAAAATGGCAATCTGATATACCACTATTATTCTTTGATGTCTTCAGGGTCTGTAATGGTATTTCCTGTTTCACTCCTGACATTAATAACTGTCATTCTGTTTTTTTTCTTTGCCAGTCTTGCTAGAGGATTGTTAATTCCATTGATATTTTCAAAGAAGTAGCTCTTGGTTTCATTGATTTTTTTCTACTGTTTTTGTTGATTTGTTTTCTATTTCACTGATTTTTAATCTCAGCTTCATTATTTCTCATTTCTGCTTGCTTTGGGTTTATTTTCCTCTTCTTTTTCTAGGTTCTTGAGATGAGAGCTTATATTATTTTTGAGACTTGCTCTCCTTTTGATACCAGCATTTATGCTGTAAATTTCCTCCCATCACTGATTTAGCTGTGTTCTGTCAATTTTGATATGTTATATTTTCACTTTCATTCAGTTCAATATAATTCTGATTTCCCTTGAGACTTTCTTTTTGAATCCTGGATTATTTGGAAGTATGTTTAATTTCTAAGTGTGCAGATTTTCCTCCTCTCTTTTTGTTACTTATTTCTGATTCGATTGCATTGTGGCTACAGAATACTCTGTGTGATTTCAATTCTTTTAAATTTGTTGAGGTTTGGTTTATGGTCCAAAGTGTAGTCTATCTTGGTGTATGTTCTGTAGGCACTTTGTAAGAATATTCTGCTGTTGTTGGATGGAGTGTTCCATAAATATTGATTATATTCTATTGGTTGATGGTGTTGTTCAGTTCTTCTATAACTGCACTGATTTTCTGTCTAGTTCTATTAATTGCTGAGAGATAAATGTTTAAGTCTCTAACTATAAAACTATACTATAAATGTGTCTTTCTCCTTTTAGTTCTATTAGTTTTTGTGTTAGATATTTTGCAGCTCTGTTGTTTTGTGCATATGTGTTTAGGATTTCTATGTCTTCTTGGTAAAGTGACCTTTTTATCACTACAAGATGTCTCTCTCTGTGCCTGGTAATTTTCTTTGCCTTGAAGTTTAGCATATATTACGTGAATATAACCGCTCCTACTTTCTTTGGATTGATGCTTGAATGATATATCTTTTTCCATCCTTTTACTTGCACCCTACCTATATTGTTATTTAATTTTATTTTTCAACTTTTATTTTAGATTTGGGGCTACATGTGCAGGTTGTTACAAAGGCATGTTGTGTGACACTGAGGTTTGGTGTACCACTGAACCTGTCACCCAGGTAGTGAGCACAGTCCTCAATAAGTAGTTTTTCAAGCCTTGACCTCCACCCTCTTTCCCTGCTCCAGTAGTCCCCAGTGTCTGTTGTTCCCATCTTTATGTCCATGTGAACCCATATACTGTTATTTTAGAAGTAAATTTCTTATAGACCTTGCATAGTTGAGTCATATTTTTAAATTCACTCTGCCAATCCGTCTTTTAGTTGATGTATTCAGACCATTTACATGTAATGCATTTTTTTCTGATATGTTAGGGCTATGGGTAAATTGAACATTTTTTTTAGAATTCCATTTTGATTTGTTGTTGCGGGAAGTCAGGGACCCCGAATGGAGGGACCAGCTGAAGCCATGGTAGAAGAACATAAATTGTGAAGATTTCATGGACATTTATTAGTTCCCCAAATTAATACTTTTATAATTTCTTACACCTGTCTTTACTGCAATCTCTTTACATAAATTGTGAAGATTTCATGGACACTTATCACTTCCCCAGTCAATACCCTTGTGATTTCCTATGCCTGTCTTTAATCTCTTAATCTCATCATCTTTGTAAGCTGAGGATGAATGTCACCTCAGGACCCTGTGATGATTGCGTTAACTGCCCAAATTGTTTAAACAATATGAAATCTGGGCACCTTGAAAAAAGAACAGGATAACA
This sequence comes from Homo sapiens, assembly GCF_000001405.40. Classification (NCBI taxonomy): domain Eukaryota; kingdom Metazoa; phylum Chordata; class Mammalia; order Primates; family Hominidae; genus Homo; species Homo sapiens. The sequence continues at coordinate 223,498 of NW_011332701.1, read as the reverse complement.
GCAATGTTCAGGGAGCAAAGGAGATAACCTTAAAGTCTGGTGGCCTGTGGGCCGGGAGGAACAGAGCCATATTTCTCTTCTTTCAAAAGCAAATAGGAGAAATATCGCTGAATTCTTTTTCTCAGCAAGGAACATCCCTGAGAAAGAGAATGTGTCCCTAAGGGGAGGCCTCTGGAATGGCCACTTTGGGGACGTCTGTCTTTTACGGTTGTCGATGAGGGATGAAATAAGCCCTGGTCTCCCGTAGTGCTCCCAGGCTTATTAGGATGAGGAAATTCCCACCTAATAAATTTTGGTCAGACCGATTGTCTGCTCTCAAACCCTGTCTCCTGATTAAGATGTCATCAAAGACAACATGTGCCTGAAACTTCATTAGCAATTTTAATTTTGCCCTGGTCCTGTGATCTCGCCCTGCCTCCATTTCCCTTGTGATATTTTATTACCTTGTGAAGCATGTGATCTCTGTGACCCACACCCTATTCATGTACTCCCTCCCCTTTTGAAAATCACTAATAAAAACTTGCTGGTTTTACGGCTCAGGGGGCATCACGGAACCTACCGACATGTGATGTCTCCCCTGGATGCCCAGCTTTAAAATTTCTCTCTTTTGTACTATTTCCCTTTATTTCTCAGACCAGCCGACACTTAGGGAAAATAGAAAAGAACCTACATGAAATATCGGGGGTGAATTTCCCCCGATAATTTATCCATAATGTTTCTTGGTGTATCTCTTTTAAAGTCATTGTTCTAGGTATTAAAGTATATATACATGTTACTTGTCACAGTCTACTGATGCCATCATTTTATCAGTTTGAGTAAAATCAAGAAAACGTACCTCCTTTTACATCCTTTACCTCTCTCATTTGTTATAGAATTGTCTTGATGATTCCCTCTGCATACATTAATAAACACATCAAGGAGTGTTAAAATTTTTGCTTCAAACATTCAACAGAATTTAGGAAAATCAAGAGGAGAGGGAAAACATATTTACCTACGTATAAATGTTATTCAATAGCATGCTATCAACAGTAGATGACAGAATTATTTCCATTAAGCACTTGCATTCTCTGAATGAAAACAGCACATGATGCATCTGTTAAGAATCTTGCTTGGACTTACCTTTTTTTTTTTCCTTTGAGATGCAGGTTCGCTTTCGCTGCCCAGGCTGGAGTGCAATGGTGCAGTCTCAGCTCACTGCAACCTCTGCCTTCTGGGTTCAAATGATTATCCTGCCTCAGCCTCCCAAGTAGCTAGGATTACAGGTGTCTGCCACCACGCCTGGCTATTTTTTGTATTTTCAATAGAGATGGGGTTTCACTATGTTGGCTAGGCTGGTGGCAAACTCCTGACCTCAGGTGATCCACCCACCTCGGCCTCCCAAAGTGCTGGGATTACAGGTTGTGAGCCACCGTGCCCAGCCTGGACTTACTTTTTATTTTATTATTATTTTTTGAGATAGGGTCTCACTCTGTCACCCAGGCTTGAGTGCAGTGGCACAATCCTGACTCACTGAAGCCTCGACTTTCCTGGCTCAGGTGATTCTCCTACCTCAGCCTCCTGAGTAGCTGGGACTATAGGCATGCACCACCATGCCTGGCTAAGTTTTTGTGTTTTTAATAGAGATGGGATTTTGCCATGTTGCCCAGGCTGGTCTCAAACTCCTGGGCTCAATGAATCTGCCTGCCTTGGCTTCCCAGAGTGCCAGGATTATAGGCGTGAACCACCATGCCTCTCCTTACCTATATTCTTTTACCTTCCTGATGTTCTAAAATGTATTCTTTCATTTTCCCTTTCTATTTAGAGAACTTCCTGTAGCCATTCTTTCAGGGTAGGTCTGCTGGCAATAAATTTTTAGTTTTCTTTGAAAACATCTTGATTTTTCTTTCACTGGATATAGGCTTCTGGCTTGACTGTTCCTTCCTCTCATTACTTGGAAAATGTTATGTCATTTTCTTCTGGCCACCATGGTTTCTGTCATCTGAATTGTTTTTTCCCTGTAGGGACATTTTAATTTCTCTCTTTAAGACTTTTTCTTTGCTTTTAATTTTTAAAATTTTGCCCACTATATATGTTGGTGTGGATTTCTTTGGGATTATCTTGTTTGGGGTTTGCTCAGCTTCTCAAATCTGTAGGTTTATGTCTTTTGCCACATTTAGGAAGTTTTCAGCCATGAGATCGTCAAATACTTTTTAAGCTACATACTCTTCATCATCTTCTTCTGGCATTTGGATTATATGAAAGTTAGGTCTTTTGTTATGGTCCCATAGGTCTCTGAGGTTCTGATAAATTGTTTTAGACTATATTTCTCTATTGTTCAGGTTGAGTAATTTCTATTGTTCTATCTTCCACTTATTGATTCTTTTCTCTGTCCCCTCCATTTTACTGTTGAGTTCATTTTTGCATTTTGAATTTTGCTATTGTGTTTTCAGTTTCATTTGAGTCTTATTTGCTGAGACTTTCTGTGTTTCATTTGTTTCAAATGTGTTTATTTCTCTTTGAAACATTTTTATTTTGGCTGATTTAAAAATATTTTTTCAGATAATTCTAACATCTCCATCATCTTGGTGTCATCATCTATTTTCTTTCAAGTTGAGATTTTCCTGGTTATCACTATGACAGGTGGTTTTGAGTGAAACCTGCATATTTTGAGTATTGCTTTATAAGACTCTAATCACCACTTAAACCTTCTGTTTAGGTGCCTTCCTTTGACACCACGCCAGCAGAAGGGCCTGACACTGTCTCATTGCTGCCAGATAGGGTTAGAAGTTCAGGTTCCCCAAGATGGGGAAGGATTCCACCTTATTGCTGGGTGGTTGTGGGACCTCTGCCTCTCGCTAGGACTCTGCTGATATCACCCTGGCTGAGTGGGGTGGGACACCTCATTACTGCTCATTACTGACCTCTAGTGACACCACTGGGGAGTGGCCTCATTACTGCTGAGCAGAAGTGAATGCCCTGACTCTCCATTTGGCCTCCTCTGACACCCTGTCAGCAAGGAAGGAGAGGGGTCCCTTTTCTGCAGGGCAGGGATGAAGTCCAGCCTCCTCACATGGTGGTCCCCACTTAAGCCATTGGGGGAGGAGTGTGTAGGGAGGAGGTGGAACTCCCTAGCACTCAGCAACGGTGAATGTCCAAACTCCCTACTCAGCCTTTTGCGAAGCATCCCTGTGAGGACTGGGGGCCAGGCACTGTGTAATAGCCTTTGGAGGGTGCCCACTCAGCCTTTGCTCTCCTGAGTGGATGTGGGTCTGCAGTATTAGGCTGCAGTAGAACAGATATTGTCTAAAAGCTTTCTGTCTTGCTAGGCTACTCATTTCCTGGTCCTTTGGCTGGGGGCAGGCTTCTTTGGGGCTTTTTGTTCTAAACATCAGGTTTTTAGTTGTACTTAGCAGGAAGAACAGGGAAAAGTAGGTCTTCTCTGTCTTCCTGAAGGCACCAGTCCTGAGCTGTATATTTTTAGTGTTGGCAGATAGGACAGTATGTTTGCATGCCAGCTTGTGAGGTTTGGGATGGGGAGGAATGCAACAGTGCAGTCTGGGCGGGGGTGGGAGCAGGTGGGCTCCACTGTACCTGGCAGGGCTGTAGACAAGTGTGTCCTTGAGAGGCTGGGCTTTTATTCTCATTGCTTCTAGTTTTGCCAGCACAGCCATTCTGGGACGTTTTGCTCTTGGAGACATTCCTCACTCTTGCCCTACTGTGTTCTGAATCCCAGTGTCTGACTCCAGCTTGGGCTCTGGCTTGAGTTCAGCCAATAGGAGACTCTTCTAGAAGATTAGGGGAGGGAGGATGCCCCACTCTTCTTTGGGGCATCTCTTCTGGGGCTCCAGCTCCTTCTAGAAGTTCTCAGAGTAGCTTCTATTTCCTTCTTGGACCCCGGCTGATTCAGGCAGTGAAGGGAGCAAGAGGCAGAGGCAGCAGCTGGGAGTGAAAGGGGGAAGGGTGTGTGGGGTTTAAGTGGGGAGTGAAGGAGAGCAGGCGCGTACACTGTCTGGGGAGGTGCGGTGGGATTGCTGGGCAGTACTGGGGCCCACCTGGGGTTCCTAATATGATGTCATCTGCAGGCATAGGCAGCAAGGAAGGTTTTCTACAGCCATGTTCAGCTGCTGAGCAGGGTTGGGATTTGGCCACAGGTGGCAGACTCTAGGGGCCCATGGTCCCCACCTCCTGGTGTTCACACCCTGGTTTAGTCCCCTCCCTTTGAGTGTAGGCAGGCAGGACCCAGGACTGACCTCCAGCTGACAGAATACAGCAAAGTGGTGGATGTCCCCCTGACACGTAATAGCCTATAAAACTCTGCCTCACTGCTGCTCGCTCTCCAGATGCTCCTTGTTGCCTGAAAAGGCAAGCCAACATACTGGAGGAGCCCACATGGTGAGGATGCAGGAGCCTGTTGGGGTGAAGGGGGCCTCTGAGGGGGCCTCCTGTAACAAAACACCATAAACTTCTTGCTGGCCCACAGCCAGCAAGAAGCTGCAGCCCTGAGTCATGCAGCCACGAGGACATGGATCCTGTCTGCACTGAGTGACCTTGGCAGCAGATTTTTCCCCAGTTGAGCTTCCAGATGAGATCACAGCCCAGTGGCCCCTTGAGATCCCAAGCAGACAACCCAGTTGAGCCACCCTGGCCTTGACCCACAGAAACTCTGAGATTATACACGTGTGTGCTTTTTAACAGGTACACTTTGTGGTGATTTGTTTTGCAGCAATAAAAAACTCGTTTATCAGGTAAGTTTGAGAGAATGAGTTGGGGCAAGTAAGAGGAGGGTGTTTGCTGGACCAGAGAGGCTCCACTGGGAAAGAGGGGAGTGAGGTCTTGGAGAAGGGACATGGCCTGAAAGAGAATGGACATTTGTTGCACTAAGGGTGGGTGGTATGTTCCTGTGTGAGTCCATTCATGCTGCTGTAACAAAACATCATAAACTGATGACTTATGCCACAAACATAATTTCTCACAGTTTGGGAGGCTGTGAAGTCTCAGATCACAGCACCAACAGATTCCGTGTCTGGGGAGGCCCACCTCCTGGTTCACAGACAGCATCTTCTCGCCGTGTCCACACATGGTGGAGAGAGGAGCTGAGCTCTCCCACGACTCTCAGAAGGGTCTGGAGCTGATTCATGAGAGCTCTACCCTCAGGGCCTCTCCAAATCCCAGTCACCTCCCTGAGACCCCACCTCTGAATACCATCCCATTACAGGGCAGGGTTTCAGCCTCTGAGTTTGTTGGAGGGCACATACACATTCAGTCTGTGGCAATTCCAATGGCATGTTCTTCTAAAGAAGCTGGGTGTTTTAGGAGGGGCAATGGCGCCCTGGAATTGTCAATGGAGAGCAGGAGGACCCCCTCTAAAGTCTCAGCAGGACCAGTTACATAATTTGTGAGGCCCTTTGTTCAAAAACCAGGGAAAATGCCATTAATGGTAAGGATAAAGTTTTCTCCTTTCTTCCATAGTCTCTCTCTCTTGGCTTGTCATGGTGCTTTTAAATTGGTATTTAATGTCATTATTCTAAATAAAAAAATTTAAATTTTAAATTGTTAGCATTACTTTTACTAGTCATCTTTATATCATGCCACATCAGTTTCAAATGCAAATATTGAAACATTTAGCTCATGCGTGGAATTTGTGAAATCAGACAACTTTTTTATAGCTGGTATGTACATTTGTACTTTGTTCTTACCAGGTAGTGGAGCCACTGTCTAAAACCAATGCAACTGTTTTATCTCACTTTTATGATACAAGAACATTCTGCCGACATGGCCTGCCTTCGGCTCACTGGTTTGTGAGTGATCACTCTCAGCATAAGTGGTTGGTTAAAGCAGGGAAATAACAATGGTGAGAAGGATATATGGACTTCCTTGGTCGTTCAGGTTTCTTCGAATGTCATGTTTTTCTATATTTGAAGTAAGTTCTGGCTCCACCAGGAAGTGTGCGTCTGGGGCTGTCAGTGCTTGGCTTACTCAGCTGTAGCCATCACACGTCTTGTACTTGCTTTGAGTCACAGCAAACTCCTTTCATCCTGGGTCCACTGGAATTCTGTGCTCATGGGGCATTGTGAAGACTGTATGTGAAACAGGCGATTAGGAGTGGTGATACACTACTGTGCTAACTCCAGCCCCAGCACGTGCCTCTGCATCTCAGCGCCAGACATCCTGCATGGCCAAAGTGCACAGTCAGTCCTGGCTTCCCAGCAACCCTGGACAGCAAACCAAGTGGCTGCAAGGCCAAAGGTCATTTCTGGTGCTGTCGGCTGCTTGAAAATGCAAAAAATAAAATGGTGAGTGGTTTGAAATATAAGCCCCAAAGTAGGACAGCATTACTTTAGAGGTATAGGAATAGTTCTTACTTTTATTGTAGGTATTATTATATTCTCACCAGAATAGTATTAATTTGCTAAATGCAAAAAATGTGAAAATCATAGATCAAACAAAACCAAAGAAAAAGGACCCCCGTGGGCACTTTCGCCATCCAGAGGTAGCCATGTTTTGGAGGGTGTGTCTTTTGGGCCTCTGTTGTATGTATGTAATTTATACATATTTATTTCAATAAAAACATCACAGTGTACCACTTGTCCTTATTCTTTACACATCCATAGCATTTCCCAATAACAAGAACCATCTCTTAGATCATTTTAAATGTAGCACAGAATTTCATGCTGTGCACACATCACAATCTACTTAACTAGCTCTCTGTTGCTGAACACTTAGGCCACTGCTAGGGTGTCCGGAGTTGGTTCCTTCTGGTGGGTTCTTGCTCTCACTGACTTCAAGAATGATGCTGCAGACCTTCCCGGTGAGTGTTACAGCTCTTAAAGGTGGCACAAACCCAAAGAGTGAGCAGCAGCAAGATTTACTGTGAAAACCAAAACATCGAAAGTATCCACAGATTAGTAGGGGAGTCCAGCGTGTTGGGGTAGCCAGCCTTTTATTCCCTTATTTGTCCCCGCCCACGTCCTGCTGATTGGTCCATTTTACAGAGTGCTGATTGGTCCACTGTACAGAGTGCTGATTGGTCCATTTTATAGATTGCTGATTGGTGCATTTACAATCCTCTAGCTAGACACAGAGTGCTGATTGGTGCATTTACAATCCTTTAGCTAGACAGAAATGTTCTGCAAGTTCCCACTCCACCCAGGAAGTCCAGCTGGCTTCACTTCTCACTAGGGTGAAATGCTCTTGCGTGGTTAGGATGCTGGAACTCTGGGACCGCCTCCGAAGAAGCAACCTTCCTATTGTACGGACTCCCAAGGTGCAAACGTTAGTCTCAGTGTGCCTTTCATGAAGAGTGGTTTCTTTCTGGCTGCCCTAGAGAGAAGACTGGCAGTGGAGCATGCATCTGGAGGGCAGAGACGGCAGGCGGTACCCCGGCGCGCCGGCGGTGGAGCTCCTGCAGACGTCCGTGCCCAGCGGACTCGCTGAACTTGTGGCCGGCAAGCGCAGGCTTCCTCGGGGAGCCGGTGGAGCTGACCCCTCGCACTCCTGCCCCAGGGGGGCTGCCGGGCAGAGCTCTTGGGCTCCTGCAGGCCAGGAGTTTGCTTCATTCCTCACAAAAGGGAGGTGAGTTTAAAATAGTGCCATCTTGTAAATGTGGACTTCACACAGATTGGGTTTCCATGAGCATCGTTCCCCCACGTTTGTTGTGGGAAAAATTTCCAGAAATTTTGCAAGAATTTTTCCAGCATTAGATCACTTTCCTGGCTTAGTTTTTGATGACTGATATTTGTAAAATATGATGAACTTAATTTAGCTCCAAAAGATAATAAAAATAGAAAAAAGAGTTTGTAGCATGAAGACTTAACACTTAATATATTATTTAAAGTATTGCAATTATTCTGCAATTTTGGAAAGCGTATGTCTCTGAGGGCATGCCTTATTTCTATACATATAGCAAGTGAATTAACTGAGTATTGTTTTTCATGTCAGAAAAGTCAGAATTTACATAAAAGGAAATTTAAAAATAATTTCAACTTTTATTTTAGATTCAGGGGTTAAATGTGCAGGTTTGTTACCTGGGTATATTGTGTGATGCTGAGGTTTGGGGTACGACTGATCACCCGGGTAGTCAGCATGGTACCCAATAGTTACTTTTCCACCATCCCTCCTCCCGCCCCTGTGTGGTCCGAGTGTTCCCTGCTGCCTTCTTTATGTCCATGTGCACCCGGGGGTTAGCGCCCACTTGTCGTGAGAATATGTGGTATTTGGTTTCCTGTTCCTGGGTTAATTCGCTTGGATAATGGCCTCCAGCTACATCCATGTTGCTGCAAAAGACATGATTTCATTCCTTAAGAAAAAATTTGATACATCTTTAAATATTTACTTATGTAAAGACAATGAATGGTTTTTACATGTCAATGCTTATACTGCAAACCCATAATTTGCAGTTCACATAGATGTCCTTGTAATGAGAAAAGCAGCATCCTATGAGTAGGTGTCTCTGACTGTCTTTGTTGGGCCATATCGATTACATGGCAGATCTGAGGATCCTCGTTCCCACAGCCAGAGCTCCGACCCCTGCAGTACTGATGGTCTCTCCAGCCTTTAACAAAGCACCACAGAATTGCATGCGGGTGTGGTGCATGCTGCTGCTGTCATCCTGCCCGCTCCAGGGGGAGCTCCCCAGCTTGCGTGCTCATGCTTTCACTGAATGTTTCTATTGACTTACAGTCTATGCTGTCCTTTTGCAAGTGGTGAAACTTTGAGTTGCTCTCTTTGGCAATGTGTTTTGAGGTTTCTTTGTGCTGATGCCTGTAGCTCTCGTTCATTCGTGTGAACTCCTTGCATAGAATTTCATTATGTGAATATGCTACCATTAATACATGTTCTCCTGTTGGCGGCTTTTCAGTTTCTGCTCCTCATCCCCCAGTATGTGCTATTAAAAACAGCCTGCAGCAAATGTTCTCTGTTATACACTGAATGTGTCTGTTCCCCCCAGATTCATATGGAATATTCTGAGTATTAACTTTCTCTGGTCCCATGTTGCAGGATCTTCTCCCAGCGAGGAGCTTGCCTTTTCCTTTTCTTTAAAGAGTGTTTTGTTGGGAAGTGTCTAATATGGCCGGAAGGACTGTGTGGCCTGTGCATGGGGAGGCAGATGAGGCAGCAGGATTGTCCCAGCCAGGATGTGAGTGATGGAAGGTAATGTTCAGCTTCCAGTGAGACAAGAATTGGGAAAACCAGAAGAGCATATGTTGCATATGTTCCAAGTTCTTTGACCTCACTTCTTGCTTCGATGTATGGTGTACCAGGGGCAGACTGGGGCCTGTCATGAGCTCCACAGGCAGGAGGCCCTGGGCAGCCAGGCAGGATTCCAGGTGGAGGAGGAAGGAGAGCGTGGGGAGGTGCTGACAGGTGCAGGCACATGGGGGCAGGAGCTGGCAGGTGTGGTGGTCCAGTGAAGGGAGGGTGAGGGTGCCCTGACCCCACAGCCTGCGCAGGGCACGGGGAGGGGGTGTCGGGATGGCACTGGCAACTACCTAGGCTGAGTGTGGAGATGCCAGAAGGTGCCACCCTTGTCCACAGGCATGAGCCCTCATGAGTGAGCCACACCTCCCATGCGGAGCTTCTCCCAGGAGGAGGAGCAACAGGGAACCGCAGCCTCAAGGGGCAGCTCTCAGCACCATGAGGAGAATGGTGTGTTGGCCCAACCCACCCACAGTGCGGGCTCTCGGGGGAAGGGCTCACTGGTGTGAATGTCTGAGTGTGGAGGGCACAGGCTGTTGCCCACATGGCCCTAGGTGAGCCCCCTGAAACAGCACACTCCTGGGCAGGTGTGTGGCCATGTCGCCTGGTGGCCATGTACACAGTATCCCAGCACTGTCATCTCAGGCTAAAGGTTACTGAAGAGTTTTATTACATTTTGCCCTTCTTGTTTCATGAAAATAGGCAGAAAATGAAAAAAAAAAAAACAGTAATCTTATCAGAGAAAAGATACGTAAGTCTTTGAATCTACCATAGGTGGGAGTCTCAGGTATGTGGAAACCAGCAAACCCCTTAGCCTCAATGAAGTCAAACTCATCTATTATGGGTTCAGTTGTGAAGAGAATGAGCAGAACGAAAGAACACTATGAGATGCTGCAAATAGATTGCTTCAGACTGCGTTGAAAAGGTAATTTGGGGGACTGTACTGGCCTATGTTTTAGCTCTCAGGGAATCATCCCCTTGTAGCCTCGTTTTCTGTTGTTTCTGCAGGAGAGAAGCAGGCAGAGGCTGTAGCCTGCCGTGTCCCCTTTTTCCTTTGGCTCCCAGGCAGCTCAGGTGCAATTTCTTGGGTCAGTTACATCACCTGTGCACAAACTGGTTACTCGGTATTTTCTTAAAATGATTAAAATCTGTGTGAAACAAGGCAGGATATACATATAAAGAAAGCTGGAAGGAAGAGTGAATTCAGGATCTATTGCCAGGTAACAAATTTCTCCCAAACTTAGCAGCTTAAAAGAGTACATATTTATTTTCTCAGTTTCATGGGTCAGAAATCTGGGCACAGCTGACCTAGGTCCTCTGCTCAGGGTCTTCACAGGCTGGGACAAGTTGTCATGTATGGCTCTAACCATAGCATCTCAGTGTTCAGCTGGAGCAAGGTCTGCTTCTGAGCTCATCTGTGTGGTTGTTGGCCGGGTGTGGTTCTTCCTGGGCTGTTGGATGGATGGCCTCAGTTCCTTGCCAGCTGTTGACTGGAGGCCATCTCAGCTCATTGCCAGGGGCCCACTCCATCTGGGCAGGCACAAGGGATAGTCTTTTGTGACCTAATCATGGAGTGACACCATCCCTTCTGTATTCTGTTGGTTAGAAGCCAGTCACTACTAGGTCCAGCCCACTCTCAGGGATGGGATTGCTGGAGGCTGTGAGTAGCAGCAGGCCAATTCCTGGGAGCCACTCAGGCATCACCAACCCCAGAGATGAATAGTGATGAAGGAAATTGTTGTGAAAAAGTTGGAAATGGAACACAAAGATGATTGGTGTCTTTTATAGGAAGTGAAGGGAAGTCTGGAGTCCTTCCAGGTTATCTGCATCTTTCACTGTTTGCAACTGATCAGAAAGCTGACAATAATGCAAATAACTCTTTTCCCTAGAAGTAAAGTTGGATTGTGTCCGTGGAATGCATTGTCCAGTTTTGCATTTATTTGTAAGTTCAATTCAACGTTGTCACCCAGGCTGGAGTGCAGTGGTGCAATCTCGGCTCACTGCAACCTCTGCCTCCCAGGTTCAGGCGATTCTCCTTCTCAGCCTCCCGAGTAGCTGGGACTACAGGCACTCGCCACCACATCCGGCTAATTGTTGTATATTTAGTAGAGACGGGGTTTCACCATGTTGGCCAGGATGGTCTCGATCTCCTGACCTCGTGATCCACCTGCCTCGGTCTCCGAAAGTGCTGGGATTATAGGCATGAGCCACCGCTTCTGGCCCAATTCAGCATTTCTAATTGCCCATGTTTGTGTGGTTTTTTGCGTCTTATCAGTTTCTTCTAATTGATGAGTTAAACAAAATATTGACCTGCATTCATTTTATATTGGGACGTGAGTCGCAGTTTTACCCTCCTTTAATAGTAGTCCTATAACAGAGGGAACCAACCACAAAGACATATGGAGAAAGCAGACTTCATTCTCTGGGCACCTCAACCCTTGTCTTTGGGACCCTGCGCCTGCTCTGTATGTCCAGCCCTGGAACGCTGCTGGACATTCCTCAGGGCTGTTTCCCCTGTCCTAGCTGAGGACTTCCACCCTTTTGTTAGAGGAATACGTCTTGTCCATACAATCGTAATGACATGGAACAAACAAAATTGCCAAATTAAAGATGAATTTTTTAATCTAATATGCTAATTTTATTCATAAAAAAACTAAGCACAGGGCTGGGTGCGGTGGCTCATGCCTGTAATCCCAGCACTTTGGGAGGCTGAGGCAGGTGGATCACCTGAGGTCAGGAGTTCGAGACCAGCCTGACCAACATGGAGAAACCCCGTCTCTACTAAAAATACAAAATTATCCGGGCCTGGTGGCACATGCCTATAATCCCAGCTACTCTGGAGGCTCAGGCAGGAGAATTGCTTGTACCTGGAAGGCTGAGGTTGCAGTAAGCTGAGATCTCACCATTGCACCGCAGCCTGGGCAACAAGTGTGAAACTCTGTCTCAAAAAAAAAAAAAAAACAAATTAAGCACAGAGTGACACACAGACTTCCCCACTCTCTCCACTCTCTCTTTCCCATTTGCTTTGCCTAATTAAATCTCAGAAAATTTTGAATCAATTTTTTTTGTATCTCAAAATAGTATGTAAGAATGACAGATGTACTTAAATACAATTGGTTGTCAGATTGACAGACTTAAATTATCTATTTTTTTTTTTTTTTTTTTTTTGAGACGGAGTCTCGCTCTGTCGCCCAGGCCGGACTGCGGACTGCAGTGGCGCAATCTCGGCTCACTGCAAGCTCCGCTTCCCGGGTTCACGCCATTCTCCTGCCTCAGCCTCCCGAGTAGCTGGGACTACAGGCGCCCGCCACCGCGCCCGGCTAATTTTTTGTATTTTTAGTAGAGACGGGGTTTCACCTTGTTAGCCAGGATGGTCTCGATCTCCTGACCTCATGATCCACCCGCCTCGGCCTCCCAAAGTGCTGGGATTACAGGTGTGAGCCACCGCGCCCGGCCAAATTATCTATTTTTTTTAAAGGCAAGATTGTGTGGGAAGGTTTATTTCTAATCAGTGGAAAATGTAATTAATTTTTTCTAATTGTTTTCACAAATCAGGAATTAATTGACCTTGAAATTTGCCCTTTCAAAATTAGCTAATTACCTTTTGGTCTTCCACTTAGCAGGAATATATTTGATGGCAGATTGGACAGGGAAGCAAATTAGAGAGAATATGTTAAAAATAATGAAGATAAATTATTTAAGGCAGCGTTTACATCTGTCATGGATTGGTTACTGTATTTCATTATCAAGTGAAAATAAATATATTGCTGAAAATTTGGAGGTCGAAGGGAGAACACAACATCGTGCCTCTAACACAATCATTACTGTCTGCTTGCATTTATCTGTGTTCCCTTCTGGTCTTTCCTATATGTAATACAAGTTTTTACATAATTGTGCTCAGAGTGTATCTCTTGCTTTGTAGTTTCTTAAATGTAACAATATGTTGTAAACACTATCAGTGCTGTTGCAGATTGCTCAAAGCTATTATTTTATGTATTTTTAATTGAGGTATAATTTCACCAGAAATGGTGAGTAGATCTATGAGTTTTGACAAATGCATACAATTGTGTAATTGTCAGCAAATCAAGATCTGGAATATTTCTATCACCCCACAAAAACTCCTTTGGCTGCTTCCTTTTCCCGTCAGCACTTGTTAACCATCAATCTGTTTTCTGTTTTTACATTTTGGCCTGTTTCAAGCATGTCAAATAAATGGAACCATTGAGTTTGGTTCTTTTACTTTGTATAATGCATTTGAGCTTCATCCAAGTTGTGTTTCTTTTTATTGCTGAGTGGAGTTGTGTGGACATATCACACTTTGTTTATTCATTCTCCTCTTGAAGGGCACTTGGATTGTTCCCAAGTTTTGGTAATTATGAATAAAACCAGTATAAGCATTGGCATACAGGTTTTTATGTGAATGTAAATTTTAATTTCCCTTGGATAAATGCCTAAGAATGAGATTGCTGAGTTATTTGATAAATATATGTTTAACTGTCTAAGCAAAGGCCAAATTGCTTTCCAAGGAAGCTGTACCATTTTGCATTTTCACCAGCAATACATGAGAGCTCCAGTCCTCTGCGTCATTGTCAGCACTTAATATTGACTGTACTTTTAATTTTAGCCATTTTAATAAGTATTTAGAGGCACCTTATTATGGTTTTATATATTTGGAGAGTGAGGTCTGCTTGTTTTCCTATTATGGGGTTTGTGATTCATTATATATTCTCAACACAACTTTTTTTTATAAAATGCATTTTTCCCAATTATCTTCTGACAGTTTGTGCTTGTCTTTGCATTATTATTTTTTCATTTCTTTTGGAGAGCAGAAATTTTTAATTTTGATGTTGTCCAATTTATCAATTATTCTTTTATGGAGTATACTTTTGGTGTTGTATCTAAGAAATCTTTGCTTAACCCAAGATCACAAAGATTTTCTTCTGTTTGTTCTTTTAGAAGTGTTGTAGTTTTAGGTTTTACATTTAGGCATATAATCCATTTTGAGTGAATTTTTGCATATGCTGCTGGGTTTATTTATATTTTGCTTATAGATGTCCAATTGTTCCAGGACCGTTTGTTGAAAAGACTCCTTTGTCCATTAAATTGCCTTGTATCTTTGTCAAAAATACATTGTCCATTTATCTGTTGATTTATTTCTGAACTCTCTATTCTTTTTTGAGACGGAGTCTCGCTCTGTGCCCAGCTGGAGTGCCGTGGTGTTATCTCGGCTTACTGCAACCTCTGCCTTCTGGGTTCAAGCGATTCTCCTGCCTCAGCCTCCCAAGTAGCTGGGATTATAGGTGCCCACCACTGCACCCAGCTAATTTTTTTTTTTTTTTTTTTTTTTTGAGACGGAGTCTCGCTCTGTTGCCCAGGCTGGAGTGCAGTGGCGTGATCTCGGCTCACTGCAAGCTCCGCTTCCCGGGTTCACGCCATTCTCCTGCCTCAGCCTCCCGATTAGATGGGACTGCAGGCGTCCGCCACCACGCCTGGCTAATTTTTTGTATTTTTAGTAGAGACGGGGTTTCACCATGTTCGCCAGGATGGTCTCGATCTCCTGACCTCGTGATCCGCCCGCCTCGGCCTCCCAAAGTGCTGGGATTACAGGCGTGAGCCACCGCGCCCGGCCATTTTTTTTGTATTTTTAGTAGAGACGGGGTTTCACTATGTTGGCCAGCTGGTTTCAAACTCCTGTCCTCAAGTGATCCACCCACCTCGGCCTCCCAAAGTGCTGGGATTACAGGCGTGAGCTACCGTGCCTGGCCCCCTGAAATCTCTATTCTGTTCCATCAGTCTATGTGATTATCATGTCATGAATATCACACTATCTTGAATCTTTATGAAGAGTTCTGAAATCAAATGGTGTGAGCCCTCTAACGTGGTTCTTTCTCAAGATTGCTTTGGCTATTCGATGCCACTTGCCTTCCCATATAAATTCTATCATCATTTTGTTGATTTATGTAACATTCCTGCTGGGATTTTTTTTTGTACTGTGTGTGTGTGTGTGTGTGTGTGTGTCTGTCTGTCATTTTATCACTTGGGTAGCTTTATGTAACCTCTACTATAATCAAGATATAGACCTATTCCATCGTAATCTCAGATTCCGTACAGAAATCCCTCACACAACCCTTAAGTTACATACCCCTCCCCCTGCCATCTTTAACCCCTGGAAATCACTGATCTGTTTTTCATCTCTAGAATTTTGCCATTTTGATAATGTTATATACATGAAATCATACAGTGTGTGTAAAAATTTAAAATTCAACGTTTATTTTAGATATGGGGGTACCCATGTGCAGATTTGTTACATGAGAATATTATGTGATGTTGAGGTTTGGAGTATGGATCCCGTCACCTAGGTCATGAGTCTAGTACCTGATAAGTAGTTTTTTATTTTTTTAACCCACTCCCCCTTCCTTCATCCTCTAGTATTCCACAGTGTCTATTGTTCCTACACTCATGTCCATGTGTGCTCAATGCATAACTCCCATTTATAAGTGAGAACATGAGGTATTTGGTTTTCTGTTCCTGCATTAATTTGTTTAGGGTTATAGCTTCCAGCTCCATCTATGTTACTGCAAAGGAGATGATTTCATTCTTTCTTTTTGAGATGGAGTTTCGCTCTTGTTGCCCAGGTTGGAGTGCAGTGGTGCAATCTTTGCTCACTGCAACCTCCACCTCCCGGGTTCAAGCGATTACCTCGCCTCAGCCTCCCAAGCAGCTGGGATTATAGTTGCTCGCCACCACGCCCAGCTAATTTTTGTATTTTTAATAGAGACGGGGTTTCACCGTGTTGGCCAGGCTGGTCTCAAACTCCTGACCTCAGGTGATCCGCCCACCTCCGCCTCCCAAAGTGCTGGGATTACAGGTGTGAGCCACCGTGCCCTGCGGATTTTACTCTTTTTTATGGCTGCATAGTATTCCATGATGTATATGAACCACATTTTCTTTATCCAGTCTAGCATTGATGGACACCTGGGTTGGTTCCATGTTTTTGTTATTATGAATAGTGCAGTGATGAACATATGAGTGCATGAATTTTTGGTAGAATGATTTTTCTTTTGCATATCTACCCAATAATGGGATTGCTTGGTTTAATGGTAGCTCTGTTTTAAGTTCTTTAAGAAATCTCCAGACTGCTTTCCACAGTAGCTGGGCTAATTTGCATTCCCACCGGCAGTGCATAAGGATTCCCTTTTCTCTGTAGCCTCACCAGCATCTGTTGTTTTTTGATTTTTAAAATAATAGCCATTCTGACTGGTGTGAGATGGTATCTCATTGTGGTTTTAATTTGCATCTCTCTGGTGATTAGTGATGCTGAGCGCTTTTTCATATGTTTGTTCACCACTTGTATGTCTTCTTTTGAGAAGTATCTGTTCACGTCCTTTGCCATTTTTTAATGGGGTTACTTGTTTTTTTTTTTTTTTTTTTTGAGACGGAATCTTGCTCTGTCGCCCAGGCTGGAGTGCAGTGATGCGATCTCAGCTCACTGCAAGCTCTGCCTTCCAGGTTCACGCCATTCTCCTGCCTCAGCCTTCCGAGTAGCTGGGACTACAGGCACCCGCCACCACGCCCAGCTAATTTTTTTATATTTTTAGTAGAGATGGGGTTTCACCGTGTTAGCCAGGATGGTCTTGATCTCCTGACTGTGTGATCCTCCCGCCTCGGCCCCCCAAAGTGCTGGGATTACAGGCGTGAGCCACCGCACCCGGCCTGCTCCACTATATTCTAATAGTCAGTGTGGTGGAGATGGCAGCCCAGATTCAACACTCTGCCCTGCCTCAGAAGACCCAGCCCAGCTAATTTTTTTGTATTTTTAGTAGAGACGGGGTTTCACCATGTTAGCCAGGATGGTCTCCACCTCCTGACCTGGTGATCCACCCGCTTCGGCCTCCCAAAGTGCTGGGATTACAGGCGTGAGCCACTGTGCCCGGCCGGGGTTACTTGTTTTTTGCTTGTTGATTTGTTTAAGTTCCTAATAGATTCCGGATATTAGGCCTTTGTCAGATGCATAGTTTGTAAGTATCTTCTCTCATTCTGTAGGTTGTCTGTTTACCCTGTTGATAGTTCATTTTGCTGTGCAGAAGCTCTTGAGTTTAATTAGGTCCCACTTGTCAATTTTTGTTGCAATTGCTCTTGGGGACTTAGTCAAAAATTATTTGCCAAGGCTGATGTCAAGAAGAGTATTTCCTAAGTTGTCTTCCAGGATTTCTATAGTTTGAGGTCTTATATTTAAATCTTTAATCTATTTTGCGTTACTTTTTACAAATGGTGAAAGGTAGGGGTCCAGCTTCAATCTTCTGCATATGGCTAGCCAGTTATCCCAGCACCATTTATTGAATAGGGAGTCCTCTCCTCATTGTTTGTTTATATTGGCCATGTCAAAGATCAGATAGATGTAGGTGTCAGGTTTTATTTATGAGTTTTCTATTCTGTTCCAGTGGTCTGTGTGTCTGTTTTTGTGCCCATACCAAGCTGTTTGGTTTCTGTGGCTCTATTGTGTAGTTTGAAGTTGGGTAACGTGATGCCTTCAGCTGTGTTCTTTTTGCTTTAAGATTGCCTTGGCAATTTGGTCTCTTTTTTTGGTTCCATATGGATTTTAGAATAGTGTTTTTTCTGAATCTGTAAAGAACGTTGGTAGTTTGATAGGAATAGCATTGAATCTGTACATTGCTTTGGGCAGTATGGACATTTTTATGATATTGATTATTCCAGTCCATGAGCATGAAATGTTTTTCTATTTATTTGCGTCACCTCTGATTTCTTTCAGCAATGTTTTGTAGTGCTTATAGAAATCTTTCAACTCCTTGGTTAGCTGTATTCCTAGGTGTTTTTCTTTTTTTTTTTTTAATTTATTTTTTTATTGATAATTCTTGGGTGTTTCTCACAGAGGGGGATTTGGCAGGGTCATGGGACAATAGTGGAGGGAAGGTCAGCAGATAAACAAGTGAACAAAGGTCTCTGGTTTTCCTAGGCAGAGGACCCTGCGGCCTTCCGCAGTGTTTGTGTCCCTGATTACTTGAGATTAGGGATTGGTGATGACTCTTAACGAGCATGCTGCCTTCAAGCATCTGTTTAACAAAGCACATCTTGTACCGCCCTTAATCCATTTAACCCTGAGTGGACACAGCACATGTTTCAGAGAGCACAGGGTTGGGGGTAAGGTCACAGATCAACAGGATCCCAAGGCAGAGGAATTTTTCTTAGTGCAGAACAAAATGAAAAGTCTCCCATGTCTACTTCTTTCTACACAGACACGGCAACCATCCGATTTCTCAATCTCTTCCCCACCTTTCCCGCCTTTCTATTCCACAAAGCCGCCATTGTCATCCTGGCCCGTTCTCAATGAGCTGTTGGGCACACCTCCCAGACGGGGTGGTGGCCGGGCAGAGGGGCTCCTCACTTCCCAGTAGGGGCGGCCGGGCAGAGGCGCCCCTCACCTCCCAGACGGGGCGGCTGGCCGGGCGGAGGGCTGACCCCCCCACCTCCCTCCCGGACGGGGCGGCTGGCCAGGCGGGGGGCTGACCCCCCCACCTCCCTCCCGGACTGGGCGGCTGGCCGGGTGGGGGGGCTGACCCCCCCATCTCCCTCCCGGACGGGGTGGCTGGCCGGGCTGAGGGGCTCCTCACTTCCCAGTAGGGGCGGCCGGGCAGAGGTGCCCCTCACCTCCCGGACGGGGCGGCTGGCCGGGCGGGGGGCTGCCCCCCCCCCACCTCCCTCCCGGACGGGGTGGCTGCCGGGCGGAGACGCTCCTCACTTCCCAGATGGGGTGGCTGCCGGGCGGAGAGGCTCCTCACTTCTCAGACGGGGCAGCTGCTGGGCGGAGGGGCTCCTCACTTCTCAGACGGGGTGGTTGCCAGGCAGAGGGTCTCCTCACTTCTCAGACGGGGCGGCCGGGCAGAGACGCTCCTCACCTCCCAGACGGGGTCTCGGCCGGGCAGAGGTGCTCCTCACATCCCAGATGGGGCGGCGGGGCAGAGGCGCTCCCCACATCTCAGACGATGGGTGGCCGGGCAGAGACGCTCCTCACTTCCTAGATGTGATGGCGGCTGGGAAGAGGCGCTCCTCACTTCCTAGATGGGATGGCGGCCGGGCGGAGATGCTCCTTACTTTCCAGACTGGGCAGCCAGGCAGAGGGGCTCCTCACATCCCAGACGATGGGCGGCCAGGCAGAGACACTCCTCACTTCCCAGACGGGGTGGCGGCCGGGCAGAGGCTGCAATCTCGGCACTTTGGGAGGCCAAGGCAGGCGGCTGGGAGGTGTAGGTTGTAGTGAGCTGAGATCACGCCACTGCACTCCAGCCTGGGCACCATTGAGCACTGAGTGAACGAGACTCCGTCTGCAATCCCGGCACCTCGGGAGGCCGAGGTTGGCAGATCACTCGCGGTTAGGGGCTGGAGACCGGCCCGGCCAACACAGCGAAACCCCGTCTCCACCAAAACCAGTCAGGCGTGGCGGCGCGTGCCTGCAATCGCAGGCATTCGGCAGACTGAGGCAGGAGAATCAGGCAGGGAGGTTGCAGTGAGCCGAGATGGCAGCAGTACAGTCCAGCTTCGGCCCCGCATGAGAGGGAGACCGGGGAGAGGGGGAGGGGGAGGGGGAGGGGGGGGGGAAGGGGAGGGGGAGGGGGAGGGGGAGGGAGAGGGAGAGGGAGAGGGAGAGGGAGAGGGCAGGTGTTTCATTTTCTTTGTGGCTAGTGTAAGTGGGATTGTGTTCTTCATTTCACTCCCATTTGGACTTTATTGTTGTATAGAAATGCTGTTGATTTTTGTACATTTGATTTTGTATCTTGAAATTTTACTAAAGTCATTTATCAATTCTAGGAGTCTTTAGGATTTTCTAAGTATAGAATCATATTGTCCGTGAAGAGAGATAGCTTGACTTCCTCTTTTCTTGTTTGGATGGCTATTACTTCTTCCTCTTGCCTGACTGCTTTGGCTAGAATTTCTAATACTCTGTTGAATAGGAGTGGTGAAAATGTGCATCCTTGTCTTGTTCCAGCTCTCAAGGGGAATGGTTTGAGCTTTTGCCCATTCAGTATGATGCTGGCTGTAGGTTTGTCATAGATGGCTCTCAGTATTATGAGGTACATTCCTTCAGTGCCTAGTCTGTTGAGGATTTTTATCATGAGGGGCTGTTGGATTTTATCTAAAGCTTTTTCTGCATCTATTGAGATGATCATACAGTTTTGCTTTTGATTCTGTTTATGTGGTGAAACACATTTATTGATTTGTGTACATTGAAACAGTCTTGCATCACAGGAATAAAGCCTACTTGATTGTGGCATATTAACTTTCCGATGTGCTACTTGATTTTATTTGCTAGTATTTTGTCGAGGACTTCTGCATCTATGTTCATGAGGGATATTGTTCTGAAGTTTTCTCTTTTCACTGTGTCTCTGCCAGATTTTGGTATCAGGCTGATGCTGGCTTAATAGAGTGAGTTGGGGCAGAGCCCCTCCTTCTTGATTTTTTGGAATAGTTTGAGTAGTATTGATATCAGTTCTTCTTTGTACTTCTGGTAGAATTTGGCTATGAATCCATCTGGCCCAGGGCTTTTTTTGGTTGATAGGTTCTTTCAGATGTTGATACTGGTTTATTCAGGTTTTCAATCTCTTCCTAATTCAGTCTTGGGAGATTGTGTGCTTCCAGGAATTTATCCATTTCCTCTAGATTTTATAATTTGTGTACATAGAGTTATTCATACTCATCTCTGAAGATCTTTTATAATCCTGTGGGATCAGTTGTAATGTCATCTTCGTCATTTCTGATTGTGCTTATTTGGATCTTCTCTTTCTCACATGTAATGACACCCACAGGCTCAAAATAAAAGGGTGGAGTAAAATCTACCATGCAAATGGAAATTAAAAAAGAGCAGGAGACTCTATTCCTACATCAGATAAAACAGTCTTTAAACCAATAAAAATTAAGAAGGACAATGAA
Organism: Homo sapiens; assembly: GCF_000001405.40. Taxonomy (NCBI): domain Eukaryota; kingdom Metazoa; phylum Chordata; class Mammalia; order Primates; family Hominidae; genus Homo; species Homo sapiens. The sequence goes on along the minus strand of NW_011332701.1, from coordinate 202,381 downwards.
GGGCATAACATAGTAAGGATACAATCCAACCAGAAACCTTAACTATCCTAAATATTTGTGCACCCAACCGTGTAGCACCCAGATTCATAAAACAACTTCTTGAGCTGTAAAAAGACTTACAGTACCACACAATAATAGTGGGAGATTTCAACACCCTATTGACAGTGTTAGATAGATCACCAAGTCAAAAAACTAACCAAAAAACTCTGGACTTAAACTCAACACTTGACCAATTGGACCTAATAGACATCTGCAGAACACTCCAACAACCACAGAACATACATTCTTCCCATCTGCATATGGAACATATTCTAAGATTGACCACATTCTCAGTCATAAAGCAAGTTTCAATAAATTCAAAAGAAATCGAAATAATACCAAGCACATTCTGAGACCATAGTGCAATGAAAATAGAAATAAATACCAATAAGATCTTGGAAAACTACAAAAATACATGGAAATTAAACAACTTACTCCTGAATAAGTCCTGAGTGAACATAAAAATTAAGGTAGAAATAAAAAATGATTATTTAAAATTAATGAAAATAAGGACATAATCTTCAAAAATCTCTGAGATACAGCATTAGGAAGAAAGATTGTAGCCCTAAATGCCTTCATCAAGAAGTTAGAAAGGTCCCAAATTAACAATCTAACTTTACACCTAAAGGAACTAGAGAGAAAGGAACAAACCAATCCAAAGAAATAATTAGAGAAGAACTTAATAAAATCGAGATGCAAAAATCCATACGAAAGATCAATGAAACCAAGTTTGTCCTTCAAAAAAATAACTAAGATTGATAGACTCCTAGCTAGATTAACAAAGAAAGAGAAAGAGAAGATCCTGGTAGGATTTTTATTGGAATGGCATTGAGTCTATAAGATGAATTTATGGAGTTGACACCTTAATAATATTATTGATGAGAAAAGTCAAACACTGTAAAATATTTGAAGAGATTTATTCTGAGCTAAATGTGAGGACCATGACCTGTGGGCACAACCCCAGGAGGTCCGAGGTTACAGCTTGATTTTATACATTTTACGGAGACAAAAGTTACAGGCAGACATCAATCAATACATGTAAGGTACACATTGGTTTGATCCAGAAAGGTGGGACAACTTGAAATGGGGGTTTACAGGTTGTAGGTAGATTAAAAGATTTTTTGATTGGCAATTGGTTGAAAGAATTAAGTTATTATCTAAAGCCATGGAATCAATAGAAAGGAATGTCCGGATTAGGATAAGGTTGTGGCGACCAAAGTTCTTTTTAAGTAGATGAAATCTCATAGGTGGCCACCTTTAGATGCAATAGATGGCAAATGTCTCCTGTTTAGACCTTTAAAAGGTGCTAGACTCTCAGCTAATCTCTTCAGGATCAGAAAGGGAAGGGGATTCTCTACAGAATTTAGATTGCCCCCACAAGAGACAGCTTTGTAGGGCCATTAAAAATGTGTCAAAGAAATATATTTTGGGGCAAAATACTTTTCTTTTAGGGTCTGCTGTCTGTCATGTGATGCTATATTAGGGTGAGGTTGGAATTTGGTATCTTATTGCTACAAAGAGTCTGCTTCATCAGTTTTAATGTCTCTGTTTTAAATGTTAATGCTAATCAGCTGTGCCTGAATTCCAACGGGAGGAGAGTATAATGAGGCATATCTAACGCCTCCCACCCCCCTCTCCCATCATGGCTTGAACTGATCGTTTAGGTTTCTTTGAAACTCCCTTGGCCAAGGGGAGGATTCCCATTAGTCAGTGAGGGGCTTAGAATTTTATTTTTGGTTTCAAATATTGAATCTTCTGCTCTAGGAACATGGCTTATCTTTCCATTTGTTTGGGTATTATTTAATTTCTCTAAGCAAAATTTTATAGTTTTCAGTGATAGGTGTTGGACATATTTTGTAAGATTTATCTCCAAGTGACTCATTTTTTGGTGTTGTTGTAAAACATCAATTTACATTTGTTCAGTGTTGGTACATAAAACAGAATTGATTTTTGTACATTGATCTTGTGTTCTGCAAACTTGCTAAAGTAACTTATTAAGTATAGCAACTTTTTTGTTTGTAGATTTTTTTGTGGGGGATTTTCTAAGTAAATAATCATGTCTGTGAATAAAGACAGTTTTATAAATCAACATACAAAAACTAATTGTCTTTATATGTTAGTAATGAATAATCTGAAAATAAAATTAAGAAAACTGTTTCACAAAATCATTAAGAAGAATCACATTTTTAGGATTAAATTTAATAAAAAGTACAAGATTTATAATTGAACAACACAAAATATTGCTGAGAGAACTTAAAGAAGATTTAGATAAGTAGAGAGCCTTCAATGTTCCTGGATTGGAAAACAACATAATTAAGATGACAGTTTCCCCCTAATTTATCTTTAGATACAAAATAATCCCCAAAGCAATGACTTACTGCAGAGGAATAGTGATGGCAAAATGGCAAAGTGAGCAGTTCCAAGCTCTTATTCGACCCCCAGAAACGTTGAAAACAAGCAGAAACTCTTAGAACCAGCACTAAGAGTTGTGGAAACTGTAAATTATTGCGTTTGCTCTGATTTGTCTGTGGGCTCACTGAAGGATTGACACAAGACTCTGAGCTCTGTTTTGCCTAACTCAGAACATAAGCTGGAAAAGTGATGGGCATTGCTTGAAGATACTGTCAGAGAGTCTGACAAACTATAGAGGCCTAGGGCAGATGCATACTGATTGAGGCATACAATAGACTGCCTAAAACCTAGGTGCAAAAGCTGTAGGAGATTCCTTGGGAACTTAGGATACTCAAAAGTACCTGTGTGTGGATGAACTTAGAAAGCCACATACATAATTAGGGTGAGATGCATGCTCAGAAAAGACCATAGAAAACCCTAAACTTTCACCTCAAGCTTAATCTTAGTCTCAGTGGGAGACTTGATAATTGTTGATGAAGTGCTCCATCAGAGCCACTTTGCAAAGACTGGGAAAGGTGTTTGCTTCTTTGGTTTTGTGTTTTCTCTTTTTCTGGTTTGCTTGTAAAATCTCCTGGTATTGAAGAAAATCTCTGTCAAAACATTAGCTGAACATGATGTTAGGAAACAGACATGAAAAGGGATACAGTCCTTGGAAAAATAGTTTGGAAAAGTACCTAAACCAATGGACTGCTACAGCATTTAATAACAGTGACAACAACAGCAACCACTGCCACCAACAACAAAGTGTTTCAACAACAATAATAATAAAAAAAAAAACCCCAAGACATACAAAGAAACAAATCCATTTAAATCCTTTAAATGGATTTGTTTCTTTCCATCCTTGAGGAAGCCCAGACATCATATTAATACCTCCTGAAAAAAGTCTTTAAAACATCTATCTTAAATATGCTCAGATAGCTAAAGGAAAAAGAAGGACAAATAAATATGGGAAATAAGAAAAACACCGTATGAACAAAATGAGTCTATCAACAAAGAGATAGAAATTATAAAAAAGAAATCAGCAAGAAATTCTTGAGCTGAAAAGTATAAATGAAATGAAAAACTCACAAGTGGCATTCAACAGCAGATTTAGGAAGGCAGAGGAAAGAATCAGCAGGCTTGAAGATAGGACAATTGAAACTGTTTAATCTGAGAGGCAGAAAGAAAAAAGAATGAAGAAATGTGAATAGAGCCCAAGGGACCTGTGGAAAGCCATCAAATAGTACAACATACACATTATGGGTGTTCCAGACAGAGAAGAGAGAGAGAGAGAGAAAGGACCAGAAAACATTTTAAAGAAATAATAACTGAAAACGACACAGATGTACAAATCCAAGAAGCTCGATGAATTCCAAATAAGGTAAACTTAAAGAGACTTATAGCAAGACACATGTGAAGGCCAAAGAGAGAATCTTGAAAGCACTGAGAGAGAAGTGACTTGTCACATACAAGGGATCCTTAATTACATGCACAGTTGATTTTTCATCAGAAACCATGGAGGCCAGAAGGCAGTGGGATGACATATATAAAATGTTAAAAGAAACATACTGTCAACTAAAAATTCTATATCTGGCAAAACTGCCCTTCAAAAATGAGGGAGATGTTAAGAAATTCCCATACCAACAAAAGCTGAGGGAGTTCTTTAACACTATACCTTTCCCACAAAAATTGTTAAAGGGAGTTTTTCAAGCTGAAATGAAAGCACACTAGACAGTATCTCAAATCCACATAAGGAAAAACAGAGCACCAGTAAAGAAATCTGTATAGGAAAACATAAAACACAGCATAAATGTATGTTTTTCTATGCAACTCCTTCATTCTACCATCTGCTTTAAATGACAGTTGCATAAAGCAGTAATTATAAATCTTTGTTAAAGGATATACAATGTGTAAACGTGTACTTTATAGTCAGCAATAGAACAAACAGGTGAGAGGAAATAGAGTTATGTAGGAGCAAAGGTTCTGTATAGAGCTGAAATTAAGTTGGCACTAGTTCTAAATAGATTGTTTTAAGATGATAATTGTAATCCTCTCAGCAATCACAAGAAAATAACTAAAATAACATATAGTAAAAAAAGAAGAAAGGAATCAAAATGATACACTAGCAAATATCTATTTGACTTCAAAGAAGGCAGTAATGGAGAAGTGAGGAACAGAAAAAAACATGAGGCATATAGAAAAAAATACCAAAGTAGCAGATAAATCTTACCTCAATGGTAATTATATTAAACATAGATGGATTAAATACTTCAACCAAAAGGCAGAAATTGGCAGACTGGGTAAAGTAAATGATCCAACTGTATGCTATCGCCAAGAAACACACTTTAGAATCAAAACCCCAAATAGGCTGAAGGTAAAAGAATGGAAAAAGGTATATCATGAAAACAGTAATCAAAAGAGAGGTAGAGAGACTATACTAATATTGGACAAAATAGACTTTAAGACAAAAATTGTTACTAGAGACAAGAATTTCTGGTAATAAAAGTGTCAATTCATCAAGAAGATATACTTACTATTGTTAAATGGCATTACTACCCAAATTAATCTACATTTTCAGCACACTGATCCTGCAAGTCATAGAGAAATGCAAGCAATCCAGAATAGCCAAAACAACCTTGTAAAAGAATAGCACTTGGAAGACTCATGCTTTCTGCTTTCAGAAGTTACTACAAAGCCACAGTAATTTAAGACTGTGTGTTTCTGGCATAAGGATAGACATACAGATTAATGAAAGAGGATCAAGACTCCAGAAATAAACTCTTATATGTAAATTCAATTGATTTTCACCAAGGGTATTAAAACAAATAAATACAGAAAGAATAGTCTTTCCAACAAATTGTGCTGGGATAACTGGCTATCCACATGCAAAAGAATGAAGTTGGACCCCTACTTCACATCATATACAAAAATTAACTCAAAAGGGATCATAGACCTAAATGCAAGTTCTAAAACTATAAAACTCCTAGAAGAAAACATGGTTATAAATCTTTGTGACTTTGAATTATGCAGTATCTTAGATTTGATGCTAAAAGCACAAACAAAAAAAGTACATAAATTGGACTTTATCAAAAAGAAAAACTTTTGTGAATAAAAGGGACACTGTCAAGAAGTGGAAAGACAAGCAACAGAACGGGAGAAAATAATGGCTGACAATATATCTGATAAGGGACTAGTATTCGGAATATATATAGAACTCTTACAACTCCATAATAAAAAGACTCCCCCCATGCCCACAGGCAAAATATTTAAATAGGCATTTCTCCAAAGAAGATATTCAAATGGCCTGTAAGCAACTGAAAAGATGCTCAACATCAGTGGTATTTAGAGAAATGCAAATTAAAAGCTCAGTGAGATGCCATTTGACACCCAATAGGATGGCTATCATAAAAAAGATGGCAATGACAAGTGTTAGGGCTGATGTGGAGAAATTGGAACTCTCATGCATTGCCAGTGGGAATATAAAATAGTGCTGCCATTTTGGAAAACAGTTCAGCAGTTCCTCAAACTGTTCAGCATGGAGTTGCCATTTGATACAGCATTTCTGTTACTAGGTATGTACACAACAAAATTGAAAAGACATGCCTGTGTAAAACTTGTGCATATGTGTTCAAAGCAGCATTATTCCTAATGGCCAAAGAAAGAAGCAACCTCATTGCCCATCAATTCATGAATGGATAAACAAAATTTGGCATATCCATACAACAGAACATAGTTCCCATAAAAATAGAAGAAGTACTGATATGTGCTACCACTTGGATAAACCTTAAGGACATGCTCAGTGAAAGAAGCCAGATATAAAAAACGATAAATTGTATGTTTTCATTTATATGAAATGTCAGATTAGATGTCTTAGTCCATTAAGGCTACTGTAACAAAATGCCATAAACTGAGTAGCTTATAAACAACAGAACATTATTTCTCATAGTTCTGGAGGCTGGGAAGTGCAAAGTCAAGGTGCTGGTGAGGGCCTGTTCCTCGTAAATGGTGCCTTCTCTCTGTGTACTCACCTGGTGGAAGGGGTGAGTGCACTCTCTGGGCCTCTTTTAATATGGACACTAATTCCATTCACAAGGACTCCATCCTATTTACCATTTTTTTTTCTTGTGTATGGACCATACATGTCTTTGCATGTGTATATTTTTGTCAGACTGGACATTTAAAAGAATATAATATGGAAGCTCTAGTAATCAGATTCTTCCCCCTTCCCAGGGCTTTTTGCTGTTCCTGTTTGTTTAGTGACTTTCCTGAACTCATGTTTTTGAGTCTGTATTCTTTGTTGTGTATGGCCAGTGAATTCTCTGTTCAGTTAGTGACTGGACAGAGGTATTCTTAAATAAGGGCTGGGACCATTAAGTCTCCCTGCCTTTGTCAAGGGGCTGTGTGTGCATGTTGGGGTCGGCTTTCAGCTTCCAGCCAGACATTCTGCCTTCTTCTTCACTTCTGGCTTCTGCAGAGCCTCACGGTCATCCAGAGGTGAGTGGGTAGAACTTCACAGGTCCCTCTTGGGCACACGTACAGCCCTGTGCTTGAATGCCTAGGAATGTGTTGAAGCTTTACAAACTGCTTTTTCTTTTGTGTTTTTTGGTTGGCTTCTTGTTAGCCCCAGTGGCTGTTGCTGCCTCAGGAAGCTGTGATGTTAAACACTTGCTGCTCATTGTTTGTGGCAAACGCCCAGGAGAGAAGGCTATTCACCTCTGGAGCTCTGAGCCTGGTCCAATACAGATGGTACCTGTGAGAGGGGTAGTCAAGGTACTGCCAGACAGCTCCAATAGTGCCAGTTCTCTGTAAAGGAGATTTGGAAGTGCCCTAGTCCAATTCTGCTCTCTTCAATGGCTACTAGGCCTCTGGTTTTCACCATCATGGCAGGGCTGATTTTCAAGCCCAGCACAGAACTGGGTAAAGGGATATGGCAGTAGAGCAAGTTAAAATTTTCTCACTGAGACTTGGCCATCCTCTAGAATACATGCTCCATGGATTGTTTTATACTTTTGTTAACTTCCAAAGTTCTGAAAATATTGATTTTGACAAGTTTTGTCTGTTTTTGCTGCTTCTATGGAGGAGAGAATGTCTACACGTCCTTTCTGTGCCATTCCTGCTGTTACCTCGTCTTCCTTTGATTTGAAAGCAAATCTCATCTTACAAAAATAATACTTTTGAGATACTAAGTGGAAGTGCTTTTCTATCCCCACAAGGGTGCAAGAAGATTAGGTTTGGCTTAGAACAGACAAGTCATTGCTCATTTTGTATTTCAAGCTAGGATTAAAAAAAATAAAATTCATAGCAGCAAGGTGATCATTTCGCAAGGCTGGGCAGGAGGTGCTGGTCTGGTCAGCACATCCCAGCCTGCAGTGCCCCAGCTAGAGGGCGTGCAGGCCTTGCTGGAGCAGTGTCCATGAGGTGGTCTGAGACTGATTCCTGGCCTCCAGTTCCAGGCAGGCATGCTGGGGACCTACACTTCCCACCTGCCTCAGTGCGGGGCCGGCACCCTGAGGAGCCTGGCAGGGACCAGGTGAAACATGAGACTGCAGCAGAGGTGCTGGCACCAGGGGTGGGAGCTCCTGCAATGCCATGAGGGTTGGTGGAAGCAGCGGGTTGCATGAGGGGCATGCGGCGTGTGCTCGCCCACAGCCTTCCCCTTTCATGGTGCCATTGTGTGTGCTGCTCCTTGGGTGGGGAGAAATCCTGATTGGGAGTCTGAACTTTGGCTTGAATGAATGTGTACATAAAGAGAGACTCTTAAATAGAAAGAAACGGAGTAAGTACTAATTGACTTCACATGCTCCCATTCATCAAGGGGACTAGCGGCCGGTTATATTTAATAGAAACTGGAGTGAATGAATTACACACGAAGTGACCCAGTGCGTGTTCCAGCTCTGCCCAGGCATGCTTCCTTCCAAGAGGAGATTTGCTCTTCCCTTTTTGGGTCAATAAAATGGAAAATCTGCAGAAGACTTTACTACTAGGGAGCAAAAGGCATTTAGAAGTCTTTAAAAATTGTTCTTTTCACATAATTTTAATGTAGTACATCTTTTAGTTAATCTCAAATTTAGATTTGTCTTATGATGATGATGATTATTATTATTACTATTTCTGAGACAGGGTCTTGCTCTGTCGCTCAGGTTGGAGTGCAGTGGTGCAGTCATAGCTCACTGCATGCTTGACCTGTGCTCAAGGGGTCCTCCTGCCTTGGCCTCCCAAAGTGCTGGGATTACAGGCAAGGGCCACCACACTCAGCCTATCTTATCCTTCTGATGATTTTAATAAGGAAAAAATAAGATTTACCTTATTCCTTTGCTGATAAGTTTTGGGTTATTCAAATGAATAACTGATTTCCCTGGCCACTGCAGTAGCTCACGCCCCACCTCCCTGCAGCTCCAGGATGTTCCCCAAATGCAGACCAGCTTTGCCCTGCGTGGCTCCTGCAGGCCAGCCTTCACCTTCTCAGTCTTCTGCTCTCTTGTGGGCACAGGGAGGAACTGGAGCTTGAGTGGACAGGGCAGGCTTTCAAACATCTTCAGAAAGTGCAGTTTGTCGCCTTCTAAGCAGTGAGGTGCATTTGGTGTGATCTAATGTCCTATGCACTCTCCTTTTCCTAGGGGAAGGCAGGCTTCACTGAGCGCTCTCTGGACCCAGTGGGAATGTGCCCCTTCATCCAGCACCAGAGCTGTCCTCATCTGCGGGGCCCTTGGGGACCTCCACTGCATCCCCTCAGGACTTCTGGGAGCAGGGAGAGGACCCAGGCCCTGGACCACAGGCTTGCACCCCAGCGCAGACTCTCCCCTGCACACCTGCCCCCTGGACTGGGCTCTGGGATGCTACGTTTATTACCTCTTCTAGTCCCACTTGCCTGCAAGGGAGGAGCTGTTCATAGCTATTTTGGGGGCTGAAATAGTGACAATTTTCTGTTAAGTGTTTTGGTCACCTGGATTATTACTATTTATACAAAAGAGCAACATACATAAAGTCACTAACACTGGTCTCTAAGAAATAGAGAAGTCGACATCATGTTCCCAGCAGGGCACCACCCCATCTCTCTGAGATGTGTCTGGGTTTGCCACCTCAGGGGGATGAGGAGGTGACAGGGAGTCCAGAAAATGAGCAGTGGAGGGGCACAGGGTGGCAGGGTGGGTGGTGGGGCCTGAGCCAGGTGGCCAGCGTGCCCTGGGCCAGTACCTCCTGCATGATTCCTGCAGCTGCAGAGGGAGCCTTCCCTGCTAGAGGCAGATGAAAGAGGGAGCGCTCAGAAAAAATCGGACAAAGGCCCCACCACAGAGGAAGGCCAATTCCCAGAGGACATTGCAGACGGAAGAGGCGGTAGAGGCAAGGGTGGCAGCAGCCAGGCCCAGCTCCTGGCCTTCGTCCTTCCCTGTGGGCAGTGGACCAGCACCCAGAGCCACCCCTTATCAACCCTCCTGCTGCAGTTTTGCCTTCAGCATTCAAGTGGCTATGCATGTGGATAGCATTTCCCCAAAGTCTCTCATTTCATTATTGGGGGGGACCCTCAAGCTTTGAGGGTCAGTTCCCAGGCCCTTATAAGGCTATGAGAGAATGTCTACCAGCCCTTCAGGGTACCAGGGCACTTGGTGGGCCAGGGTGACCTGCTGCAGGTACCCAGCTCTGGGTGGGTCCTCACATGTCACTCCCCGCTGTGCCAGGACCAGGCAGGCTGCCTCCCGGTGTGTGAGGCTGTTTACGATCCAGTAGTCACAGGGTCCAGCCTGGTGGCTTAGTTTGGTTGATCTGGGAAGGGATCAGTCTTGTTGGACAGTTTACTTTCCCCTCCTGCTTTACTCCTGAGTTTTCTGAGTACAAATCCCACCCGTCTTTGTGATGACGTTGTTCCCACCTGTTCCCCTGCAGCAGCGGCTGCTTACCTGTCTTACTCTCAGAGGGCTTGTGCCCAGGAGGCTTTGCTGTCTGAGAGCAGGGAGTGTGTCTTGTTCATGCCTGCCCCTGGCCAAGCGAGTGCTCGATAAATATTTGAATGCAAGAGTAGCTTATATGTATTTTTGGGCCAATGTTTTTGGAGTATGTGTAGTAGGGCCATTTCTTGGTGGGGAGCAGACATTCTGGGAGTGTAGGAGCCTTGTCTGTGGGGCCCTGTCTGTTACAGAGCTGATGCAGCAGTGACAGTGGCTGGGCAGGCCAAGGGATTCACTGGTCTCCAGGACATCTCAGGGGCACAGATACCCTGACAAGGGCATGGAGGCTTCTCACAGTGCAGGCCCCATAGAGAGCTGCTATTATGTTGAGGGCCGTGGCAACATCACAGGGCAATGTCTTGGAGTTTCATAGAGTTGATTTCCATGAGCATTGGATTCTAGCTCCTGTAGGTTGCCAGGTGTTCTTGTGGATCAAAAATAATGAGACCATCACCTACAAGCACTGGAGAATTGGATAGTTTCAAAAAGGTGCTTTCTTCAATGTATTCATAAAATGTAAAGTCTAAATGCATTTCCTATTTGAAGCTCTTAGGAATCAGACTTTTTGTGCCAGAATCCTTTCTGAAACATGTGTTCTATTTTATGCTATCAATCATTGCAACTTTGCAATGGAAGAAGTGTGTTCAGAAAAGCAATACAAACCTAAAGCATGCTTTCCTATGGGCCCTCCCTTTCTAGAAATGCAGCCACTGCCTCTGCTGAACTAGGAGGGGGGCCTGAGAGGGTGCACCGACTGCCCAAGGTCACACATGCACCAGAGGCAGGGGGCAGGCAGCTGGGGCAGGGGCCACCCCACTGGCCTATGTCCCTGTCCTCGTTGCCTGGCTCCGAGAGAGACACTCAGCATCGTGGTACTCACTAAGGGTCTAGCACCTGAATATTCATATAGTGTGGAGCCCTGTTGAGCTCACCCTGGCAGGGACTTGCAGGGGCAGGGATAGGAGCGCGTGATGAGCCCCACTGGGGTGTCACATGGACAGCCCTGGAGGGTGTGGAGCTCAGCAGTGATGCAGGTGTCACCTGGGAGCCACACTGCCATCCTCCACACACACATGTCCACTGCTGATGCTTTCCTAACGACTCAGTTTTCAAAGAGCAGTGGAAAGAAGTAAAGCAGCGTGCCCCCACGTCACCCCAAAGGACAGGAATGCAGTGTGCTGTGCAGATGTCCCTGAGCAGGGAGGGCAACCGTTTTCCCAGTGCAGGGTCCTACATCTTGACAGGTGTTGGGTTTGGCTTCCGGCCAGTGAGTCCCAGACAGCCCGTCTTGTTCCTCCTGTGGACAAATTTTCTGGGGGAAAACTTAAAGTTGCACAAGCAATAGGAACGTCTCCCATCCAGCCAGTGGTAGAATTTTGTCATGAATGCCAGTGCTCAAGAAGAGAGGCTCCTGTCAGTGGGAATTCTTGAGAAATCATGGCCAAGTGGACTGTTTCATGTCAGACTTCTCTGCATATGAAAACGCTGTTTCTACATGGGAAGCACACAGGCAGGTCCCATGGTGGGCTGTGGAGCGAGGCTCTCCCTCTGGTTACCCAGACTGAACTGGCCAGCCCCCAGTCAGCGTTGCAGGCACTTGTACAGCAAGGTGGCCAGAGCCCAGGGCCACGAGGCTCCAGGGGCCCCTGGAGTGCAGGGGACCAGGGGACAGTGTCCTAGGAACAGACACTGCTCTGGGTCTCTGCCCTCTTGTGTCTCTCCTTTCTCTCTGGCCTTTTCTGCTCCCCCAGTCAGATCCCGGTTGAGTTCTGGAATCCCAGGGCTCCTGGCAGGTCCTTGACCACTTGCTGTCTCCTCCGGAGATGAGCAATCCATGCTCTGCATCTGAAGCAGGGGTCAGCTGGGGTTCCCAGCTTCTTCTGTCCTGCTGCACCGTGAGGATGGCCAGGCACCTAGGGGTGGGGGACATAGGCCGGGGAGATGTCCCTGAGGGGAGGTGGCCCTCGAGGAGGCTGCAGGTGAGGGAGCCGGCCTTCCCTGCTCAGGTGGGCTTGGCTCCCCGCTGGCCATACCCACTCACTTGAGGAGGCTGGAGCACCAAACCACTGTGATGTGGCCTGGGAGGGGCCAGGCCCCACAGCATTCCACACATAGCTTTCCTAAGCCTTGGAAAATGTAAGGAAGACACCCATTGAGGATACCACCCCAAACAAACCATCTAGGAGCACACTTCCATGGATGTTCAGTACCTACGTGAAAGGCCAACTCTGCCCAAAGCCCTCGAACTTCTGCAATGAGCGGTTCTCAGGGGAAACAGCATTGAAATGAAAGCAAACCTGGAAGAAGTCTCAGTGCAATTGCTTTACAACTTGACGAGGCTTCTTTTGCAGATAAAAGTTTTGGGGAAAAATGCAAGTGTGAGATCAGATATGTGAAAAAACAAATATGTGAAGAGAAACACGAAAGACGAGAAGGAATGAGGGAACTTTGTCCTGTAACTGGCCACATTTTATATAATGCCACACCAACACAGGAATAACAGGAAAGTCCCAGATACAGGTGTATGACAAACTCAGCAAACCCAACCTCTTAGACAACTGCAAAAGTGTGGCTCACCCATGTTACGAAAGTGGACACGCATTTGGAGAGGAACTGATAGGGTTTGGCTCTGTGTCCCCACCCAAATCTCACCTTGAATTGTAATAATCCCCACATGTCAAGGGTGGGAACAGGTGGAGATAATTGAATCACGGGCGTGGTTTCCCCCATGCTATTCTGGTGATAGTAAATGAGTTCTCACAAGAGCTGATGGTTTTATAAGGGGCTTCCCCCTTTGCTCTGCTCTCATTCTTCTCTCTCCTCCCACCACGTGAAGAAGGACATGTTTGCTTCTCCTTCTGCCATGATTGTAAATTTTCTGAGGCCTTCCCAGCCATGTGGAACTGTGAGTCAATTAAACCTCTTTTCTTTATAAATTACCCAGTGTCTCAGGCAGTTTTTTTATAGCAGCATGAGAACGGGCTAATACAGTAACAAAAAGTTGCATTCAGTTTTTTGCCAAGATAAATCTTGGACTTATGTGTAAGTAACAATAATGTAAGAGTACTAGAAAAAGCACATGTGAAGAAATCCTTATGTAATTTTGGGAGAGGGGTATCTCTATGGCAGCAACATAGAACTGTCTTCATGAAACGTGATGTATTGAGGTCTCAACATTTGGGCCCTGTGTCAGGGCAGAGCCGGCCAGGCTCTGGAGCCAGTCAAGATGGGTGTGGGAGGTGTTGCCAGGATCAGAAAACACGTTGAGGTGGGGCTCCTCTTGGCCACAAACATGCTGCTGTGCCTGCAGGAGCCATTTGGCCATCTCCAGAGGACCAGCACGCACATGTACATAGCTATGCACACACATAAACACACACTTCATACATGCATGCATACATACCCACACAGTTATACATGTGTACATGCATGCACACATGATTATATGCATCCACACACATTTATACATGTATATATGCATACACACATACACATACATACACACATACATGTGTGCACACATACCCATACACACATATACCTATAATACATATATGTACAGTATTTGTATACATACACATATTTACATACACATGCACCTATATACATGCACATATTTACACATACATATATATGCACTTACACATGCCCACATATATACATGCACATATTTATACACATACATATATACACATTTACAAACACACACCCACACTCATATAGCGATTTCTATCTTCTGTTACTCTGGACCCTCATGAGTTTAGAAGGGGGTGAGCCAGGGTGGGGGATCCGGAGACAGCTGTCCACTTGCCTGTGGGGGCAGTGGTTGGGAGCAGATGACCTGAGCTCAGTGGGCTACCACTTTTGCCAGGTATTGGTCTTGTCATTCTAAGATGGACATAACAACAATTCCTGCCCGTGGTTGCGCTGAGCATCGTGAGACAAAGTGCCCAGAATAGGCTCAGCTAGTTGCAAGAGCAGAGAGTGTGGTCTTGTGCTGGGAGGCCCTCTGAGGTGGGGCCTCTGAGGTGAGGTCCCCCTCTTTGGGAGACCTCATGGGCTGGGGCAGCATGTCTGGACTCCAGGGGCCTCATCAGCAAGAGCCCAGGCTTGTTTTGGGAGCCTGGAGGGAGGTAGCCATGGTAGTAGCCCTGAGTGGAACAGCTGTGCCCAGCACAGTGACCATCTCTTGGGCAGTGTGGGTGATGCCTTGAGAAATGCTTGGAATCAGCCAGGGTCACTTTGAGGGCCTAATATCTGGCACAGGGGCTGGGAGAGGGTTGTCACTGTGCTTTGTGATGAAGGAAGAGCACCTCCACCTTGGTCAGGCTATTGAGGTTGGGGGGCGTTTCCTGGTCCCCTCTTCCCTCCCACACCTCCTAAGAGGCATCTTCCTTCCCAGGTGTGTGAAGGTGAACGTGGCTGTCTTGTGCCCTCCATGGCCCACCCATGTGGGTGCTGCCTGGAGATACACACCATGTGTGTGCCAAGGAAAGGTACCAATGACTGTAACGATGACGCTGTGGCCACAAGCCTCTCCAACCAACTCTTTGGTGATTTTCTGATATCAGTATAGTTACATACACACGCAACTGAGGCTATATCAGAATGGCCTTTCCAGTCTCGCTTTTGAAAGTGGAATCCCATTTAATATTTTCATTCTGATCTACATGAAATTCAAACCTGCCTTGAAGACCCACCTCAGATTCCCTCTGTGAAGCCTTACCTGGCAGCGCAGTCATTGCCATCGCCATCCCTGTCTGCTTCTACGGTCTTCACCTTGCGTTATACTTGCTCACAGAGTCTTACGTGCCTGAGTAAGGCGATAGGCCAGCAACTCACCTGTCCATTACCCCCTTCCTAGAACAGCACCTGGGCCAGTACCCATTGAGGAATTATTGGTAACATTCTGATAAAATACAGAATTGCAAAATTTAACATTTCTCAATTTGGAATTTTGTCGAAGCCTGTGAGCTTGCTTAATGCAGGGCATTAGACCTCTGTGAAAATGCAGAAATAGTATTCTAGTTTTACATCGTATCGTAGTGTCATTATTTGCTTTGCATCTATTCACAGTTTATAGAGTATCTGATGGGGTGGAATTATTTTGGGGGTTTATGGATTTATTCTCATGTTTCCCCACCAGCTTCTACTGATTTCCCTTTTTAACTTGTGGATTTGCATTTGGGTTGATTAGCTCTGAGGCCAGCAATGCTCAGAGCTAGACTGAGGTTGATCCCTGCATGATTCCAAGTTTGGAAGGGTCATGAACGGCCTCTCAGCAGAAGGCGTGATTATTTTTATCTGTGGCTGTACTGTAATTAGAACACAGCTGTGAGAGTTGGTAGTTTACAAGTTTCTAATGAGCTATTTCCTTCCCCAATCACATTAGTTGGGGAGTTAATTGGGTCCATCTGGTGCATAATTCACAGTATCTCTAATATCTGTGATTTTATAAGCCTGTGGCAAACTTGGACTCTCGATTCACAAGGGGGAGTTTTGGTGCTTGAGTTCAACGGCAGAGTTTAGTGAAATGCAGGGACAGCAAAGCTGAGCTGGGGCTTTGCAGTAAACATGCCCTAGGAAGCAGAGCCACTGGATTCCAGTGAGGTGGTCAGGGCCATTCAGCACCCCAGCCAGCCTCAGGGATCTGGTTCCTGAGGGGGGTCACTGATCTGTGGGTTACCCGGCCAGGCCCAGCCTCTGATAGGAGGATCCTCTCCAGCTCAGTGAAGCAGAGGGGGGTTAGACAGTAGCTACAAATGCTGGCTTTCTTCTCATGATGAATGTATGTTCCTGATTTTTTTGCAGAATAGTGTGCTACAGGGCACAAGGCTATAGGAAAGATAACATGGGGCATATCTATAAACTCCTGGTCACATGAGGACGAAATCTGACCCAATCAACCAGTGCCCAAGCATCCCATGGTCCCCGCCTGCACCCTTCGGAGACTACACCTGGTCTGGAGGCTGGGACAGGAGGATTGCTTGAGGCTGGGAGTTGGAAGCTGCAGTGTGCCATGGTCTGGCCTCTGAATGAATAGCCACTACACTCCAGCCTGGGCAGCCTAGTGAGACCTGTGTCTATTAAAAAAAAAAAAAAAAAAAAAAAAAAAGGAAGGCCAGGCGCAGTGGCTCATGCCTGTAATCCCAGCACTTTGGGAGGCTGAGGCGGGCGGATCACCTGAGGCCAGGAGCTTGAGACCAGCCTGATCAACATGGAGAAACCCCATCTCTGCTAAAAAAACAAAATTAGGTGGACGTGGTAGCGCATGCTTGTAATCCTAGCTACTCGGGAAGCTGAGGCAGGAGAATTGCTTGAACCTGGGAGGCGGAGATTGCTGTAAGCAGAGATCACACCATTGCACTCCAGCCTGAGTGACAAGAGTGAAACTGTCTCAAAAAACAAAACAAAACAAAACAAAACCATAAAGGGAAATGTCTGTAGATTTCCCAACTGTAGTTCCTTGCCTGGAAGCATAGCATACTGCACAGTGTGGTGGTGCTGGCAGCCAGTGAGCCAGGATGTCCTTTTGAGGCCAGCGCCCTCCACAACATTCTCTAAGTGTGAGTAAACTTGCCCCCTTGCTTCAACACATCCCTGTGGGAAGACCTGCAGAGGTCCCAGCTCCAGAGGCCTCCAGGCAGGATCCACCCTCATATGGGTGGGAGGCAGGCACAACCCAAGTCACCATGCCCTGTGCAGGGCCACACATGCAGCCCAGCTCCGAGTGGCTGTACTGGGGTGGAGGGCAGTAGGGGGTGCAGGGCAGAGGAGGGGTGCTGCAGGGCAAGGATGGGGCGGGATGGGTGAGATGGGGATGGAACCGGTTTCATTTTCCCTAGTGGCATGAGGGAGAGTAGTACTGACTTCTCAGGGTCTGCTCCTGACCAAGAGCCACTCCATGCCATGTGTTTTACCTGCACTCGGCATGTCTGTGTGGCCTCATGTCCAGGAGAGGATAGTTCTGCCGGCAACAAGAATGACACAACAATCATCATGAAATGGATTAAAGACAACCTGAGGTGTATGAAGCAATAGGTGCGTATTATGTCTGTCTCCTAGATGAAGAGGATGCGTGCGTATGCTCATTCCCATGCTTTCCCACCACTGGAGGGCACTGGTCTTTTTTTTTTTTTTTTTCTTTTTTGAGATGGAGTCTCACCCTGTCACCCAGGCTGGAGTACAGTGGCACGATCTCGACTCACTTCAACCTCCGCCTCCCGGGTTCAAGCTATTCTCCTGCCTCAGCCTCCCAAGTAGCTGGGATTACAGACGCCTGCCACTATTGCTGGCCTGCTAATTTTTGCGTTTTTAGTAGAGACGGGGTTTCACCATGTTGGCCAGGCTGGTCTCGAACTCGACCTCAGGTGATCTGCTTGCCTCAGCCTCCCAAGAGGGTATTGATCTTTTCCTTTTTTTCTGTGAAACAAGGTCTTGCTCTGTTGCCCAGACTGGAGTGCAATGGTGCGATCAAAGCTCACTGCAGCCTGAAACTCCTGGGCTCAAGCGATCCTCCCACCTCACCCTCCTGAGTAGCTGGGACTACAGGCATGTGCCACTACACCCAGCTAACTTTTAACATTTTTTTTTCTGGAGAGATGGGATCTTGCTATGTTGCCCAGGCTGGTCTCAAACTCCTGGCTTCAAATGATCCTCCTGCCTTAGCCTCCCAAAGAGTTGGGATTACAGGTGTGAACTACCACCCCAGCCCAATTTTTTCAATTATTTTTAGTGTGGAAAAAATATATATCATATAATCTACCATTTTAGCCATTTTTAAGTGTACAATTCAATGGCATTAATTACATTCCTAATGGGCAACCATCAGCACAAATTCTAAAATTTTTTCATCACTCCAACTATGAACTCTGTGCTCATTAAGCAATAACTCTCCGTGCCTTCCTCCCCACAGGCTCTGGAACCTGCAATTTCCTTTCTGTCTCTGTATTTACCTTTTGTAGATATTTCATACACGTGAACTCATGCAGCATTTGTCCTTTTGTTCCTGGCTTATTCATTCAGCATGATGTTTTCAAGGTTCATCATATTCGGCATGTGTCAGAATTTCATTCCTTTTATGAGTAAATGATGTTTCATTGTGTGTATATACCATATTTTATTAATCTTTTATTGATAGACATGGGTTGTTTCCACATTTTGGCTATTTTGAATAATGTGGCAATGAATATTGGTGTATAAGTATCTGAGTCCCTGCTTTCCATTATTTTGGGATATACATCTAGGAGTGAAATCGCTAGATTATGTGGTAACTATGTTTAACTTTGTGAGAACCTGCAAAACTGTTTTTCATAGAGTTTTCCACACTTTGCATTATTACTAGCAGTGCATGAGAGTTCTGGTTTCTCTATATACTCACCAACATTTATATTCCTTTTTTTATTCTAGCCATCCTAGTCAGTGTGAAGTAATATCTCATAGTAGTTTTGCTTTACATTTCTCTAATGACTAATGATGTTGAGCATCTTTTTATGTGCTTATTGGCCTTCTGTATATCTTCTTTGAAGAACTGTTCATGTAAGTCTTTCGCCCATTTAAAAATTGGGTTGTATTTTTGTTGTTGAGTTGTAGGAGTTTTTAAAATATTGGATACTAGACCCTTATCAATATATGATTTGCAAGCAATTTCTTTAATTCCATAGGTTGTCGTTTCACTTTCTTGAGAATGTCTTTTGTTCTCTTGTTTTTGAGACAGGGTGTTGCTCTGTAACCCAGGCTGGAGTGCAGTGGTGTCATTATGGCTCACTGCAATCTCTGTCTCCCGGGTTCAGGCCATCCTCCTCAGCGTCTCAAATAGCTGAGACTACAGGTATATGCCACCATGCCTCACTAATTTTTGTATTTTGGGTAGAGACAGGGTTTCACCATGTTGCCCAGGCTGGTCTCAAACTCCTGAACTCAAGTGATCTTTCCACCTTAGCCTCCCAAAGTGCTGGGATTATGGTCATGAGCCACCGTGCCCGGCCCTGAAATGTCTTTTGAAGCGCAAAGGATTTTAATTTTGATGAAGCTCAATTTATCTATTTTTTTTTCTGTTATTGCTTGGGATTTTGGTGCTATAGCTAAAGATCCATTGCCAAATCCAAGGTCATGTTTGTTTTTTTCTAAGAATTTTATGGTTTTATCTTAAATAAATGATCTATTTTGAGTCAATTGTTTTATAGGGTGTGAGGTAGGGGTCTAACTTCATTCTTTTGCACGTGGAAATTTAGTTATCCCAGCACCAATTGTTGAAGAGACTATTTATTCTCTGTTGAATGGTCTTTGCACTCTTGCCACAAAACTGGTTGGCCATAAGATGTATGAGTTTATTTCTGGACTTTCATTTGTATTCCATTGTAGTAAGTTTTGATATTTGAAAATGTGAGTACTGGAAAGTTGTTCTTTGTCAAGATTGTTTTGGCTGTTCAGAGCCCCTTGAAGTTCCATATGAATTTGATGACCAGCTTTTACATTTCTTTGGAATTTTGATAGGTGTTGCACTGAATCACTTTGGATAGTATTAAAATATTAATGACATTAAGTCTTCTTATCCATGAACATAGGGTGCATTTTAATTTATTTAGGTCTTCTTTAATTTCTTTCAGTTATGTTTTACAGTTTTTAGTGTACACGTCTTTTACCTCTTTGTTAAATTTATTTTTAGCTATTTTGTTCTTTTGGATGCTATTGTAAATGGAATTGTTTTCTTAATTTCCTTTTTCAGATAGTTCATTGCTGATGTATAGCAACACAACAAATATTTTGCATTGAAAATTGTACTTGCAACTTGATGAATTAATTTATTAGCTCAGTAGCTTTCTTGTGGATTCTTTGGGATTTTCTACATATAGATTCATGGGATCATGTCTGCAAATGGAGATATTTTTACTTCTTCCTTCCCCATCTGGATGTCTTTTATTTCTTTTTCTTGTTTAATTACTCTGGCTTGAACTTCAAGTACAATGGTGAATTAGCAATAGTGAAAGTAGGCATCCTTGATTTGTTCCTGATCTTAGGGGGAAAATTTTCAGTCTTTTACCATTGAGTATGATGTTAGCTGGCTGTGGGTTTTTCATATATATCCTTTATCACGTTGAGGCAGTTCTCTTCTATTCCTAGTTTTCTGGGTAATTTTCACCCTACTCCCAGAGAGCTTATGCTTAAGATGGAAGATGGCAGGAAGACATAACAAGTGGGGGAAGAAGCCTAGACCACGTGTTTCCCTGGAGTCCATCTATATGACATGAGGTCTGTCTGTATGTCTTAATGGTGATGAAGTTGACAATGTTCAAAGGATGGTGCCATGGACAGATAATCATGCCAAGCTGGAGAGGTCCGAATTCATCCTCTATGCCAGTGTTTCTCATAATGTGGTACTATATCAATATCTCCTAGGTGTTAAAAATATAGCTCTTTGAGCCACACTCTCTTCTGAATCAGAGTCTCTGGAGGAGGATTCTGGGAAATTGTCTTTGAAGTAAATTCCTCAGGTGATTTGACTGTGGGCTTATTTTTGGAAACCACTGCTATAGGTCATGGTGGGAGAGAATGAGGTGAGAATGGTGTTTTGGGGAGTCTGAAGTTTGTGAGATGGCCTGGGATATAGGCCAGGGCATGTGTCAGGGCCTGACCAAAGAGAGGGATGCACAGGCAGGCATGGGAGTGTGTGCTGGCAAATTTTTTTCGGAGAGGGGAGTCCAGTGATCTTTGGATTGTTCCAGATCTAGAGTTGTTCCCAATAATTCTAGGATCCCAAAATTTTCAAAGAGGATGACAAGAGGGAAATCTTGAGCAGGTGGCTTTTAGGAAAACATTAATTCATTTTTAGGCATGTCGATTTGAAGTAAGAGTAAAGCCAGGCTTGTGGCTGCCTACCCTGTGTGAAGAGGCACAGCCTCTATAAAAGGAATAACCCCAAATTTCCATCACAATATCGGTTCATTTCTTGCTTGTATGGATGAAGTCCACTTGGCAGCATGGTGGTAGTGCTGTGGTCATTATTCAGCACCAGCATGATAGGTACCCTGTCCTGTTGTTGTCAGTGCATGGTTGGTTGCCCCTTCCCTCCTTTCCCCCTGCCCTCTGCCCTGGGATATGACCTCTAGGGACTTCTTAGAGCTCCCTGGTGGCTTCTGGCTGGGTTCAGCCCATGGGGCATGGTAGGAGATGGAGCATGATGCGACTGGGGCTCTTATTTCTTCAGTCCTCCCTTTCCTGTCCTCCCAGAAAGACCCTTGTGGCTGATGTGTCCTTAACAAGAGACCTCCATTCATCTCAGAATGGCTCTTCTGCAAGACTCTTTTCTGCTGGGTTCTGACAACTGCCTCCTCCCTTTATCCCCTTCAGGCCAGGGGTGGTAACAGATCTGCTGTTCCTAACCCCATCATACTGCACGTGTGTTTTCCCTACACTCTGCCTACACTTTTGCAAATTTTCCCTTTATTGAATCCTCCTTGAATTATTCTGACTTAGTGAGCCACCCATTTCCTTCTGGTATCCTGACTGGTAGAATAGCTTCCAAGATGGCACTGCGGGTAAAGTCCATCTGGAGTGTGGAAGAAGAGAGAGGGAGGATGATGCACAGGAAGAGAGAGTCTGGAGTGTCATCCATCATGTCCTCCTCTGGCCACTATCTGGGACTTGGTTCTGTGGTCCCCTGAAATAGAAGGGGTGGGACACGTGGTCCCTAACCAGCGAGCCATCTCATAGCAGCAACTCCACACTGAGCAGCTGCCCTGGTGAAGAGCTGGTGGTCTGTGTTGCAGGAAGGGGCAGTTCTCAAGACTGAGGGTTTTGGTATGAATATTCAGTATCACTTAACCTGATATCACCAGGATATTTTAGGTGTCTTAAGAGTGATGATAGCACAACACCCTGTTTTAGAGACTAGTATATATGAGTTTGGAGGAAACTGTGACAGATAACTAAGAAGTATTTGTTGGAGAGAAATACTGGATTTCTCTGTAAAATACTGTAGCCTGGATTTAAGTAGTTCTGGCATTTTCTGTGCTATGTGCCGGGTGCTGTGCTGGGAGGCAGTTACATAAGCAAGTGGCCCTGATATGTTGAGTTAAATGTGGTACTGGTGAGTGTGAGGTCCAGCCAGGTAGAGGGTGTATGAGCTCCAGCTCCATCAGAGGAAAATGGGTCTGCACAAAGGAATGGAGGGTACCAGAAACACTGACAGCTTTGTAAATCTACACATTCCTTCTTATCATTAAAAGGTAATTGGCAATTGAAATAAAAATAATCAAAATGAAGTGTGCGTCTCATATCACATGTAAAAATGTGACAGCAGTGATACAAAGGCTGAGGAGAGAAATGGAAGCACACTCTTCTTGTATGTGAACCACAGTGTACCATAGAGGTAAAGTGTTATATACTGTATATGTGTACATACATGTATATATTCCTATTGTATGCTCTCTAGCAATGGGTATAATATCATTTTCAGTTAGACTGTGGGAAGTTAAAGATGTATACTGTAAACCCTAAAGCAATACCTAGAATAAAAAAGAGTTATAACTAATAAGCCAATAAAAGGATAAAATGGAATCATACAAAATAATTAATGCAAAATAAGGCAGAAAAAGGGAACAAGGAACAGATTGTCAAATAGAAAACAAGTATCAAGATGGTAGATTTAAATCTAAATATATTTCTAATCACATTATATGTGAATGGACTTATTATCTCGATTAAAAGGTAGACATTGTCATATTGGGAAAGAAATAAAAATTGAACTATATGCTACTTATAAAGGAACCAATTCTAAGTATTAAAATCATTCTAAGTATTAAAATAACATATGGAGATAGGTTAAATACAAAAATGAAAAAAGACATACAGTGCTAAAACTGATACTGTCCAAAGAAAAATGGGATGTCTATATTAATATCAGAAAAAGTAGGTTACAGAGCAAAGAATATTACTAGGGACAAAGAAGGCCAGACCATAATGATACAGGGGTCAATTGATCCCAAGGACATAATTCACAGTGCATATGGACTTAGTAACAGAGCTGCAAAATACACGAAGCAAAAACTGATAGAACACAAGAAAGAATCATAGTTGGAGATTTCAATACCCCCTTCTTATTAATTAATAGAACAAATAGACAGAAAATCCTGTAAAGCCATGACTTGTTCAGATGCCTGTAGCACGTGGCAGGGATAATTGCCATCTGCAGAGAAATGTGCTATTATTCACTGTGACGAGTCTCCAGGCCGTGTATGTGTCAGGTCCATGCCAGGCCACTGGGACAAGAATCTCCTGGACAAGCATCCTGGACAAGCATCCTGGATAAGTATCCAGGAAGGCCAGTGGTTTTCGAAGAAGAGCTTAGGAAATATACCTAGCCACTGTGTCACTGGCAGAGTCTACCTAGGAACATGAGATAGGGACAATCTGCCATCTGCTTCATGCATGCGTTGCCACCTACTATCATTTCAGAGAATGCCCTTGAATGTTTCATTGATTTCAAATTAGATATTGGTTAGAATAATTTTTTAAGACTATACTTCCCCTTTTTTTATGTGGGATATCACTGTTGAGCAAGTTGTACACATACACATATATAATATGAAAAATGTTAACACAAGTTGTAAAATGGTCTTTCAGAGAGCTGTCTACTCTGGCAAAATGGAATGAGCTCAGGCTTCATCCAATAACATATGGAGGTACTGTCTGCCCATCTGTGTTCCTGTTGACATTGCTCAATGTTTTCCTTTCCAGGACTCAAGCATTCATTGGCCTTTCTGTGAAAGTATGGCTATTAGGAAAAGATACAGCTTTTAACTCATGGCCTGCACATCATTCATTAACATGAAGAATCTTATCTTTCTTCCTTGAAAAGCATAGCCCATCTGGTTTGTTTTGGGAGGAGTATACTTCTGTGCTTTGTGCAATAAAAATGATTTATCTCTTCAATAACCAGCCCAGTCACAAGCCCATCTAATGTTAATAATTAATTTTGGGGCTTTCCAGCTAACTGGAGTGAATGTTGGTCTGATTTCTTCCCTCGGGTTTTTTCTGCCTGAAAACAATCCTTCCAATACTGATTTCTTTGCACACTGGGCTGAGATTTGAAAACTTGCTTAATTACATGGCAGTGGTTCTCTAAACAGGAGTCTTTCATGTTCCATCCGTTTGCTTTGAAAAGGAAGGATTGCATCCTTATGTCTGAGGAATTACTTAAGCCCAAGGATCGAATGTTCTGTTTTACTACCTGTGTGTAAGCCCCAGAAAAAATGGGCACCAATCTTCTTTATTGTGATTTTTGGAGATTTATTGAGCGATCACCAGCTTCACAGCAAGCTGGATAGAAACAGCCATGCATGTTTGGCTTTATTTCTGGTATGTCTACTTCTTGTGTCTCACTGGGCTCAGGCACTACCCTACCACCTCTCCGTCTCTCTGTTGAATTGTAAACTTCAAAAATCCTACCACTGGGCCTACTTGCTGTTTAAACTACTTTCCTTAGGGGAAAGGACAATTGAAATTAGACCTTAAATACAGGTGATGTTCTTACATCCAAGTAATCCTAAAATTGCTCCTGTAAATATTTCTCAGTGAATACCTCCCCAGGCTTTGGGGCATATGATTATACTTTTTTGCCAATTATTAATATCCATTTATATTCAATATTTCTTGTGTTAACTGTCCTTACAAATTGTCTGGAAGCATTTTAAAAACAGTTTGTAGACATTCTCTTAAAAATATTAATTTGCACCCTCTGTAATGAAACTAGTTGTTCGAACAAAGGTTACCATCAACCCTAACATATTTTCCAATTAGGGGGCACTGCTAGGATTGGTGGAGTATAAACGAATAAAATTTTATTATGTTGGCAGAGAGAGAAAGTGAAAAAACTTTTCACTTGTAAAGACTGCATTCTTTTAATCCCTTTTTCTGCTACTATTAATATATAATATACAGGGCATCTTGGTTTGGCAATTCATTTGAAACTTTAATATTCCTATTAATACTCACTTTACCTCCAAGTCCCTTAATTTTTAGAAAGCATTTTATTTATTTATTTATTTATTTATTATTTATTTATTTACTTTGAGACAGAGTCACACTATGCCACCTAGGCTGGAGTGCGGTGGTGCAATCTTGGTTCACTGCAATCTCCACCTCCTGGGTTCAAGTGAGTCTCCTGCCTCAGCCTCCCAAGTAGCTGGGACCACAGGTGTGTATCACCACGCCCAGCTAATTTTTTTTTTTTTTTTTTGTATTTTTAGTAGAGATAGGGTTTCCTCATGTTGGCCAGGCTGGTCTTGAATTCCTGGCCTCAAGTGATCCACCCACCTTGGCCTCCCAAAGTGCTGGGATTACAGGCGTGAGCCACCGCACCTGGCCCGAAGGCATTTTTAAAATAAGAGTTTCTTCATTTCATAGAATAGCTAGAAATGATAAGTAGAAATGATTAGTTTTCATCTTGTATTTCAGGGTTTCAGTACAGTCTTTCATCCCATCATTTCTTGAATTCCTATTTTCTATCCTTCCCTGTATCATTTATTTACTGTGCAAATTTCTCTTGTTTTCAAGTTGATAAGTTCATTCTTCCTTTAAAAATAGCATGTAATATTTGATCTACACAAAATAATATATGTAACATATGGATAGGTTATGAAGTTTAGTTTTTACAAACCCCTGTATGCTCACCAACCAATTGTTCCTCTTTTACCCCATCTCTTTGCTTCCCAACATGGAGACTTCTCTCTGGAATTGTGTATTTAAAATTCCTGTATGTGTACGCATGCCTCTCTCTCTCTCTCATCTCATGCACATTCACTCTTTCTATCTAAAACCAAATAAATTTATCCTAAACAATGTATTCTTCAGTGTGTCTTGGTTTTGAGCCTTATAAAAATTGCATCATGTGTGTATTCTTCTATTTTTCTTCATGCAACATTATGTTTCTAAGATTTATCCATATTGATTTGTTTAGCTGTAGTTCATTTATTTCCACTATTGTGTGAAATTCCATTGTGTGAATATACCATTGTGTGTTGATTTTGTATCCTTCAGTTATGCTGAATTTATTAATCCTAATGATTTTAAAAATGGAGTCTTTAGAGTTTTCTACACATAAAGTTGTGTTATCTACAAATAGAGATAATTTTACTTCTTCCTTTCCAGTTTGGATGCCTTTCATTTGTTTTTCTCCCCACCTGTTCTGGCTAGAACTTCCAATACTGCATTGAGTAGAAGTAGCAAAACAGGCATCCTTACCTTGTTCCTAGTCATAGGGGAAAAGCTTTCAGTCTTTCACCATTCAGTGTGATGTTAGCTGTGCGTTTTTCATAAATAGTCTTTATTATGTTACAGTAGTTTCCTTCTATTCCTAGTTTGCTGAGGGTGTGCATTTTTTTTTTTTTTAATCATGAAAGGGTGTTGAACTTTGTCAAATGTTTTTCCTGCATCAGTTGAGATGCTCACGTTTTTTTTTCTTTACTGTGTTAATGTGTATTTCATAGATTGATTTTTCCCATTTTAAGCCATCTCAGTATACCAGGAATAAATCCTACTTCATCATGGTGTATAATACTTTTAATATGCTGCTGAGTTTGATTTGCTTAGTATTGAGTATTTTGTTGAGGATTTTTGCATCAGTATTCACCAGGAATATCGGTTTGTAGTTTTCTTTTCGTATAGTGTCTTTGTCTGGCTTTGGTATCAGGGTAATGCTGGCCTCATAGAATAAGTTAGGAAGTTAGGTCTCACAGAATGAGTTTGCCCTCCTTTTCAATTTTCTGGAAGAGTTTGAGAAGAATTGGTGTTAATTTTTCTTTAAACGTTTGGTAGAATGCACCAGTAAGGCTATCTCATCCAGGGCTTTTCTTTGTTGGGAAGTTTTTGATTACTGATTCAATCTTTTTCCTGGTTGTAGGTCTATTCAGATTTTTTTATTTCTCCATGATTCAGTCTTGGTAGGTTGTGTGTACTTAGGAATTTGTCCATTTCATCTAGGTTATCCAATTTTGGGGCATACAGTTGTTCATAGTATTTTCTTATAATACTTTTTATTTTTTAAAAATTGGTAGTCATGTCCCTGATTCCATTTCTGATTTTAATAATTTGAGTTTTTCCTTAGTCAGTCTAGCTAAAGATCTGTCAATTTTGTTAATCTCTTCAAAAAACCAACTTTTGGTCTCATTAATTTTCTTTATTTTTAAAATTCACTACAGATCTCCTCTCTAATATTTATTATTTCTGTTAGCTTTTTAGTTTAGTTTGTTCTCCTTTTTCCAGTTCCTTATCGTATAAAATTAGGTTGCTAATTTGTGATCTTTCTTCTTTTTTAATGTCAGCATTTACAGCTATAAATTTCCCTTTTAGTACTGCTTTCACTGCACCACATAAATTTTGATGTGTTATGTTTCATTTTCATTTGTCTCAAGGTATTATATTAGTTTGCTAGAATTGCCATCACAAAATGCCAGACTGTGTGGCTTAAACAACAAAAATTAATTTTCTCACTGTTCTTGAGGCTAGAAGTCCAAGGTCAAGGTGCTGGTATGGTTGGTTTCTTCTGAGTCCTGTCTCCTTGGCATGCGATGGCTCCACTCTTCCTTCCTCTTCACATGGTTCTGTCAGTGCATGTGTGCTCCTGGTGTCTCTTTGTGTGTTTGAAGTGTTTGAATTTCCTCTTCTTTTTTTTTTTTTTTTGAGATGGAGTCTCTCTCTGTCACCCAGGCTGGAGTGCAGTGGCACAATCTTGGCTCACTGCAACCTCCGCCTCTTGGGTTCAAGCAGTTCTCCTGCCTCAGCCTCCCGAGTAGCTGGGATTATAGGTGCGTGCGACCACACCCGGCTATTTTTTTATTTTTAGCAGAGACAGGGTTTCACCATGTTGGCCAGGCTGATCTTGAACTTCTGACCTTGTGATCCACCTGCCTTGGCCTCCCAAAGCATTGGGATTACAGGCATGAGCCACCGCGCCTGGCCAAACTTCCTCTTCTTATAAGGACACCAGTCAGATTGGGTTTAGATCCATCCTAATGGCTTCATTTTAACTTAATCATTTCCTGAAAGACCTCATCTCCAAACACATTCACACATTGTGGGGTACTAGGGGTTAGGGCTTCAACATAGGAATTTCAAAGCTACACAGTTCAGCCCATAACAGGTGTTTTCTAATTCCTCCTTTGATGGATTGGTTAAGAGTATGTTGTTTAATTTCCACATTTTGGTGAATTTTCTAGTTTTCCTTCTGTTATTGATTTCCAGTTCATTCCTATTATGATTGGAAAAGATACTTTGTATTACTTCAAATTTTTAAAAATTATTAAAACTTGTGTCCTAACATATGGTCTATTCTGGAAAACGTTTCATGTGCACATTAGATAAAAGTGTATTCTGCTATTGTTGGGTGGAGTGTTTTGTATATGTCTGTTAGGTCCAATTGGTTTATAATGTTGTTCAAGTCTTCTGTTTTGTTATTGATCTTCTGTCTGGCTATACTATCCATTATTAACAGTGAAGTATTGAAGTCTTCAACCATTATGGTAGAGTGATTTTTCCCTCCTGTTTTGTCAGCATCATATATTTTGGAGCTCTAATGTTTGGTGCATATTATTTGTAGTTGTTATAACTTCTTGGTGAATTGACTCTTTTATCATTATATAATATTTTTCTTTGCCTCTTGTAACGGTTTTTGTCTTAAAGTCTATTTCGTCTTAACTCTCTTTTGGTTACTACTAGCATTGAAATATCTTTTCTCATCCTTTCACTTTCAACCTATTTATGTCTTTTGATCTACAGTGCATCTCTTGTAGACAGCATATAATTGAACTGTGTGTATGTGTGTGTGTTTTAAAATCCATTCTGCCACTCTTTGCCTTTTGATTGGAGAGCTTAGTCCATTTACACTGATTTTGTTTAGTTATTTATCCATGTTTTGCCAAATGGCTTTGTGCTGGGTCAATCCTTCATAACTGGCTGGGTGTGCCTT
This sequence comes from Homo sapiens, assembly GCF_000001405.40. Taxonomy (NCBI): domain Eukaryota; kingdom Metazoa; phylum Chordata; class Mammalia; order Primates; family Hominidae; genus Homo; species Homo sapiens. The sequence continues at coordinate 173,044 of NW_011332701.1, read as the reverse complement.
GAACCTAGAGACCAGCATGAGGTGAGTGCTTACAGTCTTCTCAGATGTTTTCTGAGCATGCATCTTGCTTGATCATGTTTGTGTTTTTTTCGGTTTTTCAGTACACTTTTCAATATTTTAATTTCCCAAAGAGTCTCATTCAAACTTCACCTTGGTGCCTTAGATGGACTGTGGTCTATCTTTACCCATAATCTCTTTCCTGAGAAGTCTGTGAATCTGTACTCTCCCTGTTCTGTGACTCTATCTCCTGAAAATGTGTGCATAGGGCCACTATGCAAAGCTGTGCTGAACTTTGCACTGTATTTTTTCTGTGTTACGTTACACTTAAAGGGCTGACCTTGCTCATACAGAATGATGCCAGACTCCCAGAGGCTCTGACTGTACACGGGTGAGGAATCATAGTCTCCTTCCAAGCCTTCTGAAAAATTGCCCATGAGAGCTGGCAGCTTCCTTACTCATGTTTCTTCCTCAGATCTGCCTTCTGTCTATGGGAAACATGTTTGGCTGTGTTCTGTGTGGTTGCTTTTGGGGTAAACCTAGCCTTACCACTGCCTGCTAGTTTGCTTTTTCCTCCTGGAAAGGCAGCTTGGGTCAGTGAAGCCAGGATGAAAACAGGCCGCAAACAAGAGTCCCTGTCAGAGAGAGGGAGAGAGAAAGAGAGGAGAAGAGAGAAGAGTACATAGGGATACAGAAAGAGAAATAGCGAAGGGAGGAGATAGGGATAGAGAAAGAGAAAGAGAGAAAGAAACAGACAGGTGAAACCTTGCTAGTCAGCCTGCTGGGCAGAGGGGGCTACAGGAGGGCTGGGTTCTGTTGGCTTGCTGTGGCTCCCCATGACTGCTGCTCCATGCAGAGTACATCTGTACAGAGGGTACCATGCCTGGCACAATCCTCAGGCTGGGATGTGTTGCCTTCTGGTGGGAGGGAAGGGCTGGGGGATGGCATCAGGTGCTGGACACATGTTGGCCCTGCCCTCAGCAGCTGGGAGCCTATCCTGAGTCCCATTTGCTCCTTTTAAAATGAGGATAATATTATCTACCTTCAGGGTTATCATGAAGGTTAAATGAGATAAAAAAGGTGATAGCTTCAGCAAGAGCCTAACATAGAAAGTACTTGCTTAAATGACCATGGTTGTTATTAATACTCATCAACTAAAATCCTGGTAATAATATGGTGGGGAAAAGGCCTTTTGTCTACAGGATACTTCAGAGATACTGTCAAGCAATTGGGACAGAGAGTGAAGGGCCCCAAGTAGAAGGCCTAAACCCGCTTCTGCTGTCTGCGGCCTGTCTCTTGCCCTGGAGATACTTCCCATGAGGGACCCCTCCTGGTCACTGCTGCATAGGCTCTGTTACAGAGAAGGCCTCATTGCTCAGCTTGGTTTTCCCACAGCTGATCTCCAATGTTACCAACCACTGGGGTCCTTCCTGTTACAGACCTCCTGACCTGGGTGTAGAGGGACCACCAGCTGCCTTCCTGCCCTCTGACTTCTGCTTGATTTATTTTGGTCCCACTCCCAGTCTGGCCCTGTCTTGATTTCTCTTGGTCCCACTCCCAGGCTGGTCCCACTCCCAGCAGCTCTTTTACACGGCTCTGCATGGCTGATGCCATCTGCCACCTGCCCTCTGTCCTGAGCCATTGGCTCTCGACCTTCCTGCCTGCTCTGTGGTCTTCCTGAGTGGTGCCTGGGAAAGAGCCTGCATATGACTTGAGCAGGCATCCCTTGGAGAATCTGTGGATGTGAATTTGGTCATGCACAGGTTAAGGCAGTGAAAGCACTTTGTATTCCTTGTTACCGGCTCTGTATCATCTTGTCCAGCAGAACTGACCTCAGCAATGGCTGCATAAATGGTGCCTATGTGGCACAGGGCCTAAGAAAGACTGAGGGCAAACCTCTTCCTCCATGCCTGGTACCCCAATCACCACCTCCCCAAGCTGTCATTTGCACTAACCACTGTCTCTTTTTTGGCCTTTAAAAATGTAAATTCTTTTGGAAGTGTTCATATATTAGGTACTCAATATTTTCAACATTTTTTAGCTCATTTTTTGTCAATATGATGATATAAGCATCATAGGATTGTTAAGTGTTTTGATCTAGAAAGAACCAAGGGATCTAGGGATGAGGAAGCTGTTGAAGAAGAGGGCAGAAGAGGCAGAGGCATGGGCAAGAAACTGTTTCCATCTCACAGTCTGACATGAACCTGTCTTATTAATAATCATGGTAGCAAGGGTTCTTGACAATGGTGGATCTGCCTCAGATCCATCAATTCTGGCTGTTTAAAACTTACTGTTTGAGGATTTTAAACATGGCTGATACCGAGGACTAGTGGGGATAGCGGTTTGTTCCTGCCTGTAACTGAAACAGGGAGTAATGGGGACAGGCTCTCTTCCAGCAAAAGGACCATGGGCACCAAGAAACTTCTTGATCCAGTGACCTCACGTCTAGGAATCTATCCTAAGGAAATAATTAAAGGCACACACAAAGAGTTATCTACCAGGACTCACATAGTGTTTGTTATTTACCCAGGTGAAAAACCAGAAATCCCCTAAATTTCCATCAACAGACAGATGGTCAGGCATAATTTGATGATCCATGTAATGGAATATGATGGCTGGCATTTAAAAATCACATTGTAGAAGAATAGCTAATATTTGATAACCTGTGAAATGCTAATGAGATAGCTGAGCTGAACAATTAGAGGACAAGGCAATTTGTATACGTGAATATGTATATGTGTGAATGTGTGTCTCTGCACTCATATGTATGAATCTGACCTGAAAATATTCATTTATATGTAGGAAAAGAACATTGAAAGGAAATTCTCTAAATGTTAACATTGGGTATCTCTGAATTATAGAATTATGTACAGTTGCAGTTGTTTTATGTGTTATCTTCTGTAATTTCCTTTAAAATAAGTATAAATGTATAGGCATTTATAAGCTTATAAATGCTTATAAATGTATAGGCACATAGGGATTTTGTAAATGTATATACAGAGTTTATTGAGACATGGGGGAAATCAGACAATGTGGAAATTAGTAAAACTAGACAGTGCCCAGTCTTAGACTGAAGTCAGAAAAATGTCAATGGGATTTCTTTTTTCAGAAGAGGAAAAGTCAGGAATAATATAGATCTCATCAATATTTTCTACCTTATTGAAGTCAAAAGGAGAAAAAATTGGGCTTTCAGCTTTGTGGACCACCATTTTTATTTTCAACCTCTGGAAAATGTTTTTGGGCAATCCTGCATCTTCTCTACATGTGATCTGTGAGCTCTCTGGATCACAGGCCAGGGATTCTATCAAGCAACAGGGCCCCAAGGCCTCCTTGGTGCTTCCCCTATTTGCAGAGAGGAATGGATTTGGAACATTGAAAATGGTATCCGGATGGTGTTAAGTTTAAATTGGAATGGCCCAAAGTCTCTTTAGGAAATTGCCTGGTGAAACTCATTTTATTTTTGGATTTTTAGAAATATAATTACATAAAAAAGCTCAGAAATGATTACCTATATGCTTAACTACAATTATAAAATACTTTGTATACACAAAGTGCATAAATGTAAGTGTTAAACAGTAATAAAAATCAGCCAGATGTGGCCACCACAGAGAAGATAAAATGGACTTTGGATTTTTCCCCATTTCTAATTTTCCTTCTTAGTGGCAAGAAGGTAAATCCTCCACATTGTGCGATGTGGTGCTGCTGTGGGCTGTTTTGAGACCCCATGGGTCATGCTTTCCAAGGAGCAATAGCGCCTCCACTCTCCTGGGCACTCTCCTGAGCACTCTCCCTCTCCTGAGGGTCTCCTGACCCTCTCGTCAGAGGGTTGATATTGAGTCTATAAACATTATTGATTTAATGATTTAGAAAACTTGTTTTATTTGAGTTAAAAAGCCAATCTCATGCAAAAAAGCTATGATTACTAGGTTTTAACCCATTCATTATTAAGTGTGTATGTATGTATTTGTTTTTGTGACAGGGTCTTGGTCTGTTGTCTAGGCTGGAGTGCAGTAGCACAACCTCAGCTCATTGAAGGTTTGACCTCTCAGGCTCAAGCAATCAATCCTTCCACCAGCCTTCCCAGTAGCTGGGACTACAGGAGTACACCACCACACCCGGCTAATTTTTGAATTTTTTTAGAGACAGGGTTTTGCTATGTTGCCCAGGCTGGTTGTGAACTCCTAGGCTCAAGCAATCCACTTGCCTTGGCCTCCCAAAGTGCTGAGATTACATGTGTGAGCCACTGTGCCCGGCTCATTATTGAGTATTTATTAAGAACTTACTTTGAACTGGGTGCCACTTACAGTACCAAATAAAACAAGATGAAAACATGGCAGCCATTCTTAAGGAGCTCACAGTCTAATGAACCTCAGTGAATCAATATCCACAATCTATCTTTATGTTTTCCATTTACATCTCCTTAGTTAATGTAAGAAAACCAAGGATTTTTGTTTCTTTTTTTAAAGCAAGAGGGTCTCCTCCAGGCTGGAGTGCAGTGACTCCATCATAGCTCACTGCAGCCTTGACCTCCTGGCCTCAAGTGATTCTCCCACCTCAGTCTTCCAAGTAGTTAGGACTACAAGTGTGCACCACTATGCCCAGACAATTTTTTATTATTTTTATTTTCCATAGAGATGGGGTCTTGCTATGTTGCCCAGGCTTGTCTTGCACTCATGGCCTCAATCAATCCTCCCACCTTGCTGGGACTACAGGTTGGAACCACCATGCTTGGCCTTGTTTTCTTTTAATCTACATTGCATGACTGAGAAAATGGAAGCTCAGGGCTCAATAATGGGAGGGAGGTCACCGTCTCCGTAACACTCAGCTCCCCTAGACCACCCCAGGGAGCATCAGAAAACATCTGGTTGTTTGGTCCACTCACTGTGACATTTTCTAAATGTACCTAGGGAGTTACAGTTACAGATTTATAGTTATGGGAAACAGGGGTGGGAGGATCTCAACTATAAGCCAGTTTGAGCAGCTAAAAGCATGCTAATTATTAAATCTCTTGGGCAGAGAGATTCTTCCAAATCTCTCTACCTTCATCTGGCAAAGTTAAACCACCTACTTTGTAATTCTCTCTCCTGCCCTGCTGACCTCTACTGGCCGTTAAGTCTCTGAGGAGAGTCCTCAATTACCTGTGTTCTCCATGGGAAGTGGCCCAGTGCTGCCCAGAGATGACGCCCAGCGGATATTCACTGGCCCCAGACAGACTCCTTTTCTGACTTCCCAGAGGCATGGTGCTGGTGTTAGACACAACTCAGGGGCCCATGTTTTATTCATCCACAGAAGTCTTATTGTCTATCTCACAGGTGAATGCTTGAATGAGAAAGAAGCAAGCAAAAATATTTTTCTTAAAATTTCTTCCTTTGTTGTGCATTCGTGATCAGAAAGAATTACTGTTATTTCCCTAGGTGAATGTTTCATAGCATCTACAGCATCTCTACCTGGCCTGGGATCCTGTAAGAAAGGCAATGCATCAGCATATAAAATGACATATTCTCAGTGATCAGGAACGAAAATTGTTCCTACAACTTCTCATGGAAAGCTGGTTGTCTTTTAACATCATGTGTCCTTTAATGAGGGTGACCATACATGCCGGTTGTGGTTGTGCAGTTACTTCCTTTTCCACAAGCTCCTGATTTAAATGATACATTTATGGTGGTCCTTCCATATGGCAGGCAGGCCAGTGTGGTGGAGGACCATCCTGCCCAGTGCAAACCTTTGCTTTGCTTCAGTTGTGGCTGCTGTCCTTGGAGAGCTTCCTCCTTGCCATTCTGATTGTCGTCTCATTCCAACCCCTTGGTCCTGATTTGTTCTGTTTGGTCTTCCAATGGACGCCATTAGGATATTTTAAATGTGAACTGCTTGTGATTTTAGGAAATAGAATTTTCTGCCTACAAAAGCACCAATGAGACTCTGAATGTTTTTTTGTTTTGTTTTTTTTTTTTTTTTTGAGACAGAGTCTCGCTCTGTCACCCAGGCTGGAGTGCAGTGGTGCAATCTCGGCTCACTGCAACCTCCGCCTCCCAGGTTCAAGCAATTCTCTGCCTCAGCCTCCAGAGTAGCTGGGATTACAGGCACCCACCACTATGCCTGGCTAAATTTTTTTTTTTTTTGTATTTTTAGTAGAGGTGGGGTTTCACCACGTTGGCCAGGCTGGTCTTGAACTCCTGACCTTGTGGTTCACCCGCCTCAGTCTCCCAAAGTGGTGGGATTACAGGCGTGAGCCACCGCGCCCGTCCCTCTGAATGTTTTTCTTGATGAGAAGCTCTGCATGAAATAGCAAAGGTGGCCTGAATCTCCTGCTAATGCAAAAGTGAGCCTAAAAGTGTCATCCCATAGTATTTGGTCTCCTGTGCGAGTTTCTGCCATGCATTTTCAATTGAGTTGGGGAGAAGAGGTCTTTCTTATGGTGTCTTCTAAAACTTCAGCCTTTTACAATTCAGACAGACCCTTAGGCAAATTTCCTTGTAAGATTTATCACTGAATCTTGGGCACATTCTTGAATCTAGCACCTGAGTGCTGGGAACACATACATTATTTCTGTGTTGGTGATTCTGTTTCCTACCCTGTCTCTTTCAGGTCTCACTCTTCTTTGCCCCAGATGTCCAGCTCCAGGTCTAAAGATTCCTGCTTTACAGAAAACACTCCTTTGCTGAGGAATTCCTTACAGGAGAAAGGGTGAGATATTTTCCCCCTCATATGAAAGTAAGAGTTTCTGAGCATTGCACCTGGCATGTATGCTGGAGAACTTGAGACACGAATTTTTATTGGACATGTTTAACCTCTGCCAGATCCTTGACAATTTATTGTAGTAGATGTTCATGATTCCGGTGGTTATATTCTGTGGATATTAATTTCCAGATGGCCTTGAGCATAACCCTGCAGCAACTGCACAGCACACACGCACACTCATGCATGCACAAAGCTCTGATGGGCTGTCTTACCAGGCTGGGGTTTCTCAGCTAGGGGTGAGGTTGGCATTGTCTGGAGACACTTTTGGTTGTCACACTGAGGGCTGAGATGCTTCTGGCATCTAAGGGTAGAGGCAAGGGATGCTCCAAACATTCTGCAATGCACAGGACAGCCCCCACCACAAAGAATTATCCAGCACAAATGTCAGTAGTGATGAAGTTGAGAAACCCTGTATATGTGTTTCACAAGAAAACTCAATTTCCTGCAAACTTGCAGGTCCTTTTTGGGCACAAATCAGGGTGGTTCTGGAATTGCCTGAGGAGAGCTGTCCTGGAGGGCAAGTTACAGATGCTTCCTTCTGGGATGAAGGGCCTTGGGCCAGGCCTGCAGCCTCAATCTTCTTTTCTTTCTGCAAACAAACCGCCAGAAGCCTGAGCCGCCTGCTCCATGTTTCCTGGCTCCTTGAACGTCACAAACTTGGTGACATTGTCACTGTCAAACTGAAATAATAAAAAATATCAGAACCCAGTTTAAAATTATTTATTCAAGCACAAAGCTGAGGATAGCCATTTGGGAAACACAGAATCCAAAGGAATGGGATCAGTGCTCCAAAGCTGAAAAGTTAAGGTCTTATTCTTATCCATATAGGCAGAAAACAAAGAAATGTAGAAGGACTACATTTTCCATACATGGCTGGTTTATGAGTTACAGCAATTTGATTAGTTACAGCTTCCCCCCTCCCCCAATTTAAAAGAGTATATTTGACATTCCATGTTAGACAATGTGATAGTCATGAGGTCTTTGTGTGAGAGAAGAAAGAAGGAAGTTAATCTGTCAATGAAGATCAACAGTGAAGAGGGAAGGGGTCTTCTCTCGTGCCCGGTAGTCTTTTACAACATTTTACAAAACAATGTAGGTAAGGAAAAAGGCAAATCTAGAATCAGAGAAAAGGCCACAGCTGCCTTTTATGTGACTCTTTTCATAATCACATTCTTTTAAGACTCAAAATAATTTAAAGTTTCAACAGCTTTGATTTTGAATCACTTATTTGCACATCATGGATTCTCCTTTCCCTGCCCACTGATGGTGTGTACCTGCATTGACAGGAGGGCTGCTGTGTCTTCTTCACTCACCTCTGAGCTTCCGAGGAGCTGCCTCCTCTCTCCCCAGCCCAGTCTGCAGCCAGGGCAGGGACCAGGGCTTCGCACTTTAGGGGTGCTTGCATGCCATGTGCATTCCTGTCCTCAGCCTCCAAATACTCTGGCTCCCGGGATTTGGATGGTATGCAGCCATCTGGGTTTATCATTTCTCAGTGCAGGGATGATTTGTTCACATGAAGCCCTTGACTAGAGGAAACTCCTTCACTCTCTGGCTCTCCAGGCAGTCAGTCCTACTCCTGTCAAGGGCATTCAAATGTCACTTCCTTTGAGGACCCTTAGTTGTCTCTGCCCCACCCACCAAGAGTCAGTGCTTCTCCTGTGCTCTCAAACACTACATTCATGCCCTTACTTCCAAACTAGCCCCTGTGCTATCTATGGTTATGTTGGCCAGCCTGTCCCCTCTTCATCGTACATCCTGGCACCTAGTACAGTCCCTGCCACCAGCCCCTCAGTGACTGGATGGGTAAGGAGTGTAAGCTGAGGCACTTCCACTGACCCAGCTGCTTCAAGCTTCTGTACTGGTGGATAACTGAATTCTCCTCCATTGCTCCTAATCAATAACTTTTAAGACAAAAACTTTACGCACCTATTCCCTTAATGCTTTCTCTTGAATTACTTGGTAAATTGTGAAGGCCTGTGACATTTTAGAACTTGCAATTCATTGGAAAACCATTAATGTGTAAGCATTTTTTCTGGCATGCAGAGCAGAGACATGCCCTGGGAGGCCGAGCTGGGCCTCATGTCACAAAAACCATTTCAAGGGAGTAGAACATGGGTCAGCTTTGCTTACAAAACGTTTTCCTTTTCTCTTTTTGCATGAAGCTAATTAAGGTATTGGTGGTAGGAATGTCTTTTTCATGCTTTACTTTTATCAACTTTATTTTGTTGCAGTTTTAATTTGATCAAATGGCTTATTAGGATAATATCCATTGATTTATATATTTTCAGAAGTATTCTTTTAAGGGTGTTGACAGCAGGAACGTGTGGTACAAAGGTCAAAGCATGCCCTGTATCTGAACTGACAACTGGTAGCCACTCTTCACAGATGTTTATTTAAATTTAAATTAATTAAAATTAAAAATTCACTTCTTCAGTTGCACTAGCCACACTTCAAGTGACAAATAGCACATGTGGCTGCCATATTGGACAGGGAAGCGAACATTTCTATCACCACAGAAAGTTCTATTGCACAGCACTGCTCTAGAAGGCAATGACATTAACTTGCTTCCCTCTGTCTTCTTATAAGAAAAGGTTTTTTTTTGTTCCAATTTTGTTACAGTTGTGTTTTTTTCAGCAGTTGGTGTGATATTATTTCTCACACACCTGAGCATTTTCCAGTCACAAAATTGATAGGATTATCGACTATTTTCAAAGTCATGTGTTATCTTGTTACACATTGGTTATACACAGCCTAATTGGCATCTCTACGCTTCTTCTGAATAACATTTTTTCCTTGTGAACCACTTCTAAAGCAGTCATAAGTGTTCAGGAGAATCACAATGCCCCATTGAGCTGGCTCCATTCTAGTGTGTCACAGATCACATCTGTTAACGTCAGTATTGTGAGCCCATGAATATTCTATATGATACATGAAAATTCTGGCTTTTGGTACAAACTTTTAAGAGTCAAGTGCATCTAAACTGAAGGAACTGATCAGGTCAGGGATTCAACCAAAAGTAAATGGAGGCTCTGTACAGTGGCTCATGACTGTAATCCCAGCACTTTGGGAGGCCAAGGTAGTCAGATCACTTGAAGTCAGGAGTTCGAGACTAGCCTGGCCAACATGATGAAACCCCATCTCTACTAAAAATACAAAAATTAGTTGGGCATGGTGGTGCACGCCTGTAAGCCCAGCTACTGGGGAGGCTGAGGCAGGAGAATCGCTTGAACCTGGGAGACAGAGGTTGCAGTGAGCTGAAATTGCGCCACTGCACTCCAGCCTGGGTGACAGAGCAAGACTCTGTCTCAAAAAACAAAACAAAACAACAACAACAACAAAAATCCCAAAAGTAAACGGATGTGTTTTCAAGTAATTCTGAGAAAAGTTTATGATTCCCCTTGAGTCATCTAGATATAGGCCCCATTTTTGGCCTGTATAGTCAGGTACGAATGTTCCCTCTTCCTGCTCATGCTTCTGTGGATGTTGTGTGGGAAGCCAGGTAGGCCACCTTCCCTACAGCTCCACTGCAGAAAGAGATCTACACAGAGGAGGAAAAACTGACACCACTCACCCTGGACAAGTCTCCCAGATCTAGGTATTGACTACTGGAGTGCATGCAGTGAAAAAGCCAACGCTGAAATCAGCGGGAACTGGTCTGAGCCAGAAACAGCTTTCTTGGAAAGTCCCAAACTCAGAAAAAGCTGGTTTCTTGAAGGCCCACAATTCATTTTGAAGACTTTAATGACTCCAGAAAATTTCCTTTGACCTAAGTGTTCTGAGAGGTCACAAAAAAACCCATTCCCACCAGTATGAGAGTGCACCACTGTCTGTGGTCCTTTGAAAGACCAGGGTTGATTCGGTGCCATTTCACACAGTCAGAACTCAGAGGAAAGCTTGCTTTGTAGCCATTACTATTTCAGGAGAGATAACCACACCTCTCTTGCTTTCCAGGTCACGGTGCATACCTGTTTACCATCCAGAGTTCATCACTGCTGAAGAGTCTTGGGAAGACAGCTCTGCTGACTGGGAGCGAAGATACCTGCTAAGCAGGGAGGTGTCTGGTCTGTCTGCATCTGCCTCCTCCGAGAAGGGAGACCTTCTGGACAGCCCGCACATCCGACTCCGTCTTTCCAAGCTGAGGTAGGCGGACTTGGGGTGCCCACCCTGGCAGCAGCGGTGGCCGCACATCGCGTCCTACATGGCCCCTCCATCTTTCAAACCAGCAGCGTGAAGAAGAGGATGAGTTTTGTCTCATCTGGCCAGGCTGCACTTTTCCTCCAAGGTGATTTATTTTTACCTGGGCCTAGGGAGACATTTAAGACCTCCTGCAAATCATGCAGCGCCGGAGAGGACAAACCTAAATGATTGACACAGTACACTCCTCTCCTTCCTGCTTGTGTGGCTGGGGTCTTCATGGCCATTAGGTTTGCAGATAGGATCTGTTTGCTTCAGGCGTCCCCGTGGCGTTTTGGAATTTGATATACCTTTGTAGTTATTGACGAAGGAGTGGGTCTGGCCCAGCGCACAGCCTGAGGGGTGGGGTTCCCTTCTGTGCTGTGGGCTCCAGAAACCTTGTTAAGGCTGGAAACATTTTAGAACTTACAATCCGTTGGAAAACCATTAATGTGTAAGCATTTGTCCGGGGCACACGGAGCACAGAGCCATGCTTGGGGAAGCAGAGTTGCATAGAGAAAGTGGATGGTGCACATGCCTACGGGAGCAATGGGTGGGGAGGGGATGCGCATGCGTAGGGGGACGGCGGGCGTGGGAGTGGGAGTACGCATGCGTGTGTAGGCCTAGGGCGCGCATGCGTGGGAGGCCGAGCGTGTGCGCGGGCAGTAGCGCTCTCACCTTACTGGCCTATTTATCTAATGGGTTTCCTCCCATGCGCCCGTTCATTTGAAAGGGTTCTTTTGAGAGGGACATGTTTGAAAGCATCATTTCCAGGACAGAACAAGGTTTTGGAGCCGGGACCAGTGGGCTTCCATTCTGGATCCGACCTGAAGTCGCTGAGCGCCCATCGCAGGGCCTTGCCTGGCCACGCGACGGTACCCTGTCACGCGATGCCCTCCTGGCTTTGTGGCCTCTCACGGGCCTACACTAAGATAATATGTGTGAAAGCCCTAGAAAAGTGAAAAAACACTACTTAGTCATCAAATATTAGCGTCACCGTGTCTCTGTGTGTGGGGACCAGTCTTTTCTGAAGATGCTCGCGGTTGGTTGGAAGTGTACCCGCCTGCACGCTCCAAGTGCACCTCCCGGGGTGCGAAGAGGCCCGCCTCAGACTCCCTGAGGTGCGTAGGGATCCGCTATCCTATACATCTTCCCAACAATCCTGGGAGGTACACGGAGGGTACCTCAAGGAGGATAAGGCTTTTGCCCAAGGCCACACTGAGCCAAGCCAAGGGGCAGGGATTCGACCCTAGATCCCCCACATCGCTGCTTTACATGGAGCTGTCTCTTCCCACTGTGACTCTCAACGGCCTGTAGCTTCTTCCTGATGAGAAGAAGGGGTCTCAGCCCCCCTCGTGGGTGCAATAAACATTTGGCCAATGAATCCGCTATGAGATTATGTGAGTTGGGTGAAATTGTGTGAGTGGGGTTCTGGCGCCATGGGTCAACAAGATGGCAAACGCTGACACTGTTCATGCCTTTTCCCAGCTGGACGGGTAACCACTCCTGAGGATGCCGTGTCCTCAGCTGTCCCACAACATGGAAAAATAGAATCAAGTACATTTGAGACTTTTGCATTCAGTACTTGTTTTATCTTCTATGATTCATGGAATATTTGCCTTTGAGCTTGCCACTGAACTAAAAGACGTTAGCTCCATTCTTTATAACATGTCTAAAAAGTACCATGCGTGATCAGTGAAGAATCTTGTAAAAAACCTTTTATTTTGGGTTGTCAGCTCTGCTGCAGATGTCAGTTACGTAGAAAGAAATTTGTATTTAGAATAGCTCAATTAATGCTTCATGCTTTAAAAAGAAATGTCATTTTGATTCCTATTTAAGTAGGAGCTGTTGAATCGTAATTGGGAAGCGTGAACTGATTATTCATCAAATTCATTAAATCTAAGAGAATGCAAAACAAGATTTTACCATTTTCAAAGGATCAGAAAGAAGGTTTTCAAAGACAGATGCAACTTAACTAAGTGAGGAGAGTATTAAAAAGATGTTCCAACATAGAGTTTCTTATTTCATTCTACACACATACATCAAGCATGGGCTATGTACCAGCATCCTTCCATGTGTGGGGACAAAGCAAAAACGCTCTAGTGCCTGCCCTCACGGAGCAGCCGGTGGGAGAGCACAACCTGGACTGGGCAGTGATGGTGCCATTGGGTGATGGGGTCTGGCTGCTGAGTGAGCAGAGAAGGGCATGACAGGAGGACTGCAGTCAGGGAGCATCCCGGCAGGCAAAGGCCCTGTGGTCCGGTCTGGGAGCAGCAAGGACGTTGGTAGGATGGAAGGGCAGCAGAGTGCAGGCCAGGCCCAGGTTCACATAGGGCCTTGGGGGTCATGGTTAAGAAATGGGTAATGGTAAGGGGGCCGGGATGGCTTTGGAAGTCCTTGGTAGGGGCTGAGTGTGTGGCTTGATGGTTAATTAAGTTATCGCCTAAGGAATTCTTAACAGACTGCTGGTACAACCAGTAACGGCATAGCAATTTCTTTCTTAAGTTATTTGTTTTTGTATTTGATGATCAAATCTGTATTCCTACCTTTCAGAAAACTTAGGGGAAAATAATTGATAAATATGAATCAGAGAGACAAGATAAGGCATTCAGTTTACTTTTTTTCCAGGAAACAGGAGCCTTTAAACAGCTATCAAAAAGTCTCAAATCTTGAACTTTAGTTTCCCCAACAACAAGCTATGTGCAAACACTTTGGTTAACTTTGTTCTCCTCTGGAACCTCCACCATGCTCCTTTGGATGGGGCTGTGGGTTTACTGGTCACTGATATGAGGGTGTTCTCCCTCATATCATGTTATGGAAAGAATTCAAAACACATGCTTTGAGATGGAAGTTACTCAAGGCTGCAGAAAAGTGTCTGAGTCTGGGCAACAGGACTGCTGCCCTTGCCACTAAGGCCCTACTTTTTCTCTTGCAGGCGCTGTGTGCAGTGGCTGAAAGTCATGGGCCTGTTTGCCTTTGTGGTGCTGTGTTCTGTGAGTACCTTAGCTGCCCCAGCACTACTGTTGGGTCCGTGGAAGCCCTGTGTGCCTTTGGCTGTATAGCAGGGGGAACCTGAGGTGTGGGGCTCAGTGCCTGGCCCTCTTCGCCTGATTCTCTGACTGTCTTTGGAGGAGATGCTGAGGGTTGTGGGGCAGCGGGCTGAGGGGGTCGAGGCCGCAGCTGTGCTCCTCTGCTGTGGTCCCAGTCACACGGCAGAAGCCGGGCAGCATGTTGTTGCCATATGGAAGGTCGGGTAGCTGGCTGTGGGGCTCCCTTCCCCCTCGAGTGGCTTACCACTTCCCTGTTCAGCCCTGGACAGTAGCACTCTTCATGTGTGTTGGAACACATCTGGAGATCGTGGATAGCCCAGAGTGTCTCAGCACCCCTTTGAGATTGTGCCCTGGGCCTCTGCCCAGCGGTAAGTGTTGAAGCTCTGAGGTTTGCCCCCTCTGGGGAGGTGTCTCTGATTTTATTTGCCCAGACATCTCCATCCTTTCAAATACATGAACATTCACAACAGACTCATTCTGGAGCCAAACCAACGTGAGATGCCCTTGTAGGGAACAGAGTGTGGGAACGAGGGGAGGGCGAGGGCTGCTCTGGTGAGCCCATGGCAGTGGGCGGTGCTGTTCTTCATTGGAGGGGTCCTAGCAGATGGACCCATCAAGGGAAAGGCACAGGAGCCCGAGCAGGGAGCCAGGGCTGCAGAGACACCTCTGTGCCCTCCGAGGCGACAGTCACAGGTCCCACTGCCAGCCTTGGTGTGCTTTGTGGCCTGATGTAGCCTGAGCCAGGGTCACATAGCGGCACTCAAAATACATTTGCCCAATGAGTGGGTGTGTGGTCTCCTGTCTGGTTGTGTGTCTGTGTGTGTGCAGGTGAGTATATGGTCTCCTGTCTGTGGCTGTGTGTCTTCGTGTCTGCACGTGGGTGTATGGTCCCCTGTGCCTGCTCTATGTCTGTGTGTGTGCACCATTGTGAACTGTGTAGGTTGTGTGTGGTCCCCTGTGCCTGCTGTATGTCTCTGTGTGTGCACCTGTGTGAGCTGTGTAGGTTGTGGTCAGTGACCATGATGGGTTGTGCCTGTGCTTTGCGGAGTTATTTTGGGTGAGTGCCACTTTTGAGTGTTGCTCCAAGATGGTGTGCATGGGCAGTTGCTGGGAGACCACAGTGGGTGGTAGGTGCTGCTGTGATGGGGGTGTGACTGTGGTTGTGGGCAAGGGTGGGTCTGAGCTGTGTTTCATGATGTGCACCAGCTTAGGGGGTGGTGTGCTCTCCCACGCAGCCTGCCCTGGTGACAGGGTCCCCTGTGCATGAGATGTGTGGCTGTTGCTGGCTGTTTCGTGACCTGCACGCGTGGCATGTGTGTTGTGGCTCTGCGTGCGTGCAGGAATGTCTGTGGCCCTGGGTCCGCTCTCAGCTGTGACATGTGGACAGCAGGGTGGTGTACGAAGTCAGTGCTGATTGCATTGAGCTGAGTACAGTCAACTTCTTAATAACCAACCCATGAGGGAGGAGATCTGTGACCCAGAGAAAGGAAACCTATGCTAGAAATGGAAAACCAATTACATTGAGCTCTGAAAGCATCACGATTTGATATTTTTGGCTACCAATTTGCTTCCCCACTTCCTACTCACATGAATGTGTGTTTCTGAAGCCCTGCTGCTCAGCAGGGCCTGGCAGGTGCTCTGAGATTTCAAAGGAACCGGGCAGGGTGGGCCAGGTCTCCCCTGGTCCCCAAGAGCTGACCTGAGCTCTGTGTCCAGTCTTCAGCCTTCTTCTGTGAGATGGAGTTTAGGTGATTTGTGGAGATATCCAAAATAGAATTTGAGGAATGATTTGAACTTCTATAATCTCATGTTATCATCAGTTTAATTTACTTTTTGATGGTGTATAAGGTGCTTTGCAAATTTCACAAACACCTGCTACCACAAACACATGCTCTAACCATCACAGGGGTCATATGCCTTTATTCTCCATTGTGAGAAAACCACATTTATCCTTCTTCGATGATTTAATTTTATGGCCAGGCATTTAATCCTTAAATTTGGCAGGTATCAATAATCAGGGCCCATTGTAGCTGAACACTGTAATGAATCAGAATATTATAATATTTAAGACAAAGCTATTCAGAGTAAGCTGGCGCGTACTGGATGCACACAGTAGCCCCATCATCACATCTGTTTTCGACTGTTATCAAAATGATTTATACCTTACTGCTCTCATACCACACCTCTGTCATTCAACGTTTCTGATTGTTACAGATTTTGTTCAGCCTATATCCGGATCAAGGAAAGCTCTGGCAGCTGTTGGCCTTATCACCGCTGGAGAACTACTGTATCCAAAATCCACTCTGAGATGGCCAGCCGCCTGGCTGAGATCTGAAACACAAGGAGACACTTGCAGACGGTTGTGACTGCTGCTGAAGGCCACGGCACAGGCCATTACCACTCGAATTTTGTTTCTCCAGGATGTCTGATGAGAGATGGAGTCTCAGGACAGAGGGGCGGGGAGCTCCAGGGAGACAGTGGCGGGGTTGGTGGTGGAGCTCTCCGAGTGAGGAAGGGGGACAGCAGGGCACATTCCAGCCAGGACCTGGCTTTCCCTAGCTCCCCGATACTCCTTTCCTCCCCCGTCTCTTTTGCGTTCAGCGTGACCCATCTTCCAGTCCCTGCTGTCCTGGCTGTGTCACCTTGCTCTGATGACTGCTGTGGCACCTCCTACTGTGCTTGCTCTGGCCTTCTTGCATGCCTCAGAATTTTTAGTTAGAAGTCATACACATCCTGTAGGATAGTAGATACAGAGGCCAGTGGTGTTTAAGCTTGGAGATGAGCATGCCTTGACTTCTGCAGGCATTAGTTGGAGGGTTCATGTAAATCTAGTGAGAATCTGGCTGTGTTGAGGTTTGCGGTTGCTGTGGCAACCTGCGGTGCACTAGACACTCAGAATTACCGGGCGCCCTGCCAGCTGTCTGCCAGACCTTGCTCTATGCCCACCCCTCCCACTGGGGTAAGAGCTACTTTTTCCCCTCCTACCTTCTCATGGCTGCAGGAATTCCCACTGCGCCCTCTGGCTGCCAGATTAGATGCGCTTCCCAAGCAAATGAAGGCCTTTGCTCCTTAGGGGAGATAGAGGCAGCGGGAGAGGGTGAAGCTTGGCATCACTGGGGGATGCTTTCCCGGGATCTTCCCCAGGCTTCCTGTCTTCCTGGGGAGCGTCCGCTGGGGTTCCTGGAGGAAAAGCCTGCAAGAAAATGTGAACACCTCCATCTGTGGCTCTCAGAGGCTCCCACGCTCAAGCGAGCCCACACTTGACCTTGAGCAATGTCTACATTTTCTGGCTGAATCCCGCCTGATTCTGAAGTGTGGGGCTGGCACCTGTCCCAGGGAAGCCGCCTCTTCCTACAGTCACCTGTTTTGCTCTAGGTTTCAGGCGAGTTGTTTCTGCTGCAGCCTTATTCTGGGATCAGGAGTGGGCGGTTAACTGATGTCCGCCCAGCCTTTTCTGGGTGAAAGGGTGGGAGGGCTGTTTCTCAGCTCTCCAGCCAGGGTCCAGAGCCTATTTTGGAATGGACATGGTCATTAAGGTGTCTGTGCATGAAGGCCCCTGAAGCCCCCGGTACTGCTAGTGCGGCGGGCATCCGTGGAGGGTCCTGGAGAGGTGGGACCCTCCGATGCAGTGCTCTGATCAGGCAAATATTTTTGATGATTATTATTTAAAAAGGAATTAATTCAGTTAGCTAAATGGCGAGTGTTTTTTTCTTTAGTCTACTTACTTGATAGCCTCAGTGAACTGAAATTTTAGGAAACTGGCTTGCTTTCCTTGCAGTTGCTGTAATCTGTTGCATAGTCTTGGTTTTTGTAGTCCTTCTGGCAGTCTCACTACATCTTCCCAGGACACCCTCTCCTTAGCCAGTGACCTACCCAGCAGGGCACCAGCAGCCTTCCAGAAAGGCCTGGCACTTGAGGCTTTCTGGTGAGCCGGGGGCACACTGGTCACAGTTTGTGCTTCCCTCTGCTCAGTGGATGGAGGCACCCACAGTTTTAGAAGCACTCCACTTCCACTGGGGTCAGGGCGGTGCTGATGTCAGCTGAGTGCGTGTGCACGTGTTTGTATTTTCTTCATCACTTTAAAACCGTGCCTGAGCTGTAAAGTATCTCCATGTGAGAGAACCGAAGAGCTGTGTGATGTTGACAGACTTTGTTTCTCATTCTTGTGCCTCGACCTCTGCATTACTTCTCCAGGATGAAGAAAGCCAAGACTTGCCCTGTGTTCCTGGCCCCCCTCATGAAGTTCCCAGGACATGCCACCCTCCTGGGCAGGACTTTCCCGCAGGGGGAAGGGGAGATAGAGCAACCGGCTGCCAGGCTGACCCAGGAACCTGAAGGGGGAGGCTGGATCCTGTCCAGAAACCGTCCTCAGTGGGACTCAGGCAGGAGGGGGAGATTTCGGGGAACACTGGCACCAAACTTGATCAGTCAGTAGAGATCCCAGGCGAGCACAGCAGCTTAGGTCACTAAGATGAGATGATAGCCTCAGCCCTCTGGTCATCCCACCCAGGCCCCAGTGTGTCCCCTTTATTCTAAGGCATTTTGCCGAGCTCCTTCTCGAGCAGCCTGAGTGCACCAGGCCCCACGCAGGACCCCACAGCCTGAGTCCCTCCCAGCAGGGGGCAGGGCAGCCTGCCTTTCTTGGCAGGGGGTGGGGATGGGTGGGGGCGGGGAGCTGTCTCGCCTGCTCCCTGTGTGGCCTTCGAATTTGGATGAAGAGGGAGAGAGAGAGCCTGGGAGAGATGAAGGCCGCAGGGGGGAAGACGGGTGCTGCGTCCTCCAGCGCAGTGGGTCACCAGCCACGATGAGGGGTTGATTTGAGCCTCCAGCAGGCTCCTTGGAAAAGGGCAGTGTTCCCAGGGATTAACCACGCTTTCCGGAAACTCACGGACCCTCTCTTTGTGAAAGCTGAGCTTTGTGAAAGCTGCAGGCCTGAGGCCTGCCTGGGGAGGAGGGGAAGCCAGCTGGACCCTGCCCCCCACAAGGTGATTCCCTGAGAAAGGGCGTGCAGTATAGGCGTGAGGTAGGAGGGGCCTCGGCCTGGTTGGAAAGGCCCACAGCAATGTCCTCAGGGCTGTCCTCTGAGCAAGGAGCTCGAGGCCTCCTCCCGGCCCTCTGGCCTGCCCTGTGGAGGAGGCTGGGTGAAGGACACCCAGGGTGTCTGCTGTGAGGGGAGGAGCTTCTGGAGAAAGCACCACTCTCCTTTAGCCGGTGAATAGCGAAGCCACCTTTCTTTCGGAACCTCAGTGTCTCCCGCAGCAGCCAGGCGGTGTCGGTTCGGTAGTTGCAGGGTCTATTTCAGAAGCCTGTAATTGTAGCACCTGAAGTTCTTTGTCCCTGAATTGTTGTCTGAAGGAGGCCTGTCAGGCTCCCAGGGCACTGGGCAAATGAACAGAAGCCAGCAAACCTCTACAACCAGGTCAGTTAAGGCACCGTCCTTGTCTCCCGCTCTCCTTTCTCTTCCTCCCTCCCTTCCTGCTCTTCTTTGCTGCGTCCTCTTCTTTCTCCTCTCCCTTTCTCTCTCCCTCCCTTCTCCCCATTCTCCCTATTCTCTCCCTCCCTCTTTCCCCATCCCTTTCATTCTCTCCTTTTTCCCATGTGATGCATTTTGTATCACACCCAGCGCTGCATCCTGGGCTCTCAGAGGACATGGAGGAGACTGTGAGATTCAGAGGGGAGGAGAAAACACTGTTTCCCCACCCTCCTAGCTTCTCCAACCAGGGCCCTGCAGATTAGACACGAAGGACAGGTTAACAAGAAAAAGGCATACTCATGTATTTCATATAAGCGTTGCTTGACAAGAAACAGCTGAGCTTGGTGTTTTGATGCTAGGTTTGATGAAGAGTGGGGTCCTGAAAGGTGTGATAGGACGAGAGCACATGAGCAAGCGCAGGAAACGGGCCGGGAGGGGCCCTGGCGAGGCCTGTCCATTCAGGTCCCTCTTGGCCTCCCTCCATCTTTGGAGCTAAGGATGCACCCTTTCCCTGGTGTGGGGGGCACCTCTCACAAGAGGGTCACGACGATCTGCTTCAGGGGAGTTAGGTCTTGAATGAGGGCTGAGATGTGGGTAATAAGAAAGGCAGGAAGATCGTGTTAATGGCCAAGGGCGTGGGGCACCTGGGGAAACGCATTTCTTCACACACTGTCAGAGGAGGGTGTGCGTCTGGCGGGCGGCGGGGACATGGGGTTTCTCCTGTCTGCCTTGTGGTTCTCCTTGACACTCTCCGAGCCGTGAACCTTAGCAGCCACGTGGACTCCACGCTGCTGCAGGTGGACCTGGCAGGGGCCCTAGTGGCCAGTGGGCCGAGTCGTCCTGGGAGGGAAGAGCACATCGTGGTGGAGCTGACCCAGGCTGACGCTTTGGGCTCCAGGTGGCGGCGGCCACAGCAGGTTATGCTGATAATTTATTTGAAAGGAATTGTGAAATCTCATTTCATCTCATAATAAATTGTGTTTCCTCTTGAATGGATTTGATGGGGAGCCACAGGCGAGGACACCATTCTTAGTCAATTCATTGGCTCTTCTTATCTTTTGCTTTGTCTTTGAAATTCTCTTTTTACCATTTCTCTATTTATGAAACTCTTGCCATTTCAGTAAAATCAGGCTTGCAAGTTCTTTATTCAAAACTGTTTTGCTGGGCCATTCAGGAAACATACATTTGAAATGAAAAAACTTTTTTTTTTTTTTTTGGTGTCGTTGAAGTGCAGTTAAGTCCGGGCCTTACGTCAGGGTTCAGAAGACACTTCCACAGCACGGTTACTGTGTTTGTGGACATCTGCTAAGACAGTGCCTACGTTCTGAGCTGCTGTATCTGTGTAGGCCTGTGCTCAGCCTTGTCTCTGAGCCTTGTCAAGCCTTCATTCACATCCTGCAAAGGCAGCCAGGAAGCGGTGGCTGTCATGGCAGCCCAGAGCCTAGACTCCAGAGGCAGGGCTCCTTCCACGCAAGCCTGACTCCCCCGAGCCCTGGCCTCGGAGACTCCACTGGATTATCACGGTGACTTCTGCATGGAAGTCGTAGCCCTGGTTCATGGATGTTCCCTGTTATAACCAGTAGAGGGAAACCCCGCCCATGCACAGGCTGTGTCACCTGCAGTGGAGCATCTGAAGAATGAATGCACCCTCCCCTTTTCCTGCCTTGTAGAGCATGGTCCACAGAGCAAAGGTCTCATTATGAACTAGCATGCAGTGTCCTGGACCGTGGCTGACGCAACACCAATGTTCTGAACCGGCTGCCCTGGCCAGGGTCTTAGGATGTCAACTTGGTTCCCTGTGTGAAAAGCACAGCCCTCTGGCAAGGGGCTCCTTGGTGATGAGCAATGACCTTTGCCCTCTGACCTGGGACTTGCATGGAGAAGGGCAGGACCTTACACAGCCTGCGGTCCCGCTGCCTCCCCAGCACTTGCATATTAATAACCCAGATTAAATGATCTGTATGGCACCTCCCTGCTCTCTTGGGGTGGCCCTTCCTAACATGCTGATGCACCCAAAATGCCCACAGGCAAATCCAGCCCCAGAAACATGGGAAACCCAAGAGATCTTTACTAAAGGATTTTTCCCCCCAGATACGCTCTTTGCAAACACTGAAGTACCTAAAAGAACTTCTGTTCTCTCATGCGTGTGCTTCTTTGCTTTGACCGGTTTCAGAGATCCTATTTTCAGTGTCCTTTGTGATTTGTGGGCGAGATTCGCATCTTCCCATTGAGGGTCCCCCCCCGCCCCCCGCTCCCCAGGCTGCCTCCCCAGGTGATCACTCTCCTGCACCCCAGGGGCAAGAACATGCAAGGCAGGGAATGAAGCTTCACTCTGGGGCCCTTCCTTGCAGGGGCTCCTGTGCACAGGGGTGTGGAAGGTTTGCTGGGGGTGGGTTTGTTGCCTCCAGGTTGCAAGCAGTTGCAGAAGCAGTTCTCAGGACTCAGAGCACTCAGAAGAGTTCTCCAAGTCTCTAGTAACTTGTAGTGATTTCATTTTTTAAATTAAAAAAAATTTATATTAGAAAATTTTTAGAGTCGGGGGTCTCACTCTGTTGCCCAGGCTGGGGTGTAGTGGTATGATCTCAGCTCACTGTAACTTGGAACTTCTGGGCTCACAGGATCCTCCCGCCTCAGCCCCTAAGTGGCTGGGACCACAAGCACATGCCACCAGGCCTGGCTAATTTTTAAAACTTTTTTGTGCAGACAGGGGTCTTGCTCTGTTGCCCAGGCTGATCTTGAACTCTTGGCCTCAAGTGATCCTCCCACCTTGGCCTCCCAAAGTGTTGGGATTACAGGCGTGAGCCAGCGCGTCTGGGCATGATTTCTTTTTCTCGTATTAAATCACTATTTACTTCTATGCCTTTTGTACTTTTGTACACTAATTCTGCATTTTTTCTTTTGAATCCTTTTTCTTAAACAAAGCTCTCTAAATTGTGGAAATTCCCAGCTCCAACCACCTGCACTAGCTCCTAACATCAGAGATGTGAGAGCTCAAATAAAGATGCTCTCCTGTTTCTTTCTTTCTCCTTTTCTTTTTTGAAACAAATACCTAGACCGAGCAGTGCCAGATCCCAGATGGTGTCTCAGGTGAAAAGCCTCACCATAACTTATGCTTTGGCTTGTACAGGTCACTCACAACTGGACGGTGTATTTAAATCCGAGGAGAAGCGAGCACTCAGTGATGAGCAGGACCTTTGAGGTACTGACCAGGTGAGTTCTCAGTGAGTGAGGTGTTGGGGCAGGCTCTCTGGGACACGTGCGTTTAAAGGAGTCTGACCTATAGGACACTGATTTCGGCCCACACAGCACCAGGTCAGCATGTGACTTGGACACGGCACTCATGCTGTGTAGACAGTGAGCTCAAAGGCTGTGGGAGGACATCGTAGCCATGGGTGTCAGGATGTGAGAGGGTCGACTGCAGAAGTCACTTTGAAACAAATGGTATTTTTTGGTTGACGTTCTAATTTCATTAATGTGAAGCTGTACAATGGAGAATTCTAGGAAATTTAGGATTCTTCTTCCTTAACTAATGCTGCTTCATATTCAATCGGTACTCTTGCTTGGTGTGTTAGACAGCTAAGGCTGCCGTATCATAGTACTACACACTGGGTGGCTTAAATGTCAGTCATTTACCTTGTAATTCTAGAGGCTGGAAGTCCGAGGTCAAGGTGTCGACAGGGTCAGTTTCTCCCAAGGCCTCTCCCCTGGCTTACAGGTGACCATCCCTCTGTGCCTGTCTTCTCATCTCTCCTTGTATGGACACCCATCCTACTGGATTAGGAGTCATCCCCATAACCTCATTTAACCTTCTTCACCTTGTTAAAGACCCTCCCTCTACCTACAGTCACATTTGGAGGTACTCGGGGTTAGGACTTCAACAGAGGAATTGTTTTTGGAGGAAGGGGACATAATTCGGCCCATAAAACATATTGGCCTGAACTTGAAAAAACGCTTCAGTGTTCGCCACAGACCTGTGGTCACTTGCAGGCTTCTCGTCTGTAGTGCGTCTCCCCACTCTCAGGGACTGGAGTTCAAATAGCTGGCTTTGCTCTTAGTTAGCAGGTAAACTGGTCGGGTATGTTGGGGAGGAGGAAGAGCCAGTTCAATGGCTGGCGTCTTCTGTGCAGGCCCCTACTCACTGTTCATTGTCGGGTGGTGTCACAGGAAGGCTGAGGGGCCTGCTTGGACCAGTCGGGCTTGGCTGCAGGGAGGCTGCATCCTATGTCTCACGCCGCTGGCCTGTGCTCACTGCTCTTCCAGCTGTGAGATTGGGCGTTGGGCTGAATTGTTCCATTTGCACTCTGGTTAATGCCATGGCTGATACAGAGGGAGGTCCCCTAACTGTTGACCTTGTGAACAGTAAGGTCGTTGTTTCGTTCTGCAGAGAGACGGTGTCCATCAGCATCCGGGCCTCCCTGCAGCAGACCCAGGCTGTCCCTCTTTTGATGGCTCATCAGTACCTCCGCGGAAGTGTAGAAACCCAGGTGACCATCGCGACGGCCATCCTCGCGGGCGTCTACGCGCTGATCATATTTGAGGTAACTTTCACACCTGCTCCCCCGATCTGTCTGGGCCCACAGTCAGGGAGGCTTGAGATCCGTGAGACACTCTGGATGGGCTCAGTCCTGACTCCTTAATCAAACTGGACTAGTGTCATCATTCCTAAAGATTAGCGTGTCCCTCTCTCTAGGTAGAAAGGGAACCATACAGGAATATTTGCTGAATCTTGGCAACTGACATGAGAAGGATGGACTTTAGGAGCAGAAGTGTACCTGAGAAAACAGAATGTGCATACGATTTTCTACTCTCTCTCCGCTGCTCACTCCAAGTGTGACCTTGAGGGAACAAGAGTCACAGTCTCCTCTGAGACTCAGAGTCTGCACCTGTGTGATGGGTGTGCTCATTTGCGCCCACCTGCACCGTGGGGTTGTGTGTGTGAGGGGACACGGATGGCCTGGGGCTGTGTGCCCGGAGGGATTATTTGATTATCTGTTCCGTCTACCAACTTGGCTTATGGGCATTTCCACATGTGATCTTAAGTCCAGTCAATGTTATGTTTCTGGGAAGTTCTAAGTGTGGCTATGCCTTCAATAGCACGAAGCAATGTGCAGACCCTTCCTGGGCTGGGCAGGTCCGTTGTTGCTTTAACTATGAAATCAAACTTAACCACAACACGGACAGGAGCCTGGAAGGTCAGTGCATGATGTGACCGTTAGAGGCGCGTCCTAGTGAGCTTGGGATAGGTCTGAGAAATACCTGGGGATGTTGAGGAGATGGCAGGCTGGAGGAGTGGCCAGGAAAGTTCCAGAACTTTGCTTGTGGTTGTTGAGTACACTTGCTGAGGAATGATGACCCCAGTAAGTTGAGCCCTCACCTGTCTAACAAGGACCACTCACAGGATTAATTGTTATCTCTTACATCTCTTCAGTTCTAGAACAGTTTTGTTCCCTCCATTTTCTATCCATTTTCTTTTAAATTAATATTACTGTTGTTTCACGGTTCCCATGACCACCCTGTGATTTGACACAGGAACTCGCAGGCTCAGGGGCAGCTGTCCTCTGGGCTGGGGTTTATTGCCATGCCCGGCAGTGGAAACCTGCTGAGCCTGGAGGAACCCAGGAGTGGGCTTCTGAAAGGTCTCCTCTCCCAGGTGGGCCCACACAGAGCACGCCCCTCCCTCCAGCAGCCAGAGGCAGCCATATGCGGTGTTTCTGCCCTGGGCAACCTGTTGGAGACTGAGTTTTTGTGGAGGCCGGTTAGATGGTCACCCTCAGCTTACCAAGATCCCTGCTCCCAGGAAGCAAGCAGGTGCGCACCATTTATAAATCACATTTTATACAGTCTGGGCATGCAGGTAATACAGCAGAACACACTGCCCCAGGCCCACAAGACAGCCTTCTCTTTGGTAATGAGGGAATAGTCCCGAAGCTGAGTACCCAGAAGCCAGCCAAGGGCCCTTCTAAAGGTGACGTTAGGTGAAATCTTTACTGCGCCACCATCTAGTTGACAAATCCTATTCTGTTGTTCTGTAGAATATTCTATACCCTGATTCAGTGCTGGGTTCCTCATGGGATTAATTAGCTGCTCTATCCTATTTCCTACAGACTACAATTGAGATCTGAAGCCTTCAGGTTCCATTTTGGGGCACCTGTGCTTCACAGGTGTGCAGGGGTCTGGCCTGTGTCCAGGAGGAGGACCCTATGTCTGGATGTCCTGCTGTCAGGGGTGCGGAGAATGCTCAGGGAGTTGAGGTGGTGGAGAAAGGTGCCCAGCTCCCTGCCACTTTTTCTCTTAATGATTTTAATACCCACCAGGGCCCACTGCCCGCCTAAGATAAATCCTATTTCTGTAATGATCAACTTTCTTAGTAATGAGCTCTTCCCTTAGTAACTTCCAGTGGTGTCCACTGAATTTATTTAGTTTCCCTCTTCCCCTTTTTTACTATTATTTTGCAATTATAGATTTAATAAATTCAATGTGCTTTAATTAGTTACAGTCATTAATTAAAAAATACAATACAATGCCAATTATTTTTAATGGGCTTCTCTGTTATTCTAAGGTTTGTTCACTTTTTTTGTAAAATTGTTCAACCTTTGAAAACTACATAATTTGCAAAGATTTATTTTCATTAATTAATGGTTAGTATTATTTGTCATTTAGAAAAAACCTCTCCTTCTCTACAAAAAGCCATTTCTAGATTTTAAAAGTCCTGTACTTTGATTTTTTTTTTATTACGGCTAGCAGATATTTAAGAGGCCAGTTCGACATGGTTTCCACCCTTACAGAAACAAAAAGCAGAGGCCACCACACAGAAACCAGCCACACATAGAAGGGAGCATGGCAGGGTCTCAGGAAGGGCCTTGGAGGGCAGTCCCTGGATTCCATGAGTAGTGTGGCAGCCCAAGACCTCCCAGAGGCTGCCTCCCCATGCAGCCCATCCGTTCCCTGGCAATCTTTCAGTAGGTCTCCCTACACGGCTTGTTCTACACATCTGGTGGTCCAAGGCCCTTCTGTCATAGCTGTCCATGTGCCCCTGCCTATGACAGGGTGTGGTCTTTCTATTGGTGTGTAGTGATATCTTACTGTGCTTTCAACTTAATTTCTCTAATGATGATAATGTTGGATATTATCTTTTCATGTATTTATTTGCCACCTGTCTATCTTCTTCAGCGTGATGTCTGTATGTGCCTTTTGCTTATTTTCTAATTGAATTGTTTTTAAAAATGTTGAGCTTTGACTGTTCTTTATATATTATAGATATACAGACTGTTGGATATGTGGTTTGCAAATATTTTCTCTTAGTCTAGTTTATAATTTTTTTTCCTTTTTTTTTTTTGGAGACAAAGCGCTGGGATTACAGGCATGAGCCACAGTGCCGGCCTTTTTTTTTCTTTTTTGAGATGGAGTCTCCCTCTGTTGCCCAGGCTGGAGTGCAATGGTCCAATCTCGGCTCACTGCAACACCATCTCCTGGGTTCGAGTGATTCTCCTGCCTCAGCCTCCCAAGTAGCTAAAACTACAGGTGCGTGCCACCACACCTGACTAATTTTTTTGTATTTTTTGTAGAGACAGGGTTTTACCATGTTGGCCAGGCTGGTCTTGAACTCCTGACCTCAAGTGATCCACCCACTTCAGCCTCCCAAAGTTCTGGGATTACAGTCATGAGCCACTGTGCCGGGCCAGTTTTTTTCTGTTATAGATTGCGGTTTGGGTGTCAAGTCTGAGAACTTATTGCTTAGTTGCAATAATTCCAGAGTCCAAAGATTGGTTTTCTTTTTTTTTTTCAGTTTTACTTTTAAGACCAGGATCTATTTTGAGTTAGTTTTATTATTATTATTATTTTCTTTGAGATGAGGTTTCAGTCTGTCACCCTGGCTGGAGTGCAGTAGCATGATCACAGCTCACTGCAGCCTCAAACTCCTGGGCTCAAGTGATCCTCCTACCTCGGTCTCCCGAGTAGCTGGGACTACAGGCATGCAATACCATACTTGGCTAAGTTTTAAAATTTTTTTTGTAGAATCAGGGTCTTGCTATGTTGCCCAGGATGGTCTTGAATTCCTGGCCTCAAGAGATTCTCCTGCTTTGGCTTCTTAAAGTGCTAAGATTACAGGTGTGAGTGACTGTGCCAGGCCTTGAGTTATTTTTTGTGTTTGTGTGAGAGTTTTAAGTGAAGGTTCATTTTTAAACCTATGGATGTCCAACTGGGCCAGCATCATTTATCGACAAGACTACCCCTCCTCAGTTGAATTGCATTTGCTCCTTGGTTAAAAATTAATCGGACATATTTGTGGGGTATCTCTCTGGGTTCTCTATTCTGTCCCATTGGTAATGTGTCTGTTCCTCTACCAGTACCACACTATCTTGATTACTGCAGGTGTAAGTTTGGACACTGGGAAGAGTGATTCCTCACACTTATTATTTTTTTTCCCAAAATTGTTCTGGCTATTCTGTGGCCATTTGTTTTCCAAATACATTTTCCCCTCTTTGTCCTCCAGCTTTATTGGAATAAAGTTACATTTCTATTTTCTAGGACTTCAGTTGCTTTTTCATGTGGTGCTTTGACATCCACATTTTAGAATGGCCTTCTAGTCCCTAAACATAGTATTTATTTTGGTCTTCTTTGATTTTTTAAATAATTTTCATGATACTGATCTTGTACATCTTTTCTTAAATTTATACCTAAGTGTTTCCTTTTCTTTGGAGCAATTGTAAATGGTACTGAGTTTTTATTTTGATTTCCACCTATCTATTGTCAGTACATATAAATACATTTTTCTGTGTATTAATCTTATACCTTGTCATTTTATTGAATTTACCTATTACTTCTCAGAGTTTTTAAAAAATAAAATTATTGAGATTTCCTATGTAGACAATCATGTCATTTGCAATGAGGACAGTTTTATTTCTTCTTTTCCAATCTGTATGTCTTTAATTTCCTTTTCTTGCCTTACTGCAGTGGCTAGAATGGGAATGGTAAGACTGGCATTGTTCTCAATCTTAAAGGGAAAGCATTCAGTCTTTCACCATGAAGTATGACATTATTAGTTTTTGTAGGTGCTCTTTATGAGACTGAGGAAATTCTTTTCCTAATGTACTAAGAGGGGTTTTTTGTTGTGTTTTTTCTTTTCTTCTCTCTCTCTCTTTTTTTTTAAAAACCATAATTGGGTGTTGAGTTTTGTCAGCATCTTTTTTGTGTCAACTGATGTGCTCATATGGTTTTTTTTCATTAGCTGCTTGAGATGGTGGATTACATTGATTTATTTTAGAATATTGGACTAGACTTGCATATCTGGAATAAATCCTTCCTTTCTAATGTGAGCGTTTATTACTATAATTTTCCCTGTCAGCACTGCTGTAGCTGCATCTTACAGATTTTGATCTGTAGTGTTTTCAGTTTCAGTTAGTTCTCTCTAATTCTTACATTTCCCTGAGACTTCCACTTTGACCCATAGATTATTTAGATGTGTGTTGTTTAAATTCTAGATATTATAGATTTTCCTGTTGTCTTTCTATTACTAAATTACAGTTTGATTCATTTATAGTTAGAGAACTTACACTATATTTAATCCTTTAAATTTGTTGACTTTGTGTGTGTGTGTGTGTGTGTGTGTGTGTGTGTGTGTGTGTGTGTGTGACAGAATCTCGCTCTGTTGCCCAGGCTGGAGTGCAGTGGCGCAATCTCAGCCCACTGCAACCTGCGCCTTGTGGGTTCAAGTGATTCCCCTGCCTCAGCCTCCCAAGTAGCTGAGACCACAGGCGCATACCATCATGCCTGGCTACTTTTTGTGTTTTTAGTAGAGACGGGCTTTTGCCATGTTGGCCAGGCTGGTCATGAACTCCTGGCCTCAAGTGATCTGCCTGCCTCGGTCTCCCAAAGTGCTGGGATTACAGATGTGAGCCACTGTGCCCGGGCATTGTTGACTTTTTTTTAAATGACTCAGGTTTATGGTCTATCTTGATGAATATTCTGTGGGCTTAAAGTAATATGATTTTTCCTTTCTTATAATACTAGTGTAACTTGCAAATATAAATTTTTTATAGGTAGTCTAAGCAACAACTTGTGAAAACCCAACACTGACCTTTTGTTGTGTCTGTAACTTGATGTGGAAGGTAGAGAAGGCTGCAGGGGTGTTAAAGGAATAGTATGTTCTACCTTATGTTTCTGTGACTTCTGTGTGTCCATAACTCCCTAGGGGAAGGTCCACATTATGAGGGGAGGGCTGGATGCAATCGCCAGCCCTATGGGCTCTCCAGCAGTGGAGCCAACATTGCATTATTCCTAGGATCTACTCTAGGGGTAGAATTTGCCTTGGGCAATGACTCAGAAGTTGTCTTGTTTCAGGCAAAGCTGCTTCCCCAGAACTGGAGGTCTCTAGATTCTGCAGGCAGGCATGCTTAGGCTGTGCCACTGCTGTCTGCATCCTGCTCTACTCAGGGGAGTCTTGGGGTGGCTTGCAGATGCCCCTGCCTGTCCTCCCAATCTGCTGCTGCCAGCTGCTCCCCAGATGCTGACACTGTTGCCTCAGGCTATGGCCTCCTCCCTGATCCCTTCTCATCTGCTCTGTTTGAAATGTTTGTTTTTTGGTGCCGAAAAGAAATAGCACTTGAACATAAATTTAATTTCCTCAGCAAGGCCATTTTTATACTTTCTGCAGAAAGGGCACACTCGCCAGTAGTTTTGCCATGAGAGTATACCAAACAAAGGAGACAGGGTCATTTATAACCTGACGTGTCCACCTTACTACTGTGTCTGGTTTCCATTGGCTAGGACGGGACCTCACATTTTGTATTTGTTTTGATTGGCTAGCAACTTAGAACTTTTTAAAAGAGGCAAAGGCAGAGGACAACAAAGGAAGGAGGAAGTAACTTGTAGAATGCTGAGAAAGGTAAAAACAAACACCTTTAAATAAGGAAGAGGAACAGGCTATGAGCTAATGCTTGCTTGGATTAGTATAAGCATGCCAGGACAAGTATTTAGGCTAAATTGTGGGAGCTAAGAACATAAAGTACATTGATTTCTTTATTACGGCCAGCAGATATTTAAGAATGTTAGCACAGGTATTTGAATAAATTTTGCTTCTAAGAGAAGTTACTATTTATTTCTAATGAGATGGGGAGGAAGTCTTTGAAGAGGAAACTCTACTCTACTTTTTACATGCTTTGTCGTGGGCGCTCCATCTCACTTATTGTGTCTGTTGTTGGTTGCTTTTGTTCAGTGTTGATTCCCAGTGCCTTGGACACTGCCTGGCCTAGAGCAAGTGCTCAATAAATATTAAACAAATGTTTCCAGAGCATCTTCAGATATTTGAGACAGGTGCTAAGGTCCTCTGGGTCTGGTCTAACTTGGCTCCTACGTGGGGGGCACTTTCCACCCCTGACTTTGTGCCCAGTGATCCATGAGTGACTGAATGGGAACAAAGGATCAGCCAGGGTTCCCTTAGGTCTTTTAATAGCTTGATGGGATGAAATTATTTCAGGAAATACCTTGGGTTATTTATACTTCTGGTCCTACAGATAATCATCCTGATTGGCACTTTCTTGCCTGAGGATTTGGGGTTGTATCTTTCATCCTTGTACAGTAGGTCTTTTTTTTTTTTGAGATGGAGTCTTGCCCAGGCTGGAGTGCAATAGTGCAATCTCGGCTCACTGCAACCTCCACCTCCCGGGTTCAAGCAGTTCTCCTGCCTCAGCTTCCCAAGTATCTGGGATTACAGGTGCGAGACACCACCCCCGGCTAATTTTTTGTATCTTTAGTAGAGATGGGGTTTCACCATGTTGGCCAGGCTGGTCTCGAACTCCTGACCTCGTGATCTGCCTGCCTTGGCCTCCCAAAGTGCTGGGATTACAGGCGTGAGCCACCATGCCCGGCCCATCCTTGTAAAGTAGTTCTTGTTGAAAGTCCCAAAGAACACAGTTGGAGCAATCCTCCTAACTCTTGCACTTTGCATCTATAATACGGCTCTGGGAGATTTCCCAATGCAGCATTCTAAAAATTCCATTATCAGAGCTAAGGCTTCTATGCCCTTATACTGTATAAAATTAAAATAGTTCTGACACAGTCTTAATGAACAATATTTCACAACATAAATGAGACAGTGCATTTTCTCCATATGTCTTCCATCCAACCCCTGGTATTATGTTTTAAGAAGGATTGCCACCACAGCTCCTTTCTGCTGGAAACAAGCGAGCCCTTTCTTTCCCTTCACCCACTTTATGTAATTGTAGCAAAATGATGCAGCCTTTGTGTAACATCGTGTTTCATTGCTCTGGGTCCTTTCATATTTAATTTAGGAGTTCGTGTAGTGTTTGGTTTAAAAATTAACTGTGAAATTAAATTCGAGGGAGATGAATAGAGAACACCTTCCATCTTCCAGGGAGTTTCCATTTTTAATTTACAGAAATGGGAAGCATATTTGGAGAGAGAAGAGCTGCATTTCAAAACCCAATGCACGTATCATAACACTGCAAACCTCCAAGTTAGGTTTTCCTAATTTCTGTTCTTATGATGCTCTGCAGGGCTGCAATTTAAATCTGTAGCCATTGGCTCTGCCCCCTCATTCATTTCTTTTTGTCTGCAAGCCTCTTCTTACTGCTGATTCATGGAACATATTGCATAAGTAGCACTGGCAAACTTGCTCCATTACCTTGTTCCAGAGATACCTCTCCTTTTCTTTCTTGAAAAGGACTCCTTCAGAACTGCAGGAAAACTGGTGGATTATGTAATACACTCCCTCTGCTTAACACATAAACTGAATTGCAGAGACACTTTTGCAGTTGAAGGAGTCGGGATGGGACATAGGTCTTCTGGCCACTGGGCCATGCTACTCACATTTTTTTCTGGCAAGCTCACAATCCAGCATTTCTTCTCAAAGTGAGTAGCCACATCATTCCTTAGAAAAATGGCAAGTATTTTGCAGACTGCTTGAAGTAGGTGGACCCTTTCCAACCTCGCCTCCTGGATGGCTCTCTTTCGCATGCCCTTGGCTGTTCCTGCACATGCAGTGAGCTCTGGAGCATGCTGTTGTTCGAAGCCAGATCCAATGAGAGGTGGGGGGTGGTGGGGCGAAAGGAAGCCAGTGCAGGAAGGAGGGCCACAGTGAATCTTGAGGGCTCTGATTTCAAAGAAAATGATGATGGTGATAACCACCGGAGCTAACGTGTGCGGAGGGGCCAGCCCTGTTCTGGGAATTCTCTGTGTGTTAATGGACAACCCCACAACCCCATGAGGCAGACTTTATCACCACCTCCATTTTATAGTTGAGGACATCAAGCACAGAGAAGTCAGACCACTTGCCCAAAGTTCCCCAGCTGGCCAGTGGCTGCCTTTGGAGTCCACATTTCTCACCAGGGTGTGGCGCTTCTCAAGGAGATGGGAATTATCTGTAGCCAATGCCCAGAAGGCTGTGCAAGGTGAACAGATGTCTGTCATGCTCCTACCATGGGTCTGGCTCTATGTTTTCATCATCTATGTTGATTCTGAAAAGGTGCAGTAGGCTGATTAAATGACCACTTCCAAGATGCCACATCCTAACCCCCAGACCATTTGCATATGGGACCTCACACGGCAAAAGGGGCTTTGCAGAGTGATTATGCCAATGACCTTGTGATGTAGAGACTATCTGGGTGAGCTCAGTGGGTCTTTACAAATGGAGAGCCCTCCCAGCTGTGGTCAGTGGGAGAGGTGACTATGGAATAAAGGGTCACAGAAGTGTGATGCGAGGGCTTGATTCACCGTTGATGGCTTCGAAGCTGGAAAAGAGGGGTCCTGTTCATGGGATTTGGGTGTTAGGGGAAGGTGAGGGATGGATTCTCCTCTAGAGCCTGCAGAAGGAATGCGTTCCTGCGACGCCTCGATGTAGGATGTAGCGCACCTGCTGGATGTCTTACCTGCAGGACCAGAGGAGGGTGGGTTTGGTGACAGCAGCCCGGGAAACTCATACAGAAGGTCTCTGAAGGAGGTGTTGTGCTCCGGTTTTGCCAATGGAGATGTGAGCTTGGGGAGATGTGGGCTTGGGGAGACGGGGGCTTGGGAGGCAGTGAAGGCAGGGTTGAACCTAGGTTCAAGACACCCCCCAGCCCTTTCTGTGGAATCACAGCCATTTCCATGGAATCAGCCTCCTTCTGAGGAGGGGAAGTGGGGGTGCTGAGGACTGGCGGGCTGAACTGAGCTGAGCTGAGCTACAGGCAGTGTGAGAGGAGCCTCCCAAGCCTGCCTGCCTCCTGGACGCCCTGACACCACGGTCCAGCTCGCAGGGGCAGTGCGAGGCGAGGCCGGCACACAGTTTCTGTCACAGCCACATTGTGAGGCATGGTGATTTTCTTTGATATACAGGAAGAAATCTGGGGCTCAAGGGGTGGAGGGGCTTCCTCCCCCACAGTCTGATGGCCTTGTCTGTCATCAAAAGATCGGGCTGCCGTGAGAGTGTGGGATCAAGTGGAAGGACGTTGGGGTGCATGTGAGTGTGTGACTGTGTGTGTGTTAGTACATGAGTATGTGTATTACTGTTTAAGTGCATGTGAGGCTGTGTGTGAGTCACAGCGAGGGTGTGTGTGTGAGACCATGTGTCTGTGTGTGATTGCATGTGAGAGTGTGACTCTGTTGTGTCTGTGCAAGTTAGTGTGTGAGTCAGCGTGTGAGACTGTTAGTGTGTGGGCATGTGAGGGTGTGTGTCAGACCATGTGTCTGGGTGTCACAGTGTGTGACTGCATGGTTGTGTCTGTGTATACCAGTTAGTGTGTGAGTGTGAGACTGTGTTAGTGTGTGGGCATGTGAGGGAGGGTGAGTGTGAGACCGTGTATGTGAGGTGAGGGCGTGTGACTGTGTGTGTGTCTGTGTGTGGGTGTGTGCCAGACGGTCCGGGTGCCCCGCTGGCGTCCCCGCAGGCTCCCCTGCAGCCCAGCTTGGAAGTCAGGGCCTCGGCCTGTTGCTCACACTCTGGTTGGAGAGGTGGTTTCCAGAGCGCGTGCTCTGGGGAGCTGGGTGGCAGGCAAGAGTGTCCCGGGGACAATGCAGCACACCACGGGGACAGCTGCCACAGGGCGCCTAGCAGGGGGGCTGAGAGGGGGCGGAGCCGCAGGGGATGCTCCCACCCCAGGGCCGGCAGCTTCTGCTGTCTATTGTGCACAGGTCTTTCGATGTCGTAGGCTGCTTTTCCATGTTGAAAACAGGAGACGATGGACTGATGTTCTTCTGTGGGCTACTTTGGTAAATGGAAGGATCAGTGACGTGCAGAGAGACCCACAGGAAGGAAGAGCAGGGTGTCTTGCAGACCTGTGGGGCCCAGGGCCTGGGTGGCAGCGGCTGGACGGTGTTTCCGCGCGGGCGCGCAGCGCGCTACGTGGACACCAGCAGAGCCGGGAAGGGACAGGTTGAGTCCCTCGGTTTCGCATCACTCTCAGGTCACCTTTCCCCGCTCGGGGCGTAGGCCGGAGCATGACGCGGTGGAGGGAGCAGGCGGCGCGGGCGGGTTCGTGGGGTGGCCCTTGGAAGGCCCACCTTCAGAGCACCCAGATCGAGGACGCGAGCAGGCTGGGCTAGGGGTGGGACCGCCACCCTCGTGGACGTCGAGGGCGGTCTTCAGACATCCGCCAACTCTGAGATCCCGTTTCTAAGAACCCCCGAGGGCCGTGTCATTGACACACCTCGGGCTCAGCGTTCGGGGGGCACACTGCCCTGCGCACGGCTCACGCGCTGCACCACGGAGGGCCCTGCTTTCCCGTCGTTCCCCGCAGCCAGCGTGTAGCAGCCAGAATGCAGGCTTTCAGACTCTAGGCTGTGGTTTTTCCACATTTTACTCCCCTCACCCACAAAACAGAGTAACATCTCCTGGCTTCTTGTGGGAGACGAACGCGGCAGCGCGCGTGGGGCACGGACGGGCGTCCTGGGTGGGGACCGCCAGCTTCTAGAGCCATCTTTCGTCTGAACCAGGGGTAGGGACGGCACCTGTTCAATTTTGTATATTTAGGGATACAGTCACGCGAAAGCAGCTTTGGGAACATCTCGATTCTCTAAGATGGGGAAGTGTGGCTGGCCAATGTGACTCTCCGAAGCTGGCGGAGTTGGCAGCTCACAGGCTATTTTATTGCGGAGCTAAGCTTCTATAGCTTCTGAGCAGAAAGCTTTTCCATATACAATAGGAATTTGTACCTTAGGAACTGAGTACTGAAAATTCAGCTCTCCTTGCAGGCCAGGCAGGATCACGTGGGGGAAGAAGCACAGTCCGTGCGTGGCTGACGCGGACCCGCAGGCCCACAGCCCACAGCTGGGCATCATCACTTCAGAACTGAAATCACAGCCAGGAGGTTTCGGATGCTGGAGGACTGCTCCACTGATTTCCTGTGGTGCCTTCGAGCTCTGGGATCTATTGTTCTGCATAACATAAGCCAGGCTAGAAAATCAGCTCAGTATTTGTGGGCAATACCTGAAAAGAAGATATTTGAATTTGGAGTGTATACCTTCTCCTTGGGTCACACGGTGTCCAAGGGGCCTTGCAAAGGGAACACATCAGATAACACACAATAATGACAAAATATCAACAAGAACAAGGGGCCAGGAACTCATCACATCCATGTAAGAGCAGAGGAAAGCAGGCCTTGGTGGCAGGGACAGACGCAGCCCTGTGAGGCTCCCGCGTGGCCTGGAGCCCACCCCATCAGCCCGCTGAGGAAAGGCCAGCAGAAGATGATTGGGAACACAGGAACCCGGCTCTCCTGGACCGATCGGCAGCCACAGGTTTACTCCTCAAACCAGGTACACAATCTCCTCCCCAAAAGCTTTCATCCTGTTAAGGGCTCCTGCCCCCAATGCAGGAGCCAGTGATGGGATAAGGACCAGTGGCCACAGCCTCCGAGTGGGCATTCTCTGCCCTCATGCACCCCACAGACCACAGTGAGGTAGGGCACTCACCATAGCCCACCTCCACCCTGCAGAGAAAGGAAGCAGGCGGAGCAGGCCCTGCAGGGAGGCCCCATGGGGTCAGACCATGCCCTGTAGCTCCATGGTCCAGCATCTGCCACACACCTCTTAGCTTCCTCTGTTCCAGCCTCAGCTCAAGCCTCTACGTTCCAAAGATCCAAGTTGGTTAGGTATATTTTCTGACTTCCTTGGTATCCCGGGGGACACCCCTACTTCATGTTTTGCTACTGTGCAAGCCTAGTTGCCATTTTTCTGGCCTCTTGTATCAGCTTTTTTGGTGCCTCCTGCCCAACCTTGAAAGTCTTGCCATATATTTTAGCATTTTGCTTCTGGAGTGCCCCACATCTGAACCAATTTCTGTTAGCCAGTGTTTGCCGTGTCAGTGACCTACTTGAACATCTTGGTGCACACAGCCCACTCTGTTGTACTTATGGTGCAGAGTGCCGTGAGCCCGGCAGCTCTCGGCCTCTCCAGGCTCCAGGTCGCCTAGCTGGAATCCAATGGCAGAGCCGATGCTGCAGAGAACCAGGTGCCTCTGTGGCTCCTCTGCAGCTCTGCCTGGCTGGGCATTTGTCAGGGCTGTGCACGGCCTCCGGGCATCGCTGAGGTGCATGCTGTCCTCCAGCACCACATTCTGGGGCTGCAGCTCCCTGGGGGCAGTGCTGTGAGTTCAGGCAGCTGTCCTGTGGCTTGGGTGCCTTCATCTCTTCCTTCCTGATGTGTCCAAGTCATTTGGAAGTTTCTCTGCAACATTTTTCCTGCACCCTTCCTCCTTGTTCTTTATTTTTTTCCTCCTTCACAGACACACAAGGAAAGAAAAATATGTGTTTTTTGGCAAGTAGTTGGTTATGTTTTAAATGAGAAATGTAGAATTAAATCCAAACCCTTCCCTGACCACACTGCCCCAGTGCCCAGCTCTGGCGGTCAGCTCTTCATCTCCCACACCCTCCTCTCCTTCCACCCCTGACCCCAGAGCTCCCTTTGGCCTCATATAAGTGGGATCATGCAGTATTTGTCTTTCTGTCTCACTTATTTCACTTAGCATTCAGGTTCGTCCATGTTGTCCCAAATTGGCAGGATTTCCTTCCTTTTTAAGGGTGAATAATATTCTATTTGTGTGTGTATGTGTGTGTGTGTGTGTGTGTTTGTATGTATATGAAACATGTTTTCTTTATTCATTCATCCATTGTGGACACTTAGGTTGTTTCTGTATCTTGGCTACTGTGAATAAGGTTGCAATGAACATGGCCGCACAGATATCTCCTTGAGATTCTGATTCCATTTCCTTTGGATATAGACCCAGAAGTGGGATTTTTCTCAGTCATATGGTAGATCTATTTTTAAGTTTGGTGAAAGTTCTATATTGCTTTCCATGTGGCTGTACTAATTTGCACCCCCACAGCATACTAGGGTTCCCTTTTCTTCACATCCTACCCAACATTTGTTATCTCCTGTGTTTTTGATAACAGCCATTCTAACAGGTGTTAGGCCATATCTCATTGTGTTTTTGATGTGCATTTCTCTGATGATTAATGATGCTAAGCACCTTTTCATGTACCTGGGGGCCATTTGCATGTCTTCTTTGGGAAAATGTCTATTATCCTTTGCCCATTTTTTGATCAGGTTATTGATTTTTTTGCTCTTGATTCGTATGAGTTCCTTACATATGTTCAATATTAACCCCTTATTAGGTATATGGTTTGCAAATATTTTCTGAGTCTGTAGGTTGTCTTTTCATTTTGTTGTTTGTTTCCTTTGCTGTGCAAAAGCTTTTTAATTTGATATGGTTCCACTTGTTTATTTTTTGCTTTTGTTACCTGGGCTTTTAGTGTTATATCCAAAAAATCATTGTCAAGACCAGCATCAAGGAGCTTTTCTCCTGTGTTTTCTTCCAGAAGTTTTACAGTTTCAAGTCTTACATGTGAGTCTTTAATCAATTTTAAGTCAATTTCTGTATATGGTGTAGGATAGGGTCCACTTTCATTCTTTTGTATGTGGTTATCCAGCTTCCCAATACCATTTATTGAAGAGACTATCCTTTCCCCACTGTGTATTCTTGGCATTCTTGTCAAATATTAGTTGACTGTAACATGCATGGGTTTATTTCTGGGCTGTTGATTCTTCTGTTCTATTGGTCTATATATCTCTTTGTATGCCAGTCATACTGTTTTGATTGCTATAGATGTGTAATATAGTTTGATATCAGGAAGTGTCATGCCTCCAGCTTTTTCCTTCTTACTCAATGTTGACTTGGCTATGTAGGGTCTTCTGTGGTTCCATATAAATTAGAATTTTTTTCTATTTCTATGAAAAATGCCATTGGAATTTTGATAGGGATTGCATTGAATCTGTAGATTGCTTTGAGTAGTTATGGACATTTTAGCAATATTAATTCTTCCAAACCATGAACATGGGATATCTTTCCATTTATTTGTATCTTCTTTGATTTCTTCATTCATGTCTTACTGTCCTGAGTGTACAGATCTTTAAACCTCTTTGGTTAAATTTATTCCTATTTTATTCTTTTTGATGCTATTATAGATGGGATTATTTTCTTTCTTTTTCGGATAGTACATTGTTAGCATATTGAAGTAAAACTGTTATTTTGTATGTGTTCTGATTTTGTATCCTACGAATTTACTGAATTTGTTTATTAGTGTTAGTAGAGTTTTGGTAGAGTCTTTAGGGTTTTCTATATATAAGATCACATCTGTAAACAAATAGAGTTTAACTTCATCCTTTCCAATTTGGACATTTTTAATTTTGTTGTTGTTGTTGTCTAATTGCTCTACTATGTACTTCTGGTACTATGTTGAATAGAAGTGGTGAGAGTGAGCATCCTTGTCTTGTTCCTGACCTTGGAAGAAAAGCTTTCAGCTTTTCACTATGGAGTATAATGTTAGCTGTGGGCTTGTTATATATGGTCTTTATTACGTTGTGGTACATTTATTCTATACCTTATTTGTTGAGAGCTTTTAATTATGAAAGGATGTTGAATTTTCTCAAATGCCTTTTCTGCATTCATTGAGATGATCCTATGATTTTTATCCTTCATTCTGTTAAGGCAATGTATCACATTTATTGATTTGTGTATGTTGAACCTGTCCTTGGATTTGGGAATAATTCCTACTTAATCATGGTATATGATCCTTGTGATGTGCTGCTGAATTCAGTTTGCTAGTATTTTGTTGAGCATTTTTTCTTGTTATACTTTAAGTTTTAGGGTACATGTGCACAATGTGCAGGTTAGTTACATATGTATACATGTGCCATGCTGGTGTGCTGCACCCATTAACTCGTCATTTAGCATTAGGTATATCTCCTAATGCTATCCCTCCCCCCTCTCCCCACCCCACAACAGTCCCCAGAGTGTGATGTTCCCCTTCCTGTGTCCATGTGTTCTCATTGTTCAATTCCCATCTACGAGTGAGAACATGCGGTGTTTGGTTTTTTGTCCTTGCGATAGTTTACTGAGAATGATGATTTCCAATTTCATCCATGTCCCTACAAAGGGCATGAACTCATCATTTTTTATGGCTGCATAGTATTCCATGGTGTATATGTGCCACATTTTCTTAATCCAGTCTATCATTGTTGGACATTTGGGTTGGTTCCAAGTCTTTGCTATTGTGACTAGTGCCGCAATAAACATACATGTGCATGTGTCTTTATAGCAGCATGATTTATAGTCCTTTGGGTATATACTCAGTAATGGGATGGCTGGGTCAAATGGTATTTCTAGTTCTAGATCCCTGAGGAATCGCCACACTGACTTCCACAATGGTTGAACTAGTTTACAGTCCCACCAACAGTGTAAAAGTGTTCCTATTTCTCCACATCCTCTCCAGCACCTGTTGTTTCTTGACTTTTTAATGATCACCATTCTAACTGGTGTGAGATGGTATCTCATTGTGGTTTTGATTTGCATTTCTCTGATGGCCAGTGATGATGAGCATTTTTTCATGTGTCTTTTGGCTGCATAAATGTCTTCTTTTGAGAAGTGTCTGTTCATATCCTTCGCCCACTTTTTGATGGGGTTGTTTGTTTTTTTCTTGTAAATTTGTTTGAGTTAATTGTAGATTCTGGATATTAGCCCTTTGTCAGATGAGTAGGTTGCAAAAATTTTCTCCCATTCTGTAGGTTGCCTGTTCACTCTGATGGTAGTTTCTTTTGCTGTGCAGAAGCTCTTTAGTTTAATTAGATCCCATTTGTCAATTTTGGCTTTTGTTGCCATTGTTTTTGGTGTTTTAGACATGAAGTCCTTGCCCATGCCTATGTCCTGAATGGTATTGCTTAGGTTTTCTTCTAGGGTTTTTATGGTTTTAGGTCTAACATTTAAGTCAATATAAGCAACTTCAGCAAAGTCTCAGGACACAAAATCAATGTACAAAAATCACAAGCATTCTTATACACCAATAACAGACAAACAGAGAGCCAAATCATGAGTGAACTCCCATTCACAATTGCTTCAAAGAGAATAAAATACTTAGGAATCCAACTTACAAGGGACGTGAAGGACCTCTTCAAGGAGAACTACAAACCACTGCTCAATGAAATAAAAGAGAATACAAACAAATGGAAGAACATTCCATGCTCATGGGTAGGAAGAATCAATATCGTGAAAATGGCCATACTGCCCAAGGTAATTTATAGATTCAATGCCATCCCCATCAAGCTACCAATGACTTTCTTCACAGAATTGGAAAAAACTACTTTAAAGTTCATATGGAACCAAAAAAGAGCCCGCATTGCCAAGTCAATCCTAAGCCAAAAGAACAAAGCTGGAGGCATCATGCTACCTGACTTCAAACTATACTACAAGGCTACAGTAAGCAAAACAGCATGGTACTGGTACCAAAACAGAGATATAGATCAATGGAACAGAACAGAGCCCTCAGAAATAACGCCGCATATCTACAACTATCTGATCTTTGACAGACCTGAGAAAAACAAGCAATGGGGAAAGGATTCCCTATTTAATAAATGGTGCTGGGAAAACTGGCTAGCCATATGTAGAAAGCTGAAACTGGATCCCTTCCTTACACCTTATACAAAAATTAATTCAAGATGGATTAAAGACTTGTTGAGCATTTTTACATCTAAGTTCATCAGGGATATTGGCCTGAAATTAATTAATTTTCCCTTTCTTTCTTTCTTTCTTTCTTTCCTCCTTCCTTCCTTTCTTTCTTTCCTTTCCTTTATATCCTTTCCTCTCTTCTTTTCTTTCTCTCTCCTTCCTTCCTTTCTTTCTTTCTTTCTCTCTCTCTCTTCCTTCCTTCCTTCCTTCCTTTCTTTTCTTTCTTCCTTTCTTTCTTTCTCTTTCTTTCTTTCTCTCTCTTTCTCCCTTCCTTCCTTCTTTCCTTCCTTCCTTCTTTCTCTTTCTTTCTCTCTCTCTCTCTTTCTTTCTTTCTTTCTCTCTTTCTCTCTTCTTTTTTTTTGTTGTGTCCTTATCTGGCTTTGGTATGAAGGGTAACACCAGCTTTATAAAACAAGTTTCGAAGTGTTCTCTCTTCATTTTTTGCAAAAGTTTGAAGTTTTACAAAAGTTCCAGTATTGGCATTCTTTAAATGTTTGGTAGAATTTACCTGTGAAGCCATTGGTGAGACTTTCTTTGTTGGAAGGTTTTTGATTAGTGCTTCAATCTTCTTACTTCTTATTGGTCTGTTCAGGTTTTCTATTTTTTCTTGATTCAGTCTTGGTAGGTTGCATGTTTCTAGGAATTTACCAGTTTCTTCTAGGCTATCAATTTGTAGGCATGTAATCTTATGATATCAGTTGTAATGTCTTCTTTTTCATTTATAATTTTATTTATGTGAGTGCTCTTTTTTTTTTCTTGGTAGGTCTAGATAAAGTTCCATCAATTTTGTTTATCCTTTCAAACCCAACTCTTAGTTTTGCTGATCTCTTCAATTGTCTTTCTAGTCTCTGTTTCATTTCTTTCTGC
Source organism: Homo sapiens (assembly GCF_000001405.40). Classification (NCBI taxonomy): domain Eukaryota; kingdom Metazoa; phylum Chordata; class Mammalia; order Primates; family Hominidae; genus Homo; species Homo sapiens. The sequence continues at coordinate 130,755 of NW_011332701.1, read as the reverse complement.
CAATATTTTTTTCCTTCTGTCAACTTTGGGCTTAGCTGGCTCTTCTATTTCCTTGCGGTATAAAGTTAGGTTGTTTATTTGAGCTCTTTCTTCTTTTTTAAAGTTTTATTTTATTTTTAATTAACAAATAAAAATTGTATATATGTATGGGGCACAATGTGGTTTTCAATTCATTTATACACTGTAGTGTCATCCAATCAGGCTAATGATTTTGAGGTAGGTATTCATCACTATAAACTTCCCTCCTAAAACTGCTTTTGCTGTGTCCCATAAATTTTGGTATGTTGTGTTTCCATTTTTGTCTGTCTCAAGATACTTTCTGATTTCCATTTTATTTCTTTTATGACACATTGGTTGCTCAAGAGTGTGTTGCGGCTGGGTGTGGTGGCTCACACCTGTAATCCCAGCACTTCAGGAGGCTGAGGTGGGCAGATCATGAGGTCAGGAGTTCAAGACCATCCTGGCCAACACAATGAAACCCCGTCTCTACTGAAAATACAAAAATTAGTCAGGCATGGTGGTGCTTGCCTGTAGTCCCAGCTACTTGGGAGGCTGAGGCAGGAGAATTGCTTGAACCTGGGAGGCAGAGGCTGCAGTGAGCCAAGACTGCACCACTGCACTCCAGCCTGGGTGACAGAGTGAGACTCCATCTCAAAAAAAAAAAAAAAAAGTGTTGCTTAATTTTTGCATATTTATCAATTTCCCTATTTTCCTTCTGTTATGAATTTCTAGTTTTATACCATTGTGTTCGGAAAATATACTTGATATTATTTACATCTTCTAAAATTTGTTAAGTTCAAGCATGGTGGCTCATGCTTATAATCTTAGTGCTTTAGGAGGTTGAGGCAGGAGGATCACTTGAGACCAGGAGTTCAAGACCAGCTTGGGCAACATAGCAAGACCTCCATCTCTGAAAAAAAAAAAAAATTAGCTGGACATGGTGGTGTACACTTGTAGTCCTAGTTACTCAGGAGGCTGGGGCAAGGGGATTGCTTAAGTCCAGGAGTTCAAGACTAAAGGGAGCTTTGATTACACCACTGCACTCCAGCCTGGGTGACAGAGCAAGACTCTGTCTCTAAGACAAAATTTTTTTTAAAAGAAATAAAATTTGTTAAGACTTGTTTGTGACCTAATATGTGATATATCCTGAAGACTTTTTTGTGTGTGCTAGAGAAGAATGTCTTTTTCTGCTGTTGGGTGGAAAGTTCGGTCTATGTCTGTTAGGTCCACTTGGTGTACAGTGCTGTTCACGTCTGCTGTTTCCTGTCTGGATGTTCTATCCATTGTCTTAAATGGGATATTGAAGTCCCCTATTACATTGCATTGCTGTCAATTTCTCCCTTTATCTCTGTTAATACTGCTGTGCATATTTAGGTGCTCTGGTGTTGGGTGTGTACTTATTTATAACTGTGATAGGTCCCTGTTGAATTGACCATTTTATCAGTGGAAGAGGGTGGGTAATGACCTTCTTTGTCTCTAGAGACAGTTTTTGACTTACAGTCTATTTTGTCTGATATAACTTTAGCTATCCCTGCTGTCTTTTGGTTACCATTTCCATGCAAATGGTAACCAAAAGAAGTTTTGTCTTTCCATCTGCTTGGTATCCCACCTATCTGGAATTTACATGATGACTAGCTGTAAACCTGTGTGACTATGGAGGGGCAGATGCGTGAAGATCAGAGATGCCCTAGATAATTTCCTTGGGGGCTGCCCCCAAACTCTTTCCTTTCTTCTCCCAGGAAGCGATGCTGGCCTTCTGTTTTGCAGGCTCTGTTCATGCATTTTCTGCTTCTCATTTGCTCAGCATGTATTGCTTGCGCTGCAGAGCACTGAAGAAACCAAGAGAGGCACGCCATGCTCACAGGAGCTCACAGCTGGACTCTTGCCAAAGAAACTCGTAGGCACAGAGTGTCGGCTCGACCGGAGAGGAGTGCAGTGATAGAACGGTGGCTGGGTCTGTGAGGCGATGCCTGGGAAGCTAGGTGGTGCGTTCTGTGCCTGGGAAGTGGTTTGGGTGTAGGAAGAGGTGTGCTATATTTCCCAGAGCATGGGCAGGAAGAGAACCTTTGTACAGTCCTTTAAGGCAGTGGTCCCCAACCTTTTTGGCACCAGGGACTAGTTTCATGGAAGACAATTTTTCCATGGACCGTGGGGTGGGACATCATTTTGGGATGAAACTGTTCCACCTCAGATCATCGGGCATTAGTTAGATTCTCATAAGGAGTGTGCAACCTAGATCCCTCACATGCGCAGTTCACAGTAAGGTTCACGCTCCTATGAGAATCTGATGCTGCCGCTGATCTGACAGGAGGCAGAGCCCAGGCGGTCATGCTCACTTGCCCAGCTCACCTCCCACTGTGCGGCCCTGGTACTAGTCCGTGGCAGGGTTAGGAGGGTTGGGGACCCCTGCTTTAAAGCATCTTTTAAGAATTTTTATTATTTTTACTCTTTAGGTCCATTTACCAGAAATTTTTTTATTCCTGATAGCTGAAAATTCTTTTTCTTAAGCATAGAAATTTAGTAGTGTCCATCATTATATCTGAAGTAATGAACTCATCTTCTTCTACAACCATGTAGTTTAAAAAGTTTTATTCCACATCCTAGAGGCGGATCATCAGCGTGCTTTTCCATTTTTTAAATGGGAAGTGATGGTTTCGCCTCCCACGTGGTGTGTGGGGCCCCTTAGCTGGTGGAAGAGGGTGGGTTTCTGAGTGAGGATAGCTGCATCCAGATGTCCCAAGCACTCACTGTGGGCCACAGAGATGCTCATGTGTGGATCACTTGCAAGCCGGTGTGTGTGACGAGGGAGGGGAGAAAGGTGTTGATGGTGGCAGTGGGCGGAGCAAACTTAGCGAGGGTGCTAGGGGTGTCAGTGAGACCACGATGAGCCCAGCTGTCCTGAGAGGGCCATGGCTGTCTGCCTTGTCGTTTGCTCATTTGTGTGTTAATCTGCTAGGACTCATGATTTCATGATGTCCACGGACCTCCTCCAGAGCTGAGGGCTCCTTGAGGTATGTAGTGCAGTTTTCTGATTTTACAAATGAGCAAACAAGGCCCCACGAGGAGAGAGGAGGTGCTCTGGAGTAAGAAAATGCTGGTCTGTATCCTGGGTGCGCGTGTCCTTTGTTTTCCGACACGGGGACAATTATTCAGCTGAGACTGTTTCCTCCTCTGCAAAGTGGATTATCATAGTTCTACTTCATGCAGTTGCTGTGAAAGGTGCAGATGGTGTGTGTAGAGCACTTAATCCAGGGCCGGGTGCACAGTAGTTGCTCAATAAAAATTAGTTATTTTTGCTGCTATCCAATCCTGCTGACCAGTGGCTGGCAGTCATGGCTCTTCACTCTTTTTTGTTTTTTGTTTGAGACGGGGTCTCGCTCTGTTGCCCAGGCTGGAGTGCAGTGGTGCAATCTTGGCTCACTGCAGGCTCTGCCTCCAGGGCTCAAGCAATTCTCCCACCTCAGACTCCCGAGTTACTGGGACTATAGGTGTGTGCCACCACACCTGGCTAATTTTTTTTATTTTTAGTAGAGATGAGGTCTTGTGATGTTGGCCAGGCTGGTCTTGAACACCTGGCCTTAAGCAATCTGCCTGCCTTGGCCTCCCAAAGTGCTGCGATTACAGGTGTGAGCCACCGTGCCAGGCCGGCTCTTTGCTCTTTACTGGAAGTCTCCTTTCCGTCCAGACAAAGTTAGCCCAAAGGTTAAGCCAGAAGAAAGGAACGTGTCATAGAGTGAGGTCACAGGGCTGGCTTGGAGCAGGCTTCATCCCTATCTGCTCTGTCCCTGCAGTGACTTCCTCCTGTCATCCATGGGCTGTATTTGCATGCTGTCACATCCTGTTCTACTAATGAAGACTTAATTAAATATCAAAAAAGAGACATACCAAAGTGGGAAGTGTCTTCGCCTTGTTCTCTGTAGGGCGGATAGGACAGCCTGGCTCTGGTGCCTGCTCACCATGTCCAGCGGGTGACCCTCCACTCTCAGCGCCATGGCTGTCAAGTTGGGGATGAATGCCTGCCCTGCCTGCTTCCTGGGGCCACCCTTGGCATTGGATAAGGAAGTATTCTTAAAATGGGTCCTAAACTGGCTGGGCGCGGTGGCTCATGCCTGTAATCCCAGCAGTTTGGGAGGCGAGGTGGGTGGATCACCTGAGGTCAGGAGTTGGAGACCAGCCTGGCCAACATGGTGAAACCCCGTCTCTACTAAAAATATAAAAACTAGCCAGGTGTGGTGGTGGGTGCCTGTAATTGCAGCTACTTGGGAGGCTGAGGCAAGAGAATTGCTTGAACCCAGGAGATGGAGGTTGCAGTGAGCCAACGTGGTGCCACTGCACTCCAGCCTCGGCAACGGAGTGAGACTCCGTCTCAAAAAAAAAAAAGCGTCCTAAACTAAGACTGAAAAGCAGAGAACGAACAGAAGGAATTATTAGAGTTTGGTAGCAAGTTATTGGATTTTAGGTATTTACATTTAAAACAAACAAAACAACTCTTAAAAAGTGAAACTGTGAAAAGCCAACACCTAGTATCACATTTCCTGAAAATGAACTTTGAATCTAGTACTACACATTATAAATGATATAATTTTAGTCAGAATTTGCATTTCAGGTAATTACTGGTAAAGGGAGTCAGTTTCTGTGAGATGGAAGCTGTGAAAAAATGGAGTGGAAGTCCCTTTAGGGGATTAAGAAATGAATAATGCATGCTAGCGTTTAATTTTCCGCTTGTTCTTGCCACATTCTTTTTGTATTTTTTTAACAAATTTATTGAGGTATAATTTAAATACCATTAATTTCACCCCTTGGAAATGTACAATTAAGTTATTTTTACCAGATTTAGAGTTCTGCCACCATCACAAGTTCTAGAACATTTCATCACCCCATAAGGATCCCTGGGACCCGTTTCCAGTCAACCTTTGTTGCTTTCCCCAGCCTTGGGCAGCCCTGATCTTTCTGTTTCTCTAAATTTACTTTTTCTGGAAAGTTCATATAGATGGACCGACCCCATCTTCTGTGTCTGGCTTCTTTCCCCAGCATCACTTCTAAGCATTCATCCGTGCACGAGCTGTGCCGCATTTTCTTTATCCCTTCACCACGGATGGACATTTGGAAAGTTTCCAGTTTTCGCCTCCTTTGTATAATGTTGTTATGAGCATCAGTGCTTTGTGTGGACATGTGTTTTCATTTCTTTTGGGTGGATTCCTAGTAGAATTGCTGGGTCATATGGTAAATTTATGTTTAACTTCGTAAGAAACTGCCAAACTGCTTTCCACAGTGGCTAGCCCATTTTACATTCCCACTAGCAATGTATGAGGGCTCCAATTCTCCACATCTTGGCCTTTTCTCATATTTTGTCTTAGAAATTCCACTTCCATTTGAATTATAATCAAATAGAAAAGATGCTTTTGTGATAACACAGACATCTCAATTAGATGAAGTGTTGGACTGTGTACCTTTGGTTTAACAGCAGCCTAGTAATTGGGAGGAATTGATTTATGTTGCTGAACAAATGGGCCAGTTGCCAAGGGAGCATATGGCAAATAATTAATGACAGTTTGCTATGGCCTTTCTCATAGAACATACTCCATCTGGCCTTCCGCTGCTTTATCAGGGTCATCTAATTATTTAGGAAATGCAAGCAGCTTCCCTTAGATGGCACGTTGGTGGTAGCTGTATGTGTCTGTGGGGTGTCCAGGCCTGAAACATCAAGACCCATGACTTATCATTTGAATAGATGTGGTACACAGTGGCAGATATAGACCCCCTCATGTCCACACAGGCTTTCGTGTGTGCTAACTCCCTCGTGCACTGGAACGCGGTAATTTCCTGTGCTTCTTTCCAGATCGTGCACAGAACTCTGGCAGCCATGCTGGGTTCCCTTGCAGCACTGGCAGCACTGGCTGTGATTGGCGATGTAAGTTGTCACAGTCCCAATCCCTGGCTTACCACTCAGTGGGATGTCAGCTCAAAGATGTTCCAGGATTCAGGCTTTCGCTGGTTTTTTCACTATTTTATATGCCACGTCCATGTTTTTGCCCAAGAACCATGCTAGAGGTATGAACTAACAAGCTACAGCATTGAAGAGTACTTTTCATTAGGTTTTGTCACACACTCACATCCCAGTGGTGTGATTCCTCATCGTGGTGGAGGAAAGGCTCCTCATGGGCATGTTTGCCTAGGGCTGTGGAGCTGGGTTGTGATGGGGCTGGATCTGGGTGTTGGAACTAGAGGGGACCGTCCTAGCTGGTGCAGAAAGGTGGGAGTCAGTTGGGCCAGGGTCTGTCCTGAAGAGATCAGGAGGCCCCTGGAGAGGCGTGTTTGGGGATGAGGGTGTCCTGTTTGGGTCTGAGCAGGGCCTCTCTGGCAGGGACATGGGAAACAAATGTAGGGAAACAACAGAGACCAGTGGCCACTGGGGATGGAGGCCCAGAGTTGTCTGAGAGGCAGTGCTGGAACCCAGCTGAGAGTGGGACAGCTGCCATGCCAGTTCCTGTCATCTGGTCTCAGGCACGGCACTGCAGAGAGCACATACAGACTCCACTCGGAATGTAACCAGGGGCCAGTCCCGCCATGTGGGAGCTGCCAGAGGCAGGGGCTAGAAAAAACTTTATTACTAAATGCATAGATTTGACATTATAGATGCCCTGGGTCAAGACTGTTTTTCAGCAGCGATATAATCCAACTTCAAAGGCAAGTGGATGGTGAGATTTCCAACCCTGGCCCGCCCACTGAGTGGGTCTGCAGCAGGGGGCAGCGCTTCATTAGGCTCATCACTGGGATGGCGGCGCACGGATTAATTGGCAAATTTGTGCTTTGATTGCAGAGACCCAGCCTGACCCATGTGGTGGAGTGGATTGATTTTGAGACGCTGGCCCTGCTGTTTGGCATGGTAATTACAGCTCTCCCCGTGGGACTGGGCTCCACGCCTGCGGTAACCGGGCCTTCTCTGGCCTCCACCGCTGAGGGTCCTTCATTATGTTAAAGACACAGCGCCTAGGGCTTGACTGAGAAGTGTTAGTGCAGGTCTCATGAATCTCCTGAGGAGGAATGGAATGGGGCTATGGTTCGTGGGCGGGAGAATTTCAGCCCAAGGCGTGTCTGACGATGAAGTCATATTGCCATTTAGAAAAGCTAGCAATTCTTTTGAGTTATTTCCGTTAAAATAAAAAAAAATGGACTATCCCAAATAAATAAACCATGTAGGAGTTTCAGTGGGAGAGAGAGTACCTTTCATTATGTGAATAAAGGAAGGTGTCACTCCTAAGTATTAGTTGGGTGTTTACCAATTGATCATAGTGCCCAGTGGCCACTCTGCTGTGAGGAATGCCACCAAGTCCACCTGCAGGATCTCGAAGTGCCCAAGCGGGCTAGTGTGGGACTCACTAGTGTGAGTCCTAACCCAGCTTAACTAGAACCAGTGGAGCCTGGGCAGCAGGGGCAGTCCACGTGTTCCTCAGCAGACCCCAAACAGTCCAGTGGTCTGCAGGAGGGCTCTTCCTCTCTGGGCTAGAAGACTTGCTCTGTGTACAGCTGGGCACGATAGATCCTCATTTTCCTTGCCAACATTTCGTCCCTCCCAAGGCTGGCTGACATAACGGAGGGCCCAGCTATGTGACCTGATGGAAACCGTGCCGCCATCCTCTGTGGGTGGTGCGCAGGGAGGCAGGCCAGTGCTCTAACCCTGGCTTCACAGAGTAACTAATACTTGTGTCGGGCCTGAGACGTATACAGAGTTTGGGCATCTGGATAGAAGAGAGGAAGTGTACCAGATATCCCTGAGATACGCCTTTTTTAAAAAAGGAATGCTATATTAGTTTGCTAGGACTATGTAACAAAGTACCACAGACCGTGTGGCTTAAATAATATAAATGTATTTTCTCACAGCTCTGGAGGCTGCAAGTCTGAGATCACGGTGTGGGCAGGCATGCTTTCTCCTGAGCCTCCCTCCTGGGCTTGTAGATGGCACCTTCTCCCAGCGTTTTCACTTTGTCTTCCCCGTGTGTTTCTGATTCCTGAGACCCTCATCCTATAAGGACATCAGTCACACTGAATGAGGGCTCACCCTAACAACCTCATTTTAATTTAATTACCTCCTTCAACGCCCTCACTCCAAATACAGTCTCACATTCCCAGGTACTAGGGGCTAGGAGGTGAACATATGAATTTTGGGGGACACAGCCTATAAAAATGGCTTCAGCACGTTTTTCTCGGTGGAATTCAGTTCAGCGAGCACTGGCAGGTTCTGTGATTCTGGAACTGCAGGGTACAGGGTCGTTACAACCAGGTCCCTGCCTCTTCTCCCCCATTTCCTGGCAGCCAACCACCCATGGGACCATTTACCCCCATCCCTGAGTTCTAGTCTCCCAGGGTGGTTCTGTCAGCAAATGTGTAAAACACCACATGGGTCTCCACACGCCTGTCTCCTCATGCGTATTCACGTGAAGCTACATTGGTGTGCGAAGCCCCACGCTCCACCGTCAGCTCTCAGTGGCCTTTTGGGTGAGGATGAACATTGATGGTCACTCTGGACATGGTGGATATTTACACTGGGTCTAAATTGACTGGGGACATTTTTGTTTTCTATAGTTTATTTGAGAGACAATAGTGTCTGTTGGGACTCCTGTTTACTGAGTATTGTAATTTGAATAATTATATTGCATTTTCATAACCTGACAAAGTATAGAACATTCACAGGTAAGGTGAGAAAACTGAAGGACAGAAAGGTTAATTCATATTTTTGTTCAAGTTCGGACTTTTTTTTTTGAGACAGAGTCTCGCTCTGTCTCCAGGCTGGAGTGCAGTGGCGTGATCTTGGCTCACTGCAAGCTCCCCGTCCTGGGTTCATGCCATTCTCCTGCCTCAGCCTCCTGAGTAGCTGGGACTACAGGCGCCCGCCACCCCACCCAGCTAATTTTTTGTATTTTTTTTTTTTTTTTAGTAGAGATGGGGTTTCACCATGTTAGCCAGGAGGGTCTCGATCTCCTGATCTCGTGATCCGCCCGCCTTGGCCTCCCAAAGTGCTGGGATTACAGGCGTGAGCCACCACACCCAGCCTCAAGTTCAGACTATTTTTAAGTGGCAGAATCAGGATCTGAACTTGCATCTTCTCATTCCAAGTTCAACACATGGTGACTGCCATCAAAGAGGTGAAGCAGAGGAACTTCCAGAACATTCACTAGCTGAGATGTCTGGTTGATAAAATTCAGAATAACTGGGACATGACTTTTTATTAGGATCCAGGATGGCTGTTTCTGTTTTCACTAACTCATCATCCTCACTGGAAAGAAACAGGTGATAGGCATTCTGGGTTCACCTGGAACCCAGGGAGCAATCATTTCAATAAAACTCTCAAATTGGTGACAAAAATCAGTTTAATTATTTTAGAAAACAAAATTGAACCCAATTTTAGCATCATAGAATGTTTAAGTGTTGCTTGTGTGGACACGTAGGTGCAGAAGGCCACATGCTGGCTCCCGCCCGGCTTCTAGATTTGTGGCTGTGAGCAACCCACCTCGCACTCTGATCCCATTTTCTAGTCTATAAAACAGAGGGTGAAAATAACACCTGATTTTTTTGTGTGTGAGGATCAGATGGGATGGTAATGTGCCTTGAGGACAAATCCCTGGACACACATATAGGCACAAAACTGCTAGCAAGAGGCTCCATTCAAGGAGTGAGTGAGTGTACTATTCCAGGAAGTGACGGTCTTTCTGCATCTCAGAGTGAGGAGCTTGGTGATGTGGTGGCTTTCAGAGGCCAGAGCTCAAATGTGTAAGGGATCATGCTGATGTCGTTTTAATATGGTGTCCTGCTAAAAGATTATCCTTGTCTTCTTCTTTTCCCCGTAGATGATCTTAGTAGCCATATTTTCAGAAACGGGATTTTTCGATTATTGTGCTGTAAAGGTAGGTATGATGTTGCATTTAATAATTCTATCCTGATTAATTTATATATGTATTTTTCTGACATTATATATTTAGGAAACAAACATTTAAAACAAACATTGAAAAATTCCATCCTTCTTTTAAAGGTTGCTTCTGCAGGGCAGGGTATACTTGCTATGTTAAGTTGTATGGCTCTGAGCAGCACTTTCAGCTGCTCAGTAAATAAATGAAGAAGGAGGTCAAGGAAAAGGGTACTCAGGTTGAATCGTTGTGTATTATTTAAATTGTCTGGTGAGAGCTACACATCAAAAATTGTTTTACATATTAGAGTATCCCAATATTTCAAGCCATTAGCTTCTGATTACTTTGCTTTTTGGTGAAATAATTTCCATGATTACTTCCTAAATATTGAATATATACACATTTACATTTTTAACTGGAACCCTGGGGAGCTTCACCAGCCAGCTCTGGCCTCCAGGATTTGTACCTGTCCTGTCATTCAGGGTTGGCAAGAGGAGAGCTCAACATGTACCATGCCCTGCTAATGCAGTCTAGTGCTGTGCTTGAATATATATTATTTTTGAAACTGAAAAGGTCTTTTTAAAAATTACTCAACAGGCTGGGCGCAGTGGCTCACGCCTGTAATCCTAGTACTTTGGGAGCCCAAGGTGGGCAGATCACGAGGTCAAGAGGTTGAGACCATCCTGGTGAACATGGTGAAACCTCATCTCTACTAAAAATACAAAAATTAGCTGGGCGTGGTAGCACACGCCTGTAATCCCAGCTACTCGGGAGGCTGAGGCGAGAGAATTGCTTGAACCCCAGGCGTGGAGGTTGCAGTGAGCCGAGATCACACCACCAAACTCCAGCCTGGGTGGCAGAGTGAGACTCTGTCTCAAAAAAAAAAAAAAATTACTCAACAAAGCCCTTTGCAAACTCTGAATGATGGAACTGTGCTGTGATTTTTGTCATCTTTGAGCCCCACCTTATACATGCCAGGTAGATATTTGGTCTATTACTCCTTACTATTAAAAGTATCCCTTAGTTCCCCAGAGATCAGCAGACACTAGGCTCACATGGATCCCAAATGTCAAAGCCCAGGTTGTCTAACCAGAATACCGATGGCATTACGGGGACTGAGGGTCATCACCTTGTGACAAATTAACCATCACAGGGGCTCTGTGAAGGAAGAGGATCAGAGGGGTGACAGTGCTGGCTAGGGAGGATTTAGAATGTCTAGGAACTTCGATGGCCAGCACTGTCTCATCTCGGCCCCCCTAGGACTCCGTGGGTCTATGTCTTAACCCATGGGGTAATGTTAGTTTGGCTCCCTGTTCTTAAAGTCACTAATGAAAGGCTGCCTCTGTTCTACGAGCCTGCTCACTCTGGCTTGTACTCTCTCTGTGTGTGTGTGGCCAGGCATACCGGCTCTCCCGGGGACGGGTGTGGGCCATGATCATCATGCTCTGTCTCATCGCGGCCGTCCTCTCTGCCTTCTTGGACAACGTCACCACCATGCTCCTCTTCACGCCTGTGACCATAAGGTACGCAAAGCACCTCTGCCGTGGGAGTTGCGGCCAGGTTCTGGCAGGCAGGGGCTCTGCCTGCACTGCCTGGCTCCAGGTTCCATTCTCAGGTGCATGAAAAGGTGGGGGCAGTTGAGCCCACAGCTCACTGCATTCCAGTCCAGCTCGTGTCTGCTTTGTGTGACTGCAGTACATGCTACAAGCAGTGGGGCCTCAGAAGCTGGTGGCAGAAATGCCTGCAGGAGGTGGAAGACATAGGCCTTGCTTTCCTGGAGATTGTGGTCTCATGGGGAGACATGTGGACAAGAATGGCTCACCCCTGGTGAAACCCCGTCTCTACTAAAAATACAGAAATTAGCCAGGCGTGGTGGCACGTGCCTGTAATCCCAGCTACTGGGGAGGCTGAGGCAGGAGAATCCCTTGAACCCGGGAGGCGGAGGTTGCAGTGAGCTGAGATTGCGCCACCACACTCCAGCCTGGGCAACAGAGCGAGACTCCGTCTCAAAAAACAAACAAACAAACAAACAAAAAACGGCTCACCCCAGACCACCAGGTGCCCAGGTGCCAGGAGTCCCTGTCCATGTTCTTCTCCATCACCATCTGCTGAGGTGGTGGGAGGCCTCTGAGTGAGACCCAAGGCCGGGTCCTGTGTGGGAGTGGGCTGTGTGGATGAGCAGGTGTAGGGGATGCTGTGATGTGCCTTCTACACTTTCTTTAGAGCAATGTTTCCCAGCTGTGTGCATACTGGGTCCCCTGGGGAGCTGTAGAGCACCACTGCCCGGGCCCACTCCCAGGCACTGGTCTGCGCTGGGCGAGTCGTAGGACTCCCAGATTCCAGCACAAATCTAGTGTGAGGCCATGGTGGAGCTCCACAGCTGTAGAATGTGGCTTAGACAGATCTGTAGGGTGAATACAGTTAGCATGAATTGATTGTACACTCCAAGATAGCTAGAAGAGAATAACTGGAATGCTCCCAGGGTAAAGAACAGATTGATATTTAAGGGGATGGTTATCCTAGTTACCTGGTTTGATTATGTGAATTATTACATTATCATATGCACCCTGAAAATGTATGTATGTATATATATATCTAGTATGTTTTATAGCAATACAAAGTAAATACATAGAAAATACATAGATGAATAAAACAAAGGGAGGGGGTGAGAAGAGAGCCTAGGGCCTTGGTGTCCAGGAAGGGGGAGGTGGGAAAGGGGCTGAGTCAGCAGGCCCTGTGTGAGCCATCCGCACTGCCTCCACACTGACCCCCACAGCACTGGCTTGCCTGTGGAGGGCCTGCCCTGCCCTGGGGGCCAGTGCTCCCTCCAGACCTGGGAGCATTGGGGAAAGGGTACCTGACCACACCGAGGGTTTGGTGGCTGGAGGCTCACTCTGGAAAGGAATGTAACTCTCGGAGTGAGCTGTGGCCTGCGGGGGTTGTTGCAGTTGTTCATTCCCCCCAGCACTGCCTTCCCCACAGGGGTGTGTGTGTGTGCGCGCCTCCCTTATACGAGCAAGCGCCTTAAAAATCTCTGGGTTGCATGTGGGCCTTTCACGATGTGTATAGTGGGACTACTTTCATTTTCTTCCATTTGTGACAGGTTGTGTGAGGTGCTCAACCTTGATCCAAGACAAGTCCTGATTGCAGAAGTGATCTTCACAAACATTGGAGGAGCTGCCACTGCCATCGGGGACCCTCCAAATGTCATTATTGTTTCCAACCAAGAGCTGAGGAAGATGGTACGTACCAGCATGCTAGGGTTGCTTCCAGTAAACGCACACCTCCACTTAGTTAGAGCTCTACCCCACATGGACGCCTTTGTTAGAAATCAAGATCATCACGCCACCTCTTCACAGTAAGTGCTACTGGGCATCTCAAGACTGGGATGTTAGGTGACTGGTCCTTCAATCCTAGAGTTAACTGGCTTGAATTGACTTCATACTCATTCTGATCAGTTTTTAAAGAAATGACTGGATAGCATGATGTAGTTAGTCATAGTATGTTATATTAATTGTATTAATAGGAACTGAGGTTTCTTCCAACCTACATTAAAAACAAAATGACCTGTTCCCTCTCACTGGAGATATGGGATTCCCAAACTGTGGTGGATTAGTTTACTGATGAAGGACTTAAAATTTATTTTTTAAGGGTCAGAAATGAATGTCTTTAGAAATTCTTTGAAAGCCCCATATAAATATTAGGGTATAATTTCTTTGTATACTGTAATAAAGACAAAGTATTAGAAAGTGCAAGGTATTCTACATATCTTCAAGGTGAAAATTGAACTATATCATTAATTTTTATTCTCTACTCTTTGATCATTAGAATTTTCTCAATCTTCCTCCTCTGAGGCATCAGTGAAAATGCTTCCACATTGGTGTTATTTCTTGTAGATGATGTGTTTGTGTGTGTGTGTGCCTGAAGGGTAGCAGTGTGTTTGTATTTGAACGCTGTGTTCCATAAAAATATTTAAACATTTGAGAATCCATGGCTCCAGGGTGTTAATGGCCGCTTCATGGAAGCAGTGCGCTCCAGAGGTTCTGGGTATGGCTCTGCATTCCCTAGCTGCCGTGGGAAACTGCTTGGCAACACTTCACCAACTTTGCCATGTGAACTGAGGTGTGCAGCCATGGTCATGCCACCCTGGAGCATGTCAGGTGGTAACAGACCCTGCAGTTTATGCTAGGGGCACCTGTTATCCAGGATGGAGCTCATGCTCATGGAATAGAAGTATTTTTAGAAAAAAATTGTATTGTTAGTTTCATTCCATAAACAGGTAATACTTTTTTTGGTAGAAAACAGAAGTCTCACAGACATGCACATGCACATACAATAAAAATTCATAATTCCAAAAACCAGAGGTAAATTCTTTTAATATTTTGGTGCAAATAGCATCCTAGAGTGTTTGTATGTGGATATAGATGAGTACAAAAGACAGCACAGCTTCTGCTTCTGGCCAACATGGAATAACAGGGCCTGGATTTACTCTCTTGCCTGGGATAGTCAAACAAAACAAAAATAAACCAAAACCAGACAAAACACATGGAACAATGGTAACCAAGTCACTGGATAACAGGCACAAAGGGACAGTGATCCCTGTGAGACGGGAAACAAATGCGGTGAGCTCTATGACTGCTCCAGCTCACTACCTCAAGAGAGCTTCCAGAGTGCAGTGCAGGGAGGGACGACCCTGGCCAAGCCCATGACACCCCCTGAGTTGAGAGGATGAAGCTGAAAGTCTGGGGAGACCAGGGCAGCGAGAGTCCAGAGAGGACACAGCCGAACCACAGAGATCCTCAGAGGGTCCCTTTGGAGTGTTCAGCAGAGTGTTCAGATCAGTGCATTCATGCGAGGAGACTACATGAGACCCGGGGAGAACAACCCAGAAAGATGAGAGGGACAAGTGCTTGACGCACACGACAGGAATAGTAATGATATCTGTTCTGCCAGGCAGACTGGAACCTCTTAATTTATGGAGCACTGGGTAGAGTACTCACAAGTGTCTTGCCTCAGTTATGAGGGGTAATTAACTATAAACTGAACACTGCTCTGCTTCCACCTAAGAAATCTTGAAACTAAGACCCCAAAGAACCAAACTGTTTCTAAGTATTTTAACTGCATCCTAGAACAAATGTCAAGAATATTTAGAGTGATACAAAAATATTCAACAACACACAGGGTAAAATTTACAATGTCTGGCAACCAATCACTGATTATCAGGCATGTAAAGAAGCAAGAAAATATAACCTATGACAGCGATGATACAAACCATTTGAAACTAACGTAGAACAGGCACAGGTGTTAGAATTAGCAGACTAGGACATTAAAAGTGTTATTATAATGGTGTTACAGATATTCACCAAGTAGCAACATTAAAGATATTAAAAAAGCCCCACATCAAACATCTAGACATGAACATTACAATGTCTGAGATAGAAATACACTTGCTGGGATTAGTGGCATATTAAATATTACATAAGGAAAGATTAATGAAGACATAAATCCAAAATGAAATGGAGTAAAAAGATAATAACAAGGACTGAAAAGCATTAGTGAGCTATGGGAAAATTTCAAGTGGCCTAACATATGCAATTCTCATCTCTGAAGGAGAGAGGGGAACGGAAAAAGGCATCTGAAAAATGGTCCTAAATTCCAAATTTTATGAATGGTATAAACCCACAGAATCAAGAAGTTCAATGAAGCCAGAGCCCAAGAAACACGTAGAATACTACAGTAAGACACATCATAATCAAATTATTTGAAAGCAAGATGAAGAGAAAATCTTAGTTTCCAAAGAAAAAGACATGTTACAGGCGAGGAAACAGAGATAAAGACGACAATATATTTCTCTTTAGAGATAATGCACGTGTGAAGGCAACGGAGCAATACCTTTAAATACTGAAAGAAAACACCTGTGATCTCAGAATACTACACCCGGTGAAAATCTTTTTCTTATGTACAAAAAACAGACTTTTTCTCATATAGAAAAGCTAAAAAGAATGCATCAGCAGCAGACCCACATGGTAAGACATACTAAAGGAAGTCCTTAAGGCAGAAGGAAAATAACACCAAATGGAAACATGGATCTTCACAAAGTCATGAAGAATACTGAAAAGGGTAACTACATGGGGAAATTCACATAATTTAAAAAATTACTGGCCGTGCGCGGTGGCTCACGCCTGTAATCCCAGCACTTTGGGAGGCTGAGGCGGTCGGATCATGAGGTCAGGAGATCAGGACCATCCTGGTTAACAAGGTGAAACCCCGTCTCTACTAAAAATACAAAAACTTAGCCAGGCGTGGTATTGGGTGCCTGTAGTCCCAGCTACTCTGGAGGCTGAGGCAGGAGAATGGCGTGAACCCATGAGGCGGAGCTTGCAGCGAGCCGAGATCGTGCCACTGCACTCCATCCAGCCTGGGCAACAGAGCGAGACTCTGTCTCAAAAAACAAAAAAAAATTAAGCCACTTTGAGATAATTGTTTAAAGAAAACAGTAATGTAACATGTAAGTAGAATTGATGACAACAATAAAATAAAGCCTGGAAGGGAAGAAATTAAAGTATATTAATGTGTCAGGTGCGGTGGCTCACACCTGTAATCCCAGCACTTTGGGAGGCTGAGGCGGGTGGATCATGAGGTGTGGAGATCGAGACCATCCTGGCTAACACGGTTAAAACCCGTCTCTACTAGAAATACAAAAAAAAAAAAAAAAAACACTAGCTGGGCATGGTGGCACGTGCTTGTAGTCCCAGCTACTCAGGAGGCTGAGGCAGAAGGATTGCTTGAACCCAGGAGGCGGAGGTTGCAGTGAGCCAAGACTGTGCCACTGCACTCCAGCCTGGGTGAAAGAGTGAGACTCTGTCTCAAAAAAAAAAAAAAAGTATATTAATGTAAGATTTTTTATAGTATATGTAAACTAATATAATTTGAAGGTAGTCCGTGAAAGTTAAAAATGTATATGATAAACTCTAAAGCAACCGCTAAAAGGAAAAACAAAGAGTAACAGCTAATGCCAACAAAGAATATAAGTGGAATCATAAATAGTATTTATTTAATGGAATGGAATTTAGAAAAAAGGCAAAAGGAAGCAAAGAAATGGTGGAACAAATATAAAACAAATTGCAAGAGTTAAACCTAACTATATTTAATAATTACATAACATATAAATAGTTTAAATATCCCAATTAAAAAGCAGGGATTGTCAGATCAAACAAACAAGCCCCATCCAACTATAGATGCTCCTCAGCTAACTTTGGGATTACATCCAGATAAACTTACTGTAAGTTAAAAATATCATAAGCCAAAATGTGTTTAATATACCTAACCTACTGAACATCATAGCTTAGCCTAAGCCCACCTTAAATGTGCTCAGAACACTTACATTAGCATATAGTTGGGCAAAATCTAACACAAAGTCTACTTTATAATAAAGTGCTGGATAGCTCATGTAACTTATTGAATATTGTACATTACATCAAAGTTGAGATGCTTTTGCACCATTGTGAAATTGAAAAATTGTAAATGGAACCAAATTAAGTCAGGGAACATCTGCATTATGCTGCTTACAAGACACAAGTTTAAAATATAAAGATACAAGGCCAGGCGCGGTGGCTCATGCCTGTAATCCCAGCACTTTGGGAGGCCGAGGCTGGTGGATCACCTAAGATCAAGAGTTCAAGACCATCCTGGCTAACATGGTGAAACCCCGTCTCTACTAAAAGTACAAAATATTAGCCGGGCATGGTGGCAGGCACGTGGAATCCTAGCTACTTGGGAGACTGAGGCAGGAGAATCGCTTGAACCCGGAAGATGGAGGTTGCAGTGAGACAAGATCACCCCATTGCACTCCAGCCTGGGTGACGAGTGAAACTCCGTCTCAGGAAAAAAAAAAACGTCTCTCTCTCTCTCTATATATATATACACACATATATACATATAGACACAAGTTAAAAGTAAAGGAATGGCAAAAGATTCATCAGAACAAAGTGGCTATATTAATATCTGACAAAGTAGACTGCAGAGCAAAGAATATTTCTAGGATTAAAGAACATTTCATCATAATAAAGGGGTAAATTCATATAGTGAACATAAAAATTACATTTATACAACCAATGACAGAGCTTTAAAATATGTGAAACTTGATAGTACTGCAGGAGGAATAGATAAATCCTTAATTATAGTTGGAGAGTTCAGTACAATTCTCACAATAATTGAAAGAACAAGTAGAGAGAAAATCTACAAGGATATAGAAAACTTCATTATTGTTAACTAACATGACCTAGTTGATATTTATAGAAAACGCCACTCAATATCAGAAGAATGTATATGTTTTTCCAACTGCACTTGAAACATTAACCGAAATGGATTCTAGGCCATAAGACAGATCTCAATAAACTTAAAAAGATTCAAGTAATATAAAATATTTTCTGTGACCACAGTTGAATTAAATTAGAATATAATAACAAGGATATGTGGAAAATCCTCAAATATCTGGAAACTAAATAACACACATTTCAGTAATCCAAGGGTCAAAGAAGAAAGTGAGATTGAAATTAGAAAGTATTTTTGTACTCATCAGCTTGGAATGCGATAACCAAATACCATAGACTGGGCAGCTTAAATAACAGCAATTTATTCCTCACAGTCGGGAGGCTAGAAAGTTCAAGATCCAGTGGATCTCATTCCCTGGTGAGGGCTGTCTTCCAGGCTTGCAGATGGCCGCTCTCTCACTGTGTCCTCATGTGGCAGGGAGGCGGGGAGAAGAGGCAGAGATGAAGCTCTCTGGTGTCTCTTCTTATACAGGCATTAATCCCAGTGTGAGGGCTCCACCCTCATGACCTCATCTAAGCCCTATCACCTCCAAAAGACTCCATCTCCTAATACCACCCCATTGAGGGGGCGAGGTAGGGCTTTGGCCACAGTACTTTCGGGGAAACACAATTCAGTCCTGAGCAATTTTGTGTTGAATTATAGTGAAAACAGAACATATCAGAATTTGTGGGATTCCTCTATAGCAGAAGTCAGTAGACTTCTTAAAAGGCCATATATAGTTAATTTTATAGACGTGTGGGCTGTATGGTCTCCATTGCAATTACTCAGCTGCACCACTATATAGCAAGAAAGCAGCCATAGACAACACATAAATGAATGGATATGGCTATATTCCAGCTCCACGTGTGCTAGTCCCTACTCTAAAGCAGTATTTAGAAGGAAATTTATAACACTAAACACCTGTATTTGAAAAGATGTGTCTCAAATCCATAACCTCAGCTTTATCCTATGGAATCAGAAAGAGAAATTAAACTAAAAGTAAGCAGAAGAAAAAAATATATACAGACTAGAAAAATAGGGAACATCAACGAAAGCAAAAGCTGGTTCTTTGACAAGATCAATAATATTGATAAACATCTCGCCAAGCTGATGAGGAAAATGAGACAGAAGATTCAAGTTACTAATATCAAGAATAAGAGTTGTTATATTACAACAGAGCATACA
This sequence comes from Homo sapiens, assembly GCF_000001405.40. Classification (NCBI taxonomy): domain Eukaryota; kingdom Metazoa; phylum Chordata; class Mammalia; order Primates; family Hominidae; genus Homo; species Homo sapiens. Next base: position 111,355 of record NW_011332701.1, on the reverse strand, counting down.
GACATTAATACTATTCTTAGAGAAGATCATGGACAACTCTATGTAAACTATTTGACAACTTAGATAAAATAAACAATTTTTTGGAAACACACACTCTTTAAAACTTCACTCAAGAAGAAGTAGGTAACCTGAGTAGCCCTGTATCTATAGAAAGAATCAAATATGTAGTTAAAAACCTTCCCACAAAGAACAAAACAAACATAAACAAACAACTCAGGCTAAGATAGCTTCTTTGGTGAATTCTCCCAAATAATTAAGGAAAAAATAATGTTATAATACCAATTCTATACAAAGCTTTACAGTAAATTGAAGAGGTGAGAATATTTCCCAATTAATTCTATGAGGCCTTGATATGTGAACTAGACAAAACCAGTATGAGAAAAGGCAACTATAGATAAATATTTCTTGTGAACATAGATTTAATATTTAAAAAATTAGTAAATCCAATTTAACAATATCTAAATAGGTAATACATCTTAACCAAGTAGAATTTATCCAGGAATGGAAGATTCTTATATTTGAAATATTAATCAATGTAATTTACTATACTAACAAACTAAATGAGAAAACCATATGATCATCTCAATAGATGCAGAAAAAACATTTGGCAAAATCCGATATCTATTACTGATAAAATCTCTCAAGAAACTAAGGATAAAAGAGAAATTCATCAACCCAATAAAGAACATCTGAGAATCTATAGCTAGCATCATACTTCATTGAGAATAACTGAATGATTTCCCTCTAACATCAGAAACAAGACAAGGATATCTGTTCTCACTATTTTTATTCAACATTTTATTGGAGGCTGTAGCTCACGTGATAATGCAAGAAAAGAAATACAAAGCATCAATATTGGTAAGGAAGAATTAAAAGTCTTTATTTGCGGATGACACAATCGTCCATGTAGAAGATTTGGTGCAGTCCACAAAAGAGCTCCTACAAATAAATAAATTTGACAAGGTTGCAGGATACGGAGTCCATATACAAAAATTAATGGTTTTCTATATTTAGCAATAAATAACTGAAAATTAAAATTAAAATTTCACTTACAGTAGCACAAAACATATGCTGTATTCGGTATTGCATATGACCAAACATATGCAAGGCCTATATACTGAAAACTACAAAACTGCAGAGTAATTAAAGAAGATCTAAATAAATTAAGAGGTACACCTTGTTTATGGGCTGGAAAACTCAATATGGTTAAGCTATCCATTCTTTCCAAATTAATCTATAAATTCAAGCAATCCCCATCAAAACTATAGCAGGTTTTCTCTTTGGGTAGAAATTGACAAGCTGATTCTAAAATTTATACAGAAATTCAGAGTATCCAGAATGACAAAAAAAGAAAACAAAAACAAATGGAAAGGGCTAGTACTTCCTGACACCAAGATTTATTATAAAGTCTCAGTAACCAAGACAGTGGTTTTGGCATCAAGACAGACAAATAGATAAATGGAATAAAGTAGGGAGTGTAGATACAGGCCCACCCATAAGTGAACTACTGATTTTTGACAAAGGTGCAAAGCCAAGTCAGCAGAGACAAGATAGCGTTTTCCACAAATTGTCCTGGAACAAATGTATATTCATATTCAGGAAAAATGAACTTTAGTCCACACCTCTCACTATATCCACAAATTAACTCAAACTGGATCATAGATGTAAGTGTAAAACCTAAAACCTTAATTTCTAGTGGAAAACCTAAGTTGTAGTAGAATAGGTAGAAAAATAGTTCAAGTGAAGATGTGGCTACTGTACTTCATTACACTCTTTAGAACTTGGCTTTCAACTTATTTTTTTTTCTTCTTTTTAAGACAATATTTAATGAATGCTGCAACAGTTTAACTCTCCTGACTAGCATCACATTAGTGTTAATGTAAAATCCTAGGCATGGTGTATTTCTTACACACAATCTGAATTAACTCTGCATCATTTTAAGCCTGCCCTTACAGTCCTAGATCGAAATATTCTGAACTAAACAATATGATATGACCCAAGACAGACACTGGCTGTGTTTCTACCAAGCCACGTAGAAAACTGAGGGCAAAGAGCAGTCTGTCAGACCATTGCTACAATCCTCCATGGCATATGACGAGCCTTTTTAAGATATCCAGGTTTTAAATACGATGGTAGGAAAGAAAGGTGAGGACCCTGGAGGTGAGTACACCCTATGGTCTTGCTGAGGCTCAGCCCAGGCTTGTCATACAATTTTCTGCCAAAGTGACATTCTCTGGGAAGATGGCCTTAGGACTGTCCTTATTTTACTGAAGACAGCATTCCTTGTCTTCTACTTAATGACTTTCTCTGAATTTGGGAATTAAACTGTAATGGAGTCTCACCCTATTGCCCAGGCTGGAGTGCAGTAGCGTGATCTTGGCTCACTGCAACCTCCGCCTCCTGGGTTCAAGCAATTCTCCTGCCTCAGCCTCCTGAGTAGCTGGGATTACAGGTGCATACCACCACGCCTGGCTAATTTTTATATTTTTAGTAGAGATGGGGTTTCACTGTGTTGCCCAAGCTGGTCTTGGAATTACTGACCTCAGGTGATCCATCTGCCTCGGCCTCCCAAAGTGCTGAGATTATAGGCATGAGCCGCCATGCCCGGCCTTGATTTTAATTTATTTCACAGTAGTTTGGAGATAAGGAAATACTTCTCTGTATGGAGACACAGATGCACTCATAGTTTCAGGGACAGTGTCTTCAGTAGAGATAAATTTATAAAGCCTCATTATCAATAGTGACAGCACAGCCATACATTTGCCTCACATGATGTGCATATTTATTTTGCATTGTTTACTTGTTCATCAAGGAACTCAAATAGGAAGAAAACAGATTATGAAATAAAACTTAAGTTTGAAATTAATTTTAAAATTATTCCTGAAGAGGAAGTCCTAGTCAGAGTAATCAGACAAGAGAAAGAAATAAAGAGTACCCAAATTGGAAAAGAGGAAGTCAAACTATGTCTGTTTGCCACTGATATGATCTTATACCTAGAAAAGTCTAGACTCCTCCAAGACTCCTAGATTTGATAAATGAATTCAGTAAAATCTCAGGTTACAAAATCAATGTACACAAATCAGTAGCACTGCTATATACCAACAATGACCAAGCCAAGAATCAAATCAAGAACTCAATCCCTTTCACAATAGCTACCAAAAAAATAAAATACCTAGGGATATACTTAACCAAGGAGTTGAAAGATGTCTAAAAGGAGAGCTACAAAACACTGCTGAAAGAAATCATAGATGACACAAACAAATGGAAATGCATCCCATACTTATGGATTGGAAGAGTCAGTATCACAAAATGACCATATTGCCCAAAGTAACTTACAGATTCAATGCAATTCCTATCAAAATGCCAATATCATTTTTCACAGAATTAGAAAAACCAATCTTGAAATTCATATGGAACCAAAAAAGAGCCTGAATAGCCGCCAAAGCAATCCTAAATAAAAATAACAAATCTAGAGACATCACATTACTCAACTTCAAATTATACTAAAAGGCTATAGTAACCAAAACAGCATGGTACTAGTATAAAAGTAGACACATAGAGCAATGGAACAGAATTGAGAACCCAGACATAAAGCCAAATACTTACAACCAACTGATCTTCAACAAAGTATACAAAAACATAAACTGGGTAAAAGACACTCTCTTCAGTAAATGATGCTGGGAAAACTGGCTAGCCACATGTAGAAGAATGAAACTGGATCCCTATCTCTCACGATATACAATATAACTGAAGATGGATTAAAGACTTAAATCTAAGACTTGAAACCATAAAAATTCTAGAAGAAAACCTATGAAAAACTCCTTTGGACACTGACCCAGGCAAAGAATTTAGGACAAAGACCCCAAAAACAAATGCTGCAGAAACAAAAATAAATGGGATCTAATTAAACTGAAAAGCTAATGCAGACTGGGCATGGTGGCTCATGCCTGTAATCCCAGCACTTTGGGAGGCCAAGGTGGGAGGATCACTTCAGGTCAGGAGTTAGAGACCAGCCTGGCCAACACGGTGAAACCCCATCTCTACTAAAAATAAAATAAAAAAATAGCTGGGCGTGGTGGTGCATGCTTGTAATCCCAGCTACTCGGGAGGCTGAGGCAGGAGAATCACTTGAACCAGGGAGGCAGAGGTTGCAGTGAGCCGAGATTGCACCACTGCACTCCAGCTTGGGTGAGAAAGAGAGACTCTGTCACAAAAAAAAAAAAAAATAAAATAAAATAAAAGAAAAGAAAATAACCATCAAAGTAAACAGAAAACCTACAGAATGGGAGACAATGTTTGCAAACTATGAATCTGACAAAGGACTAATATCCAGAATCTATAAGAAACTCAAACAAATTAGCAAGAAAAAAAAAATAATCCCAATAAAAAGTAGGCAAATGACATGAGTAGACATTTTTGAAGAAGATATGCAACTGGCCAAGAAACATATGAAAAAATGCTGAACATCACTAATCATCAGGAAATACAAATTAAAAGAATGAGATATCACCTTATTACAGCCAGAATGGCCATTATGGCCATTATTAAAAAGTCAAAAAACAATAGATGTTGGCACAGATGTGGTAAAAAGGGAATGCTTATACACTGCTGGTTTGAATGTAAATTAATACAACCCTTATGGAAAATACTGTGGAGATTTCTCAATGAACTAAAAGTATATCTACCATTCAATCCAGCAATCCAGTCACTGGGTATCTACCCAAAGGAAAAGAAGTCATTATATCAAAAAGACACCGGCACACTTATGTTTATCACAGCACAATTCACAACTGCAGAGATATGGACTCAACCTAAATGCCTATCAACAGATAAGTGGATAAAGAAAATTTGAGAGAGAGAGAGATATGCGTGTATATACACCCACACACACCATAGAATACTACTCAGCCATAAAAAAGAATGAACTAATGTCTTTTGCAGCAACTTGGATGGAACTGGAGACCATTATTCTAAGTGAAGTAACTCAGAAATGGAAAAGCAAATACCGCATGTTCTCACATATAAGTGGGAGCTAAGTTGTGAGTATGCAAAGGCATACACTGGTAACGAGAACATTGGAGACTAGGAAGAGGGGAGGTCAGGAGGGGTTGATGGATGAAAAACTACATATTATGTACAATGTCCACTACTCTGGTGATGGGTGCACTAAAATCCCAGACTTCACCAGTATATAATTTATCCATGTAACTGAAAACCACTTGCACCCCTAAAGCTAATGAAAAAAAAATTCACAAAGAAAATGAATACTTATGTAGTTTGGAGGAATAATAAACAAATCAGCACTAGAGTTTGGAACAGTAAAGAAGTCACATCTGAAAACTCGTCCACATTTTCCGAGCATTAGGCAGAAACGACAGGAAGTTGTGAGGAAAGTTCTTGCCACCTACCATTGCTGCACGAGGCTTAGGTCTCTCAGGTCTCTTGGGATAACTCTCTGTCGGTGGAATTTCCAGCACTGGACAGGTAGGTAGGGAGGACCTCCAGGACCCACCACATGGACAACCACTTATTCCCCAGCCACAAGCCTCCCTTGGGTAAGCATGAGTCGGCCTGGCTGTAGCATCCACGCGCACCAACCCACTGCACCTTCAGCTCCTAACAAGCTGACAGGATAAAGTTTTACTTTGCTGGTTACATTTGCTCCTTTATGCCTGTTCTACAGAGACTCACCATGGTGAGCAAAACTATTCAACTATCTTTAAAATAATACCTGAAAAGTCTCTTGAGGGAAGCGTGCCCCTATGCTTCTGAATAGCATCTTTGTAAGAAGACAGGTTTCCCTTCATGCCCCACGTTGTGTACTTGGATGCTTTTTATACTTTTCCCACTATACTGTGCGCTGGGCTTGCTGGGACATTCTTCCCGTTTTCCCACCATGCCATGCGTGCTGGGGCGTTCTTCACGTTTTCCCATCATGTCTTGCATGCTGGGAGGTTCTTTCCGTGTTCTCACCATGCCGGGCATGCTGGGGCGTTCTTCAGGCTTTCCTGCCATACTGTGCTTGCTGGGACATTATAATTATGTTTTCCCACCATGCCTTGCATGCTGGGGCATTTTTCACGTTTTCCCACCATGCCGTGCTTGCTGGGGAGTTCTTCAGGCTTTCCCTGCCGTACTGTGCATGCTGGGACGTTCTTTACGTTTTCCCATCATGCCGTGGGTGCTGCCACGTTCTTCCTGTTTTCCCACCATCCCATGTGTGCAGGGACGTTTTTCACGTTTTCCCACCATGCCATACGTACTGGGGTATTCTTCAGGCTTTCCCTGCCATACTGTGCATGCTGGGATGTTCTTTATGTTTTCCCAACATTCTGTGTGTGCTGGGATGTTTTTCACGTTTTCCCAGCATGCGTTCTTCAGGCTTTCCCTGCCGTACTGCGTATGCTGGGACATTCTTAATGTTTTCCCACCATGCCGTGTGTGCTGGGGCGTTCTTCAGGCTTTCCCTGCCATACTGTGCATGCTGGGACATTCTTCATGTTTTCCCATCATGCTGTGCGTGCTGGGACATTCTTTACATTTTCCCACCGTGCTGTGTGTGCTGGGACCTTCTTCATATTTTCCCACCATGCCGTGCCTGCTGGGGCGTTTTTCCTGCGTTCCTGCCATGCTGCATGTGCTGTGAAGTTCTTTGGCTTCTCCTCCACTACTGCTTTTCCCCCACTCCCTTGGGTGTTAATTGAGACAGTGTCTCTCTCTTGTGGGCCCTGCTCTGCCTCTCTGGCCCCCTCTGAATTTCCTTTATGGGGTTTTTTTTTGGTTTGTTGGTTTCCACACACCTATTTAATATCTGTGGGCTCAGGGGTCTTCGTTTTTGACCTTTTTCTCCTCTCAGATCAGCACTGGCTAGCAAAGCTCATCCCCTCCGTGGCTTGCTCCGTTTTCAGCTTGCTGGGATCTGTGTCTCTGCCAGAGGCTCTTCCTTTAGACCCATGTGTGCCAGGACCCCTGCACCTATGCTTGATGGATCCCTTACAAGCAGCGAGACCCACACCCCCGTCTGGCCCACACGCATTCCTGCAGTGCTGGGTCCTCTCCTTACTGGCCATCTAGACAGGATTATATTTTCAAATTACACCATGCATATTTTACTAAAATATTCAATAGATTCAGCTAAACACTTCATAAGAAGCTTTTTTTTTTTTTTTTTAAATTTTCACATGGAAGAATTCAAGAAATCATTTTGGCTTGAGCCCCTCCTTTGCAACCTAATGGACCATTTTGACTTGTCACAGAGCTAGCCTGAAGCGTCATTCCTAGAAAATGATATTGGTGGGCCAGAAGTCCCTCAGGCGTGTCCCCTTAAATGTATGTAGATTATGAATCTGGGAATGTTCTGATCTGATTGAGGGTTCCTCTTTTGTTTGGTTTACGTGCCTAATATTTGGCCATTTAATCCATCAAATGAGGACAGTGGGGAAAATTAAGAAGAAAATGACTGAATGGAGCCTATAATAAAACAATACAAAGCAGAAGTGGCACCTTGAAGCAGAAAGAGCGCATTTAGGCGCTGAATTGATGTGAGTGTGCTGGTGGATAGTTTTGTTACTGGGAACACAGACGAGAGTCTAGGAAATTACAGAGGCATGTAAAAGCAGCAGGGTGTCCCAGATACCTGCGCCTAATAAGCTTAGTGCAAACATCTGCATCCCACTGCACACTGCATCTGCCTGTTTCCTAAAGTGATCAGTTTGGATTTTTCCCTTATCATTGCTCTTTTGATGAATCCACCCATCGCAAGTCTAGTAGCAACCAAATGCTTCACTCAGTGCTGTGTCATTTTGCTGTGGACGCACACCCAGGACCTCCTTACTTTTTTTTTTTTCTTTTATCTACTCATCACTTTTTTCTCCAATTGCCCCAACATTTCAAATGGGGCAAAACTTTATAGTTATTATGTTCTAGAGGGACCAAGAATTACTCAGGATATAGGTACTTCTGTCTTCTTGGGACATTTTCTCTAAAAAATATTAACAATTGCATTTCATGACCCAGCTAGTGTATAAATATATTAGTACTATAGTTTAAATCATTTTCTCTGACGCAACAGTTCCTTTTTTTTTTTTTTTGCCTCTGAGTTTAGAAGAATTTAAAACAGTTTCATAAGCCCCTAAAAGTATCGTGGATCTTTTTCAGATATCTGGGGTATGAATTATAGAGATAAACACAAAATTCAATGTAATACCCCCATTGAAGAACTATCGGGAAAGTGGTGAATTCTTCTATATGATCACCCAAAGCATTCCATGAGTCCCGCCTCTGTGTGGTTTCCCTGCCATCTGTCCAGGAATTAGCTTATATAGCTCCACCTGTCATTTGTAATGCTGTTTTCAAGGACAACCATTGGATGTGCCGGTAACTGCAAGGGATTAAGCATTTCAGATTATTGTATATTGGCAAGCTCTAAACTTTTACACAACTTCATTGATAATGGCCTCTAGTTGTGTTGTATCTTTAATAATGTTGAAAGTGATTTCACATATTTTCTAAAAGTGAGAGGAAAAATACATAAATTTTAATAAGGAACAATTAATATAGTTTAAATCACTCAAACCCAGACCTTTGGAAGGTGATTTTCCAAACTCCCAACGTGGGATCCTCACTAACGTTCTGTGTGACTTGCCACCCCTCTACCTATGTAAGAGGTTCCTAAGGGTCCCAAGGCAGAGCTGGACTGCCCGTGGTCCCTCCCACCCTGCCCCTGTCATTCCCCATGGTCGTGCATTGTCACTGTGCCTCTGACCCCCTTTGTGGCACCTGTGATTCATGGACACTACAGAAAAGACCTTGAGTTCTTGCCAGATGGCCAGCTTCATGGGGATAAGAGCCTCATCTGTCCTGCTGGGGGCTCAGGAGGTGCCTGCACAGATGTGCTGAAGGTGTAAAAGCACATGGTCTGTGAAAGAACAGAACCAACCAATGACGCTGCTGACTTACTCCAGGACGTCTGTGAAAGAACAGAACCAACCAATGACGCTGCTGACTTATTCCAGGACGTCAGCGAAAGAACAGAACCAACCAATGACGCTGCTGACTTATTCCAGGACGCCAGTGAAAGAACAGAACCAACCAATGACGCTGCTGACTTATTCCAGGACGTCAGTGAAAGAACAGAACCAACCAATGACGCTGCTGACTTATTCCAGGACGTCAGTGAAAGAACAGAACCAACCAATGATGCTGCTGACTTATTCCAGGACGTTTGTGTGTGAAAGAACAGAACCAACCAATGACGCCGCTGACTTATTCCAGGACAAATCAACCTAGTGGGGATTTGCCCAACTCTAAAGATACCCTCAGTGGCCGGCCACGTGCAGAGCCCTAGGCAGGCAAAGGAAGCGTGCCGGGAAGGAGAGGTTCCTGCTTGAGTCCCTGCGGCTGGTCCCCATGCTCTAAGCGATCCCAGCCCTGATGGGCCCTGAGTGCCCTGCAAAGGGCTGTGCTCTCCAGCCACGAGGACACTTTCAAACCGATGGCAGGGACTTAAATGAAGTGTTTAAAAATTCAACTTACCTTTAAATGGGCAAATATTATCATATAGTTTAGTATTTTGTCCCATTCAGTCTTTTTTCACCCTATCTTGGGGAAGGCATCAATCTAGTGGTGAAGATGGACCAAGCCAAGGTTGAGTTAGATGTGGTAGCCTGTTTTTGTTTCTTCCTATGATGGCTTGTCATTTGTGTAAGAATTGGTTTTTGGTTTTCGACATGAAAGAAACAAACGTTAACAATTTTCAAAATCATGGTAAGGAATCCGTGGTCTTTCGTGGGCTTTGTGTTGGGCTCCAGGACCTCTGCCTAAGGTCCTGGAACTCCTGGTGAGCCCCTTCCCTCCTGGGCTCTGGCCCTCCCTGGACCCTGACTCAGGGAGCTGCTGCCTGTGCGGAGGAAAGGCCCGTCTTCCGTTTCTTTTTGTTTGTTTGTTTTGAGACGGAGTCTCGCTCTGTCGCCCAGGCTGGAGTGCAGTGGCATGATCTCGGCTCACTGCAAGTTCCGCCTCTCGGGTTCACGCCATTCTCCTGCCTCAGCCTCCCGAGTAGCTGGGACTACAGGCACCCGCCACCACGCCCAGTTAATTTTTTGTATTTTTTAGTAGAGACAGGTTTTCACTGTGTTAGCCAGGATGGTCTCCATCTCCGGACCTCGTGATCCACCCACCTCGGAAAGTGCTGGGATTACAGGCGTGAGCCACCATGCCTGGGCTGCCATTTCATTTCCCCTTGTTTATTTCCAGGGCCTGGACTTTGCCGGATTCACTGCACACATGTTCATTGGGATTTGTCTTGTTCTCCTGGTCTGCTTTCCGCTCCTCAGACTCCTTTACTGGAACAGAAAGCTTTATAACAAGGAACCCAGTGAGATTGTTGGTGAGTACAAGTGCAACCTCATGTAGGCTCAGATTTCATGACCATAATATTGTTTGTTTACCAGGAGAAGTTCTTATCAGGAAGTATCTGTTGATGGGTTGCTGGATGCTCAATACCAGTGACTCTCCACGTCCACCTTCTAGTATACACTGTTTTCAGGGCTGCTATCATGAGCTGTGCCTCTTTAGTTTTCTGTGAAGTGTACTGTGGTAAAATGTGGGAAGTAATGGCCACCATGTACAACTCACATGTCATAACCCCCTAAAGCCACGTGTATATGGTACAAATACACTAACATATAGACTGCAGTGCTCTAATAGTGTATCATAGCTTGAGTCTTAAATATGACTGGAAATAACAGCAACATAACCCAGCACAGGAGGTGATGGGCCCTGTCAATCAAGAGCACATGCTAGGCCAGGCACGGTGGCTCACGCCTGTAATCCCAGCACTTTGGGAGGCCAAGGTGGGCGGATCACCTGAATCAGGTCAGGAGTTCGACTCCAGCCTGGCAAACATGGTGAAACCCCGTCTCTACTAAAAATACAGAAATTAGCCGGGCATGGTGGCACAGGCCTGTAATCCCAGCTACTCAGGAGGCTGAGGCAGGAGAATTGCTTGAACCCAGGAGGTGGAGGTTGCAGTGAGCCAAGATCGTGCCACTGCACTCCAGCCTGGGCGACAGAGTGAAACTCTGTCTCAAAAACAAACAAACAAACAAACAAACAGCAGATGCTGAGCACCAGCCAGCAGGATGAGGGCTTAGGGCCATCTTATCGTTTTGCATTTTCATCACTAAAACACTTTAGTAGATGTTTTACTGAGATCATTACTGATTAGAATATATTAGGAACAATAGATTATTTGGGAAACAAGCAGCCTTTCCTTGACGAGCTCCAGAATATGGATGCTGTGCAGGTTGCCTGGGTAACAGGGGCATCAGGCGACCAGAGCTCAGCAGATGAAGGCGCTCTTCTTTGGGAATTTGTAGAGCTCACGGATTGCATGTTGATCTCTCTCAGCCTTTGTGATTCTGCTGGCCTGTGTTTTACAGGATCTCAGTTTGTCTTTGTTCTGGATAAGATACCCAGATTCCATTTCCACATGGGTGGCTGGAGGCCACGACATGGTCCTGCCATACTCCAGTTCCTCCGATGCTGACTGTCCAAGACAGATCTGTGTGACTTTCATGTTATTCAGAATTTGAGTATTTAAAAAATCTCATTAAGAAAACATTGTTTTGCATTCCTCCTCAGGATTCATCTGTCAAAACAAGCTTGTTCTTGGGAATATCTACTCATCTTACCTGGGGGCTGGACCTAGTTCAACCCATAACAACTAGTTAGAGGTGTTTAGAATGTTTTATAATCAACTAATATATGCAAAGTAAGATAAATTAATATATAGGTTTCTTTTTCTGATGAAAATGTTAGAACTAAGGGAGAGTGAAGGAGACTGTGATCGTGGTGGATAATTGTCCTGTCTCTTGGAGCTTGTGTGTGCACAGCTGTGTCTTAGTGGAGAGCTCAACCGTCATCCTGCCCAACTATGCCAGCCTCTCCCAACCTCCCTGGTGATCACAGTGACCTGGGACAATTGTTGTATATGCAGATTTTCAGCGTCATCCCCAGGAATTCTGTGTTGTTAGTAAGCTGTCCTGAAGAGTCTAATCTTGAGATGAATTTGGGATACACAGATTTAGACACACAGAAAATAATCTCTGTAATGAATTCCTCACCGTTCCTGAGTAAGGAACAGAGAAAAGCTTCGAGGGAAGTGGGGAGTGATGGTTGGAAGTGGACACACCTGGTGATGCAGGAACCCTATGGCCGGGCTAAGACCAGCAGTGCAAGGTGGGGTGATTGCTCTGTGCCACTGTGGGGCTTAGAGGGCTCCAAATTTGGAGTGGTGGGTAAAACTGCAGATTCCCAAGCCCCACTCAAGAGATCTGAGTTTAGCAGGCCTGTGGTGGTGTACAGAGCATTGTCAGAACAGGCTTGGTTATGTTGCAGTGAAAAAGTAACCCTGAAATCTCAGTGACTTCCAGAACTGTGTTTTCTTCCTTGTGTTGGCTTTGTACCCCCCGCCCCCTCCCCAATGGACTGGCAGGGGCCCTGATCATCATCTGTTCTTAGAGTCCTGAGCGGCTAGCCTTGAAGGCAAAGAGAATAGCATGGTCCCATTCTGCCATCCAGTGACACAGGCAGGCCCCACCCAGTCACAAGGGACCAGGACAGGCCAGCCTGCCAGGTGCTCAGAATGGGAGAGAGCATGACTTACATGGTGAAAAGAACAATAATCACCAGAGCCTATCCCTCTGATCACCAAATGTTCAACTCATGCTGCTTCTTGCTAATACTTTGTTTAGCATTTTGTTTTTGTGTACATTAGGGATCTTGATTGTAGTTTCCTTTCTTGTAATGTCTTTTTTGTTGTCCTCATAGGAGGAATATGGAAATATTTCCTCATCTTCAATTTTTTGGAAGAATTTCTGTAGAATTGCTATTACTTTTTTCTTAAATGTTTATTTGGACATTTATAGGCCTGGATGTTTTTGTGGAAAGGTTTTTAACTACAAATTCAAATCCCTTAATATACATATAGGGATGGCTATTCAAGTTATCTGTTTCTCCTTGAGTGTTGACTGGTAGTTGGTGTCTTTCAAGGAATTTGTCCATTTAATCTAAGTTGTTGAATGTATTGTTATAAAATTGTTCATAATATTCTTTCATTATCCTTTTAAGGGCTATCAAATTTTTGATAATGTCATATCTCTCATTCCTGATGTTGGTAGTTTGATAGTTTGTGTCTTCTCTCTCTCTTTGGTTGGTTTATCAATTTTATTGATCTCAAAGAACCAGCTTTTGATTATATAGATTTTTCTCTACAATTTTTTTCTCTTTTAATAATGTCTATTGTGCTCTTTATTTATTTTTTTTCTGCTTACTTTCAGGCTTGCTTATTTTTTCACTGGTTTCTTAAAGTGGAGGCTAAGGTTATTGATTTTATGTGCATCTTATTTTCTAATATAGGCCTTTAGTGCTCTAAATTTCCTTCTAAGTATTACTTTAGTGGCCTCTCACTAATTTATTATTTTTATTTCATTTTCATTCAGTTCAAATTATCTTATAATGCATCTTTTTATTTTTTCTTTGATCCTTGGATAATTTAGATGGTTTATATACCTTCCAAGTATTTGGGAAAGTTTTTGCAGTTACCTAATTTAGTTCCACTGTAGTAAGAGAATATATTTCATAAATCTTGAATCCTTTAACATTTATTGAGGCTTGTATGGCTATAGAATGTGGTCTACCTTTGTAAACATTCTGTGTGCACTAGAAATGAAAACGTATTCTGCTCTTGTTAGGAGGGATGTTCAGTGATGTCAATTATATAGCTTAGGTCAGATTGGCTGATAATGTTATTCAAGTATTCTATATTCTTGCTGATTTTCTATCTACTTGTTTAATTATTGAGAGATGGATACAGACGTGTCTAAGGTTGATTATAGATTTGTTTATTTCTCTTTGTAATTCTATTATTTTGCTTTATGCATTTTAAAAGTTTACTATTAGGGCACATAAATATTTAGGATTGTTCTTTCATCTTGATGATTTAACACCTTGCTATAAAAACAATCTTTGCGATCCATGATAATATTCTTTGCTCTGAAATATACTTTGTTGTTAATATAACAATTTCATTTTTCTCTTGACTAGTGTTAGTGTGGTGTATCTTTTTCCATCTTTTTACTTTTAACTTATTTATATCTTTAAAGTACAGTTCTTGTAAGCAGCATATATTAGCATCCTGATTTTTTATCTACTCTGATAGTCTGTCTCTTAAACCATTTATATTTAATGTGCTTAGTGATGCGATTGAATTTAAGTGTAACATCATATTATTGTTTTATATTTGTGCTTCATTATTACCCTTTTCTTCATTTATGCCTTCTTTTGAATTAATTGAGTATTTAAATACATTCTATATTTTCTCCTCTGTTGGTTGTTACTTTTTTTGGCTTTAATTCTGTTTTGTGATTTTAGTGACTATTATACCACTAACTTTGAGCGATATTATACTACCTAACATACAGTAGAAGAACTTAACACTAGTATAGTTCCATTTCTCTCTTTCTGGCCTAGGCTTCTTCTCCTGAGATTCCCAGCTCTGAGCTCACTACTCTAGGCTTCCCTGGAAGCCATCACCTCCTGTGTCAGAGCACATCCCACACGGCACTTTCTTTGCCTGTTTGAAACATGTATGTGGCCACTCTAAGTAATACCATCAGAAGTTGGTTGAGAAGCTCAGAAAGATAGAGGCTGATAGAGAGGTAAGACATGGGATATCTGATGATGTCTCCTAGTAAGAGGCTAGGGTGGCAAAGACAAAGAGTTGAAACTTATATGGCAGAATCAGAGCTCACAATGGTGCTGGGCATTTGGGGTTTTGAGTCTTCTCTGAAGATCTTTGACATCTTTAGCTTTATTCTACAGGCCACGGGGAACTACTGGATATTTGAAAGAAGGAATTTATCTGTCTATCTTCTATTTATCTATCTGTAATCTATCATCTAATCTAGGAAATGATAGATCTAGGAAGATGATAGCTAGATAAATATCAGTCATCTTCCTATCATCTGGGAAATAGATTTATTTTGTTTTATTATTTTAATTAATTAATTTAAAAATGTTTAAATTATTTTTATTTTTATTTATTTTATTTTATTTCTCAATTACACTTTAAGTTCTGGGATATATGTGCAGAATGTGCAGGTTTGTTACATAGGTATACACATGCCATGGTGGTTTGCTGCACCCATGAACCTGTCATCTGCACTAGGTATTTCTCCTAATGCTATCCCTCCCCTAGCCCCCAACCCTCCGACAGCCCCCGGTGTGTGATGATCCCCTCCCTGTGTCCATGTGTTCTCATTGTTCAACTCCCACTTATGAGTGAGAACATTCAGTGTTTGGTTTTCTGTTCCTGTGTTAGTTTGCTGAGAATGATGGTTTCCAGCTTAATCCATGTCCCTGCAAAGGACATGAACTCATCCTTTTTATGGCTGCATAGTATTCCATGGTGTATATGTGCCACATTTTCTTTATCCAGTCTGTCATTGATGGGCATTTGGGTTGGTTCCAAGTCTTTGCTATTGTGAACAGTGCTGCAATAAGCATACGTGTGCATGTGTCTTTATAGTAGAATGATTTATAATCCTTTGGTTATATACCCAGTAATGGGATTGCTGGGTCAAATGGTATTTCTGGTTCTAGATCCTTGAGGAACCGCCACACTGTCTTCCACAATGGCTGAACTAGTTTACAGTTCCACCAACAGTGTAAAAGCATTCCTATTTCTCCATATCCTCTCCAGCATTTGTTGTTTCCTGACTTTTTAATGATCATCATTCTAACTGGAGTGAGATGGTATCTCATCGTGGTTTTGATTTGCGTTTCTCTAATGACCAGTGGTAATGAGCTTTTTTTCATATGTTTGTTGGTCGCATAAATGTCTTCTTTTGAGAAGTGTCTGCTCATATCCTTTGCCCACTTTTTGATGGGGTTGTTTTTTTCTTGTAAATTTGTTTAAGTTCTTTGTAGGTTCTGCATATTAGCCCTTTGTCAGATGGATAGATTACAAAAATTTTCTGCCATTCTATAGGTTGCCTGTTCACTCTGATGGTAGTTTCTTTTGCTGTGCAGAAGCTCTTTAGTTTAATTAGATCCCATTTGTCAATTTTGGCTTTTGTTACCATTTTTTTTTTTTTTTTTTTGAGATGGAGCCTTGCTCTGTCATGCCCAGGCTGGAGTGGAGTGAAGCAATCTTGGCTCACTGCAACCTCCACCTCCTGGGTTCAAGCAATTCTCCTACCTTAGTCTTCCAAGCAGCTGAGATTACTGGTGCCTGCCACCATGCCCAGCTAATTTTTTGTATTTTTAGTAGAGTCAGAGTTTCACCATATTGGCCAGGCTGGCCTCGAACTCCCGACCTCAGGTGATCTGCTCGCCTCAGCCTCCCAAAGTGCTAGGATTACAGGCGGGAGATAGATACATAGATACATAGATAGATAGATAGATAGATAGATAGAGCAAATGGTGTTTTATGATTAAGCAGGGGCAGGTTTATAGCAAGTGACTGTAGTTAAAGGTTACTAAGGAACAATAAGAATTAAGAAATGTGAGAGGGTGAGGCCTGGACAAGAAGGTAACCTAGGACAGGAAGAAGCAGACAAGGCAAGAGCTGTGCCAGCATATCCTGGGTGGCTCTTGAGGCTCACACTACCCTAGCGTATGTTTATTTATGATATATCTTATATCTCTTTCCAGTTTTGGAAGGCCATCTTGTAACTTACCAATGAAATTTTATCCTTTAGCATCAAACACAGATCTGACACCTGTGACACAATAATGTTAATGTGGAAATATAAAAGAGAATGACATTGACAAGACCAGGATGACATTTCAGTCTTGTGTACCTGGAAGAGCAATTGCATTATATAAAAACTAAGAAGGTAAGGGTAGGAGAGAAACTTTATGGGAGGAAGATAAAGTGTTTAGCTATGAGTTTGCAGCACAGGGTTCAGAGGGAAATATTGGGTAGCCAGCTGGGTCTATGGTCTTGGACCTCAGCAGAGTAGACAGGGTGGGGAAATGACAGAGGAGGTGCAGAGGAAGCCTGGGAACTGATACATGGACAGGTTTTGGTAAACTGAGTTCTGGGTGAACCCTTCTGGGCAAAATCCCTCCCGACTAAATTCCTTCATAATTTGTATATTACATTCCACAACTAGGAATACAAAAGTGTACTACCTGAGTATTAATGCGTGGGTTGATCTGAGTGGAGCAGCACTTCCTTTTTGGTTTTATGGGTTAGAAGGCAGGTAGGTGCTGGGTGTGCATGAAGGTGGCTGAGGCTCCACTGGAGAGTAAGCACCTGCAGTAGTCGCACAGAGACTGGGAGGTCAGCTCCACCAGCATAGCCTTGGTTCCCAGGCTTTGCTTCTCCAAACATAAAGGCATGGAGAGACTTCCAGCCCGCACCCAGGGGCTGGCACCAGAGATGAACCACGCAGAGGTGTGAGCACTTTAAAGCTGATCAGCTGCTTCAGAAAGTGGCCCTTCACCGTGATGCCTTTAGAGAATGGCTGGAAAGTCTCTGGTACTTTATGGACGGGCTTTTAGCAAGATTTAGAGCACTGGATGAAATACTGGCTCTGTCTGAACTTACATTGGAGACCTTCCACAGATGGTGTTTTTGTGTTCAGTGTTTCAGAGAGTGAGTTCATTAGTTTTTTCCTTCACTTCCTCTTCCCCTTTCTTTTTATGTTATCATAGCCTCATAGGTGGTTTAACGAAGTGTGAGACTTTTCAAGAGGAAATTTTGGATCTGTTTCTCTGAAGAGGCCTTTGAATTATACCCAAGTTCCTTTTATTTTAGTAAGCTACAAAGCATCCATATGTACTGAATGAAAACATATTATGTATCTTAGTTCTAAAGGTTTTCATCTTGGTAGGGCTGAAGCTTTAGAGAAAGCCATGTGCTAACTGAAATAGTTCTGGTGCTCCCAGGCTCTGCGCATTCTCTCTGAGTCATGACATGCTTCGTTTCCAGACTGCCTCCCTCTGCCTAACTCATCTTTGTTGTTGCAGTAGGTCTGCCACGCAGTGGGTGATGAGCACTCACGTACTGAACAGAAGGGGCTTAAAAGGTGGCGTTTTCCCATTCCACTGAACCCACGATGTTCATGCTGCTTCCCAGGTCTTCGGGTGATCACCATGCCTTGAATCTGCCCCGAGCTGCTCTTCCAGTGCCCCAGCGCCTGCTTGAAAGGCTTTGTCTTTTCATCCTATCTTTAATTCTTGCTATAGGCAGTGTGGAGTATTGCACGTAAGGGATGGTTCATGAAAATATTGTGCTTTCTTATATTCTTTTAATGGATATTTTGAGAAACATATGTAATGTTTTTAACAGTAAAATAGAGGTTAAATGTAGGTTTTCATGAAATATTTGAATATCTTAAGAGGCAATGAATTGACACATCATTTCCTCTCTACTCTTCTCTATCAGAAGGTGTCTGAATTCAGTGATGGGTGAAAATTCTGCTCATTCTATAGATTTCAGCATCTCATCAAGTCATCTACCTCTCTCTTTCGCCTGTGTCAGAGACAGCTCAGTGGCGCCTGGTTGGAGGGCGCCTCCCTGTCTTCTGCTGCTTACCAAATGCCCTGTTGGAGAGCGCTGAGCACCTTCTCCTGAGAATTACACTTGTGTTTTCAATTTTCACTAGATCTGCTCCTGAAACCCCTCAAAGATTGGGCAATGTCTAGATTTTGGCTGGAAGCAGATCCGAAATATTTCCTGCAAGAAGGGGAAATGTTGTTGGGTGCTAGCTTTGATGTGTTGGTTCAAGAAAGGAATTTATTCTTCACTGAAAGTGTTGAAATTGCATTACTTCGCTTTCGTGATAATTTTTTTTTTATTACACTTTAAGTTCTAGGGTACATGTGCACAACGTGCAGGTTTGTTACGTAGGTATACATGTGCCATGTTAGTGTGCTGTACCCATTAACTCGTCATTTATATTAGGTATATCTCCTAATGCTATCCCTGCCCCCTACCCCCACCCCACAACAGGCCCTGGTGTGTGATGTTCCCCTTGCTATGTCCAAGTGTTCTCATTGTTCAATTCCCACCTATGAGTGAGAACATGTGGTGTTTGGTTTTTTGTCCTTGCAATTTGTGATAATTTTTAAATGTCGGCTTTGTCGTCTGGGCTCCATTGCAATAGCTCAGGTGCTGAGAAGCTCTGGGTGACCCTGGGCTACCTGCACGTCTCGAGTGTGTGTCTGCTCTGTCAGGCATCGACTGTGTGGGGAACAGAGGAGGGTGTTGCTGATATCTGAGGTCATGGGAGACCCAAGCTTCGCCTTCCTTTCTCTGCAGAACTGAAGCACGAGATTCACGTCTGGCGCCTGACTGCTCAGCGCATCAGCCCGGCCAGCCGCGAGGAGACAGCTGTGCGCCGCCTGCTGCTGGGGAAGGTGCTGGCACTGGAGCACCTGCTCGCCCGGAGGCTGCACACCTTCCACAGGTACCGGGCGGGGTCCTGCTCAGACTGTGCTTGGTGTGCAGCAGAACATTCCATGGGCCTACAAAATAGCGACATTAGCTGTATACTAATACGTGATATTTAGGTGACGCACACTGTGCTAAGCCTCTTATAGTACATTTTATCTAACCCTCACTGAGCTCTGCAGGGGGTACACAGCCGAGTTTAAGGACCAAAGAAACAACACAAAACCAGAGGCTCAGAGAATTTGAGCGGCGTGCCCAGGGTTGTGCAGCTCGGAAGGAGTGGCACTGGGGATGGGGCTCTCACTGTCAACCGCTGGGCTGTCCCATCTCTCTACATTGTAATTGTTGCACGACAAAAACCAAAAACCATTAATGCAAAGACTAATTTGACAAAATATTCTGCCAGCAGTTGATTTTCAGGCACCTGCAAGAATATGAAAGCCCCACTCAATTTGTTTCCTGGCATTCGTTGTTAATTGAAGCTGAGATTTAAAGGGTAACCATGAATTGGTGGTTTTTCTCCTTGCTATGACATGTTGCTGAGTTCCAAGCAGTCTTTGTTCTGGAAGCTCAGACAGAAGAAGCAGGAGCCTGGTGGCCCCCCAAGGGATGCTGAAGCTGAAGCGTCCCCACAGCTGAGCTGAGAGGGGGTGGAGATGTCCATCTAGGCAAGGGGAAATGTGAACCCTTATGAACAAAATCTAGAATGGTCTTGCCTGTTGCCATTCGCTGTGCACTGAGGGGTCACCCTGCATGGGTGTCTCAAGGTCTGGTCTGTTAGTGGGAGGATTCACAGGCAGTCACATGGAGTCCCACACAATCCCGGGATGAAGTGCCGGCTCAGTGCCATTGGCTTCATCCCCGGTCCGGGACCCATCTCGCCCAGTAATGCTGGAGCAGCAGGACCAGTGTCCTCAGGCCACAGGGAGGCCCTGAGTTACAGGCTGGGGAAAGAATGACCAACTTTGGCAGCAAGCACAGATCTTAAAGGAGACGCTTCATAAACTAAAGATGGAATAAATTGTGCTGGTGTTGGGTGTTAAAGACACACTCAGTGCATCTCAGGTTACAAACATGAGGAAACATGTGGGCTCCGAGGCTCACCACGTTCCCATCAGCTCCTCTGGTGTTAGTCACACATGAGGAAACAGACCTGGGGAGGGCGTGGCTTCCCAAGGCCACACAGTTGCTGAGAAGCAGATTACCATGAGGGTGTCCTAAAGCAAGGTCGAGCTCTGCAGGTTTTATTTTTTTGAGACGGAGTTTCGCTCTTGTTCCCCAGGCTGGAGTGCAGTGGCATGATCTCGGCTCACTGCAACCTCTGCCTCCTGGGTTCAAGTGATTCTCCTGCCTCAGCCTCCCGAGTAGCTGGGATTACAGGCATGTACCAACCCTCCTGGCTAATTTTGTATTTTTAGTAGAGACGGGGTTTCTCCGTGTTGGTCAGGCTGATCTCGAACTCCCAACCTCAGGTGATCCGCCTGCCTCAGCCTCCCAAAGTACTGGGATTATAGATGTGAGTCACCACGCCCGTCCTGCAAGTCTTATTTTTACATTTTCTTTTTAAAAATTGTCCTCAGAATCATTCGACTGTGTCTGCTGTGATTTCTTACGACCCAGACTGCCTGTGTGGTCAGCCTCTTTTGATACTAAAACTGCATTCTTCATTGTGCAGCCCCTTTTCCCTAATTGGTTTGGGAGGAAGTCAGCCAGGAGGGGTGGGCTGAGTCAGAAACATGAAAAAGAAGAGGCAAGTGGGAGCCACTGAAGGGGCTGAAACAGGCGGGAGGAGACCACCCCGGCAGGAGCAGCATGGACAGAAAAGACTTCAAAGCTGATCTTCCCCAACTGCTGGCCTCAAGTGATCCTTCCCCCTCGGCCCCCCAAAGTCCTAGGATTTCAGGCGTGGAAGTGATCATCGATTGATAAAAAACAACATTAAAGCAAGTGACATTTCTTTTACCACGTTTTTCTTTAGTTGGTTGTAATAGTTGTATAGGTTCAGTGCCCTCATTTTGGAAACAAAGAGATTCAGGACCGTAGAAGTGTGCATAAAGAGGAAAATAAAGAGACTGACGGTCGCTGCCCTCCTCCACGCACTGCTGCGGGGTTTTCGTGAAGCTTCCCCTGCGCAAGCTGTCACATGTACCTCCTCACACACACTCCTTTCATCATTCAGGTCATTATATGTATTTTTTTGGGAAAATAGAGAGTGAGCACCTTTTCCAGCCAACAAATGAAGCCCCACCGGCCCCCCATGACTAGTCCTGCCAGCCAGGCTCCAAGTCACAGACCGCGTCCAGGCACGAAGCGCTGGGGACTGCTGCTCCGCGATCTCACCACGCAGCGTGACCAGGGAAGTAATGAGTCTCTTCTTTTCTCTTTTAGACAGATCTCACAGGAGGACAAAAATTGGGAGACCAATATCCAAGAACTCCAAAAAAAGGTACCCAGCTTTCTTTCCTCAGGGATTTCTGATTCACTTCTCCAAGAAGAGAGTGAGTGATGCCTTTTCCTTCCCTCACGTGACTGAATGCCGTTTCTCTTTTTATTTCTGTGGTTATACACAAGACGTTGAGGTTTATGTGTGTGAGTGGATGGGGAAAAATGTTTTCTGGATACAGCAGGCTGATTTTGTGAGGATGTGGAAAGCAAACATCTTTATAGAGCCTTTCCCTGTCCCTGCACGTTGCAGGGCCCGCCCTCTGAGCGGGTGTCCCTGACCACCAGCCCGCTCCTGGCCCTGAAGGGCAGGCCCAAGGTTCACACTTTGCGGAGGGGAGACCGGCAAGGCATGCTGCATGAAGTGGAGCAGCTTTAGGGGCAGACATAGGATGCGTGAGTGTGCTGCCGATGGCTGTGACTTCCTGGGGCAGAGCTTGTTTTCTTTTGTTTTGTTTTTTTTGGCTCATTCTTCCATGGGGGTGGACTTTCTCAGCCCATTTATGAACACAGAGGACCCCTTCCCAGTCGAGAGAGCTCTGCTCAAGATCTGCTAGGAGTCATTTGCATCTCAGTGACATTTCAGATCCATGCAGTTTGTTTTCTAGGGAGAGATTGAATACCCACTCTAATTTTGATGGGCACACTCTCCATGCGAGTCAGGTGTTTCCTCAAAGGGCTTCAGAACACCTCACATCTATCGTGCTTATTTTCCATAAAGATGTTGGATGCAATCTGATGAGGTGCCTCAGTGCCTTCACACTCTGTCCCATGTGGATGGCCAGGGTTAGAAAAGAAAGGTATAGCTGTGATACTCTTGCAGGCCCCAAGTTCATACAGATTATGCCTGCCTTGCTAGACTGTGGTGTTTTAGTCATGAGTTGGAGAACTGTGTGCCTCTCTGTACACCTGGACGAGGACTACAGTGAGATGAAATGGAGAGGTAAGGCTTGGCAACATCCCTGTATCACATCTAAGAATTCTTACAGAAATGACCCTAGGTGTGTGTGTGTGTGTGTGTGTGTGTGTGTGTGTGTGTGTGTGTATGCCATGGAATACTACTCAGCCATAGAAAGGAATGAAATAATGGCATTCACAGCAACCTGGATGGACTTGGTGACCAGTGAAGTAACTCAGGAATGGAAAATCAAACATTGTATGTTCTCACTTATAAGTGGGAGCCAACCTATGAGGACACAAAGGCATAAGAATGATATAATGGACTTTGGGGACTTGAGGGGAAGGGTGGGAGTGGGGCGAGGGATAAAAGACTACACATTGGGTACTGTGTACACTGTTCAGGCTATGGGAGCACCAAAAATCTCAGAAATCACCACTAAAGAACTTACCCATATAACCAAACATCACCTGTCTTCCTGAAACCTATTGAAATAAGAAAAAGAAAAAAAAAAGAAAACAGAAAAAAAGAAATGACCTCAGGTATCCAGAAGGAGCAAATTTGAATGATACCCCCAAAAAACCTCCACTTCCATGAGCTGCAGGATGCTGGAATGCTCTTTGACCTGCCTACTCCTCCACCTCCAATCTTTGCACTGGCTGTGGCAATAGCCACTTTCTGTGGTTGCTGCGACCTCAGGGAAGGTTTGCAGTGCCTCCCCTCATGCCTGGTGAGAATCCGCATCACTCTCCTCTGAGCATTTCAAATCTTTTTCCTGCCATGCTCCTTTGGCCCTAATTCTTCAGCACAGAATCATGTAGGAAAATCGGCCTTCCCCAGAGAGGCGACAGGGAAGATGAGAAGGGGCTGGCCCAGCCATGAGCCTTCACGGTGGGCAGGGAGGGGCAGATGCTCACCAGTGGCCCCACTGCACATAGAGGAGGGGCTGTGTCAGCTGTTGTGACACAGAGGGCCTTGCATGTGTTTTTGATGGCAGCAGCTTTACCTTTGTGACCAGAGGAAGCAAGAGAGAGAATCTCTTTGTAGCTCTAGCTCTACCTCTGTGTGTCTATATCTATATATCTATATGTCTATATCTGTCCAAATCCAGATAGCTATAGATCACTATGATGGTAGATATCGAGATCCACCTGCATCCATGAAGCTACAGACATTGACATTCATCATCATTGCTGTCTCCATCTAATCCACCTAGACAGATTAGACAGATGGGTAGACAGGTGTGCTGGTGGGACCAGACTCAAGAAAGGATCTGATGCTTGCCAGGCGTGGTGGCTCACACCTGTAATCCTAGCACTTTGGGAGGCAGAGGTGGACGCATTGCTTGAGCCCAGGAGTTCAACACCAGCCTGGGCAACATGGTGAAACCCTATCTCTACTAAAAATACAAAAACTAGCTGGGCATGGTGGTGCACACCTGTAGTCCCAGCTACTGGGGAGGGAGGCTGAGGTAGGAGGATCACGTGACCCTGGGAGGCGGAGGTTGCGTTGAGCTGAGACTGTGCCACTGCACTCCAGCCTGGGTGATAGAGTGAGACTGTCTCAAAAAATGAAAATGAAAATAAAAATAAAAATAAATAAATAAATAAATGAAAGAAAGAAAGAAAGAGAAAGGACCTGGTGCAGTTATCCTTTCACACAGTGGGCCGGCATTCACACGGGGACCTTGTTAACAGGGCAGGCCTACCAGGTGCCCATCTGTGCGTGCTTCCCTGCCCTGGCCCCACGCAGCCATGGCCTGTGGAGCACAGTACCCTTGGGGCCTCATAGGGAGAGCCCCGTCTCGTGCCGTCTCCTAGGTACTCCTAGGTTGATGGAGGCCTTGCGGAGGATGAGGTGCCTCGGGGCCTGCCCTCCCCCTATGACCAGGTGGATTCTCGCGGGTGTCATTCCAGCGCTAAGAGTGCACCCCCTGCATTCCAGGGGCCTCATGCATGTCGTGTAAAGAACATGGCCAGAGCCTTATCTGGGAGTCACAGTTCCGTGAGAAGGCTCAGCCTCATGGCCCCACCCGCATGCTTGGCGTGGTAGAGAAAGGAACAGTGAAGACAGCATAGGCCCCTGTAGAAACGCCCCGTCATCCTCTGATACCTGCCGGCCAGGTGTTTCATAACAGGGCTGTGCTACTCTTGACATCTGTGTTTATCTTTCATAAAGATTTTGAATGCAGTAATCCTGAATCTGTACGGGTTTCCTTGTAACACAGTACTTTGCCATTTTCTTTCAAGTTCGAGAGGTTACATTTTTCATCCTCGTGAAATCTGTCGTGATTCCAGTTGCGTAGGTTATGACACGCTGCAGGAGTCAGAAGGTTGTGCAGAGTAAATGAGCTGTGGTTTCTCTCTTACAGCATAGGATATCTGACGGGATTCTGCTCGCCAAATGCCTGACAGTGTTGGGATTTGTTATCTTCATGTTTTTCCTCAATTCGTTTGTCCCTGGCATTCATCTTGATCTTGGTGAGTCTAATTTAGCTTTGGTTCATAGGCTTTGTCACATTCTGGATGGGAAGGTTTCAGAGCCTGTTCCCAGACACTGACTTTGCCCACAGGCAGCCGGGCTGGTGGAAGGCCAGAGAGGGCTGAGATGGAGGGTGGGCAGCCTGCCCTGGGAAGAAGGGCGCCTTTCCTTTTGGTTTCCTGGGCAGGAGGGAGGGAGAGAGAGATGCATCTCTGGCCCCTTAGACTCTGTGCCATGGGTCCTCAGCCCCTCCAGGGATGACCATGAGGAGGAATATAGAGTGGGCACTGTCCTGTCTATTGTAGTTAATAACCACATCTTTACATGGTTCCCAGAAGAGATGGAGCCACATGGGCAAGGCCAGCGCTGCCATCTGTGCCGCCTACCATGCCAGTTAGGTGACAGTCTGTTCGGGAGAGCCCTGGCGAATGGCCGGTGCTCTGCAGGGCCCACTTGCCTTGTCTGAGGGTGCATCTGGCGCATGAAACTGTTCTCCCACCGTCCACCATTGGTTTCTCTTCTCCCACGTTCACCACACCCATGGCTCTCAGACCTCTCCACTTTCTCTAGCCTGTGCTGTGGCCAGGACCTATCCCCACCTGAGATGTGGCTCTCTCAGGGGGAGCTCACCACAGAGCTTGTCAACCCCTGGCCTCCTCCACCCTCCATAAACGTTCTCCACTCTCCCAGGCGTTTCTTATCAATTTCACAGTTATCTCCATTGGTATCCTTATTGAAAACAAAACAAAACCCACCCCACATGAAAGTGTAGGTTTATAAGAAGCATAAATTTGAGGTGGTGTCACAGTCTTTTCTTTTACCAAAGCTTTACCCATAGTTTTCCTTCAAAAGTGAGCTCTGCTAAGATGGTTAAAATACCCAACTTTTATCTTATTTTGTATAAAACCTTGGTTCACTGTGAAATTTGAGGAGTGCAGCTGCCGTAGAAAGTGAAGCCTCTTAATTTTGTAAAATAGATGGATAATGCCTCAAGCTTCAGCGATTCGCACCACATCATTGCTTCCGGGGTTCCTGGAAACCATCAGACATTCATGGGCTAGAAGTTGGTCTTCCTTTTCTCTTATGTAAAAAAGCCGCATTTCTAGATTCTCACACAACACATGATGTATGTGCTTTTGACTGGAGTTCCAGCTTTGTGTTATGTATTTGCAGCCCCTCCATTTCTTTCTCTTGATAATCTCAAATCCAACTTGCCAGGTGGCCTGGGCTTGGTTCAAGCTGGCAGGTATTATTTATCCACACCTGAGAGCTGATCTGCTTGGAATCCTGATGAGGTAATGATCCAAAGCTGGAGTGGTAACGATTTTGTGAATTTCAATTGTATTTGGTGGATTACATCTAGAAATTGCTGCAGTGTAATTATTTTTAATTACGCCTCAGGCCTAATGTAATTTTAACATTAGAAACCTTAATGACTACAAGAATGTTACGTGGTCACCACTGGTAATTAAACAAATTTAAAAAACTAGTGTTTTGTGGGCAGAGAGGTTCCATTAGGTGTTCACAGATAATTTTGCTCCTGATTTTATTTGAGAGTCTACTTTAGAGGAACATAGCAGGCATTTTAAAAACTAAAAAGATATAAGAGCTTGCATTCAATTTTATTAACATTTGGCAACAGTCTTTGTATTAAAAACAATACTTTAATACTTAAAGTCACATCTTTAACTATATGGACTTAAAAAATCTTGGTTACTATGAAACTTTTAGCCTGCAAGTCTACGTTTTTTTTACAAAATGTCTCATCTCCTTTTGTGTGGTTGTTACATCTGTGAATGATGGACATGTTTATTTTCTGCTTTTAAATCCTGTTTTGTTTTTAGTTAGGGCTTGTGTTCAGGTGATTTTATCTGGGGATCCAGATACTGCATATTTATCAAGATAGGTTAGGTTGACTAGGAGAAAAGTTTGATTGGCATATATTTTAATGGAATACAGTTTCCTTAGAGTTATAAGAACTTTTCTGATAGAACAAGGGCAAAATGGATACAAGATCTTCCCGGGTCTTCAGCCAGTAGCAATGTGATCATTTATCTTTGGTGAAGTTCTGTTTTCTTTTTAATTTTTTTAAATGTAACAGTGTTTTTTTAAATTTTTTTGAGACAGAGTCTCACTCTGTTGCTCAGGCTGGAGTGCAGTGGCACAATCTCAACTCAGTGC
This sequence comes from Homo sapiens, assembly GCF_000001405.40. Lineage (NCBI taxonomy): Eukaryota > Metazoa > Chordata > Mammalia > Primates > Hominidae > Homo > Homo sapiens. The sequence goes on along the minus strand of NW_011332701.1, from coordinate 83,888 downwards.
AGCCTCTGCCTCCTGGGCTCAAGCAATTCTCCTGCCTCAGCCTCCTAAGTAGTTGGCATTACAGGAATGCGCCACCACACCCGGCTAATTTTTGTATTTTTAGTAGAGCTGGAGTTTCACTATGTTGGCCAGGCTGGTCTCAAACTGCTGACCTCAGGTGATCCTCCCGCCTCAGCCTCCCAAAGTGCGGGGATTACAGGCACGAGCTACTATGCCCGGCCAGAAGTTCTGTTTTCAATGTGTCCTGCTGTGTAAGTTGAGCCTCGTTCAATGTGATGTCATATGATATGAAATGATGTCGTATCACACGATGTACATCATGTAACGTGACATCATCTAATACAGCGCACACACTGTACACTACGTGACATTATAACAATGTAATTTCATATAACATAGGGTGCTGTCATATAAAAATGTGCATTGTGAAACAAAATGTGACATCAGATAACATTCCTTCATTTAGGAATCCTAACCTAGACATAGCATTGACTCTTTCTCTTTATTTTTTTTTTATTATCATAGAGCAAAACTGACTTTTCCTTTGAATGTAGCGTTCTTTGGATTTTAACACATAGGTAGGTTTGTGTAACTGCCACTGCAGTCAGAGCACAGGCCAGCTCCGTTACAGAACTTTCTCAGCTGTCCTTTTGTAGCCACCCTCCCCCGGTCCTGGCAAGGACTGATCTTGTCTCCATCACTATGGTTTTGTGTTTTTGGGGCTGTCATATACATGGAATCAGATCGTATGCCACCTTTCGAGACTGGCTTGTCTCACACAGTGTAATGCCTTTATGGTTCACCCAAGTTGCTGTGTGCATCAATGGTTCATGTTTGGCCGGGCACAGTGGCTCATGCCCGTAATCCTAGCACTTTGGAAGGCCGAGGAGGGTGGATTGCTTGAGCCCAGGAGTTCGAGACCGGCCTGGGCAACATGGCAAAATCCCGTCTCTACAAAAAATACAAAAATTAGCTGGGTGTGGTGGTGCACGCCTGTAGTCTCAGCTACTTGGGAGGCTGAGGCAGGAGGATTGCTTGAGCCTGGGAGGTGGAGGTTGTAGTGAGCTGAGATTGCACCACTGGGCTCAGCCTCGATGACAGAGCCAGACTATTTCAGAAAAACAAAAAACAGAAAACAAAAAAACCCCAAAAAACAAAAAAACTACTCCAGACACTTCTGAGCACATGGTTTTCTGTGAACTTAGGGTTTTATTCTCTGGGTTGATTTCCTTCTCTTGAGTGGCACTGCTGTGTCATATGGTGGGTGTAGATTTTATTTTAAAAGCAGCTGCTGCCCTGTTTTCTAGCAAGGCCAACCCCGTTGCGTTCCCACAGCATGTATGGGAGTTCCAGCTGTTTCACACCCTTGCTGGCACGTGGCACAATGAGAATCCCCCTGGAGTTCCGCAGCACCTTATGCAAACCTTAAATATATTCTTATGATTTCTTTCCTCGTCTGTCCTCTGTCCTCCCCCTTCCCAGCTAGACTCAAGGACATGGTCTGTGTGTCTGCATTTCCCCTCCCTGGTGCCTGCTGCTAATGCCTGGTTCATTAGTAGAAGCAAGGTGTAGGTTCTCAGGATGCACGAACAAAGTTCTCATTGCTGCTCACAGATTCCAACTTAACTATTGTGGGGAATTTCCTATGTGGCTGACCCAGCCTGGGGCACAGCCTGAGGCAAAGGCTCACATGTGTGTTCTTCATCCGGGAGCTTCAACCCAGAGAAGAGGAGTGAGGGATGGGGGCCGGGCAGTGAGGAGAGTGAGCGCAGGCACCACTGCCCCAGCGTGCTGGCCTTCGTGACGGGCCACTGGGGCTCCATCCTGCAAGGCTGCCTGAGTGGAGGTACCAAATGCACCTCAGGGCTGTCTGTGGGGTTGAGTAGAGCAAGAAGGAATGTTTACTGGCTGGTGCGCATGGCCCATTGGTCATAGCTCCTTCCCGTGGGATGCCAGAGTGCATGTGTCCAGCTGCATGTGCCGAGGCCATGCGACCGCACCCGCAGGGCGGCCCAGGCAGAGAAGGCATCAGGGGCATGGGCTCCAGGGCAGACCTTCCAGGTGCATCTGTGTGAGGGTTGTCGGGCCACACGGAGCTGGCTGTGGTGACAGAGAGGAGAGCCCTGAGGGACCCAGGGGTGTGCAAGAGGTGGCACAATGGCAAAGAAGGGTGAGCAAGGGCCAGGGTCACAGTTCACACCCATCCGGTAAAGAGGTGGCTCCCAATGTGCAGGGACCATCACCTCACAGCACAGCAAGACCAAGCCCAGCCTGGGCGCTGGCTCTGCAGAGGTCTGCAGTGCCTGCATGAGACCCTTAGTGCCAGATGGGTTTCACAGGGGCCAAGGGAGAGCTTTCCCCTTGGGCCTCTTGAGTTTTGCTGAAAAACCAACTCACAGAAGGCAGAGTAATAGGAGAAAAGGCAAACACATTCATTTAACATGTGTACACAGGAGCCTTCAGAATGAAGACCCAAAGATACAGGAGAAATTGTTCATGTTAAAGCTTAGGTTCAGCCAAGTGTGGACAGCCATGTAGAAATGGGATTGGAGAAAAAGTGTATGATTGGGTACTGATAGACTGAGTGGGAAACCCAGCAGGGCCTGTCTGTCCAGGGTCCTCCTGGCCTCTCTGAGCGGCACTCCTTCCTTCTGAGTGTGGGGCAGGCCCCTTTCTGGAATGGGAGTTGTAGGACCCACAGTCAAACAAGGCAGGCCAGACAGTTTCTTCATGGCCAGTTTTCACACAGAAAGGCAGAGGGAAAATGAGAATAACACTTTAGATTTTATGGCTGGCTTTGCAGAAAAGGATTCTGGTTTCAATGACCTGCCTTGGGAAAGATTCTAGTGTCTTTGGCAGTCTCAGGGGAGAATGGGACTGAGAGATGGGCAGGCAGGAGGACGGCAGAGAAAACTTTTCCTTCTGATAAAACAAAAACTTCAGCCGAATTAAATGTAAAGGAGTTTGATTGAATGATGAACGATTCGCAAATTGGGCAGCCCCCAGAATCACAGCAGATTCACAGAGACTCCAGGGGTGCCTCATGGTCAGAACAAACTTATAGACAAAAAAGGTAAAGTGACGTACGGGAATCGGAAGTGAGGTACAGAAACAGTGACATTGGTTACAGCTCGGCGTTTGCCTTATTTGAACACAGTTTGAACATACAGCAGCCTATGAGTGGTTGAAGTATGGCTGCGGGGATTGGCTGACACTCAGCCATTGTTAGAGGTGCATACTATTAAGTTAGGTTTTCGCTTTGTCTGACTATTAAGCTAGGTTACAGTTCATCCACAAGGACTCAAATAGAGAAGTACAGAGTCCTTCTCAGGCCATCGTTAGCTTGCTTTAACACTTCTGAGGCCTTCATTTTGGGGTATTGCTTTCTGAGCCCCAGAAGTTTCAAAATTCAGATTTTTTTATGTGTTTTAGAAAGATAATTCAGTGAGCATACTGAATTTTGGATATAATGTAACACACCCTGAGAGGTTCAGGGCCAGCACCCTGTCATCCGAGCATGATTTCTGCAGTGAAACATGAATATTTACACAAAGTGGGACAAATAAAGACTGCAAACAACCTCATTCCTATTCAAGTCAGGGTTTTTTGAATTTTTTTACATCAAAATATATAGAAAAAGTTTGCTTTTCTGAAATTAGGGTTTCAAGATTGTGGATAACTGATTATGAACCTGTGAAAAGAATCAGCGAGGCAGGCTTGAAAATGTTATCTTTGGCCTTAAAATTCAGAGCCTTGATGAGCTGTTTCCTAGGCCTCCTCCTTTGATAATTAGTTCAGAATGTACCCCAGATTCTCTCATGATGTGTTTGATTAGATTTCAGTTCTGGAAAATTTTCCGTCATTATTTCCCTGATTATGGTTTTGAAATTGCTGGTCTTCTCCCTGTCCCTTGGTGTCCCTCTGGTTGAGCAATTTTATTGTTGTCTTTGTGAAAGTATTTTTAGCTACAAATAAAGCAATCTATTGGATCTGTCTTAAGCAAAATGGAGGATTATTAGAATAATAACAGGCTGACAGGCTCCAAGGACACTGGGGCCTCTTGGGGGCAGGCTCAGGAAGGAGGAAGGGTCCGGATGGAGGGCGCCCACCCACCCCGGCATCTGCAGTGCTCTGCCCTCAGCTCCTTGCTTCTCCGTGACCAGTTAGTGCATCTTTTTTCTGCTCATGGCAGAATAGTGCTTGCCTGATCAGTTTCCCAGTTTATAGGACCTCGATTTCAGCCACACACAGAGAAATGGCTATTTTGAACCCCCAATTTCCAGGCGAAGAGGAGTCTGCTTGGCCTTGTTGGTTTCTTTCATCTCCTAGCACAGGAAATTCTGAGCAGGTGGACGGGAACAAGTGGTGAGATGTGGCCTGGAGTGGCTGAGGCATACTTCTTAGAGGAGGTCACTATGAGCTGGACAGACATTCCCAAGGCTTCCTAATATATGTTCTATGCACTCTAGTTTCTAGTAAGATTCATTTCAGCTAAGCCATTCACATATCCATCCTCTCACTTATTCATGCATTTGTACAACACATGCAGGCAGTGGCCTAGGGGTTGATTGGGGCTAGTGTGGTGAACATAAAAACCATATCGCTGCTCTCCTAGGTCGTCTTCTCTAGAGGGGAGATGGATCTATATTTACTCTACCAGGGACTCATGTAACTGTCCAGCGGGTTCCTCTTGCCCACTGCTGAGGTAGACCAGATTTATGGAGGCAGAGTTGTTGCAGTAGGGAAGGAGTTTTACCCATGTAGGACCTGGCTAAATGGAAGACGGGAGTTGTATTATTACTGAAATCTGCCTCTCTGATTTGGAGGCTAGGGCTTTTCAAGGACAATTTTGGGGAAGAATGGCGGGGAGGGTGGTTAGGCAATGGGTGCTTGCTGCCAATTGGTTGAGGGTGTAAATCATAGGGGTGTGGGAAATGGTTCTCCTGCATGCAGAGTCATTTCTGAGTAAGCCACAGGAGCAGCTGGCCAGTCCAGGTGGAGCCATCAGTCTCAAACATGCAAAAACCCTGAAAACGTATCTCAAAAGGCCAGTCTTAGGCTCTCCAATAGCGATGTTATCTGCAGGAGTAACTGGGGAAGTTGCATATCTTGTGACCTCCAGAATAATGGCTGGCAATCTTCTATGTCTACACTTTAGCAGAATTCAGTCTCTCCTATCCTCCTAGCCTGGTGTTCTTTGATTAGCTTTACAAATGCAATTGAGTTTTGGGGAAGGGCTGTTATCATTTAAGCTATAAACTAAACGTCTGCCAAAGTTAGCTTGCCTTAAGCCCAAGAATAATTGAGGGCAGCTTGAAGGCTAGAGGCAAGAAGGGGATTGGATAGATCAGATCTCCCTCACTGTCATAATTTTCTCACTGATGCAATTTTTGCAAAGGTGGTTTCAGTCACATTAGGGCCAGCAAGGACTACACAGCTAATTTAGACACCAAGACCTTCAGAGCTCTGATGTGGAGACAAGCCAAGGGTACCAAATGGTAAAGCCAAAAACGATAATTTCCATAGTCAAGGTGTCGATGAAAAGAGTGAAACTCTGTAAATTATTTGAAGAGATCTATTCTGAGGCAAAAATGAGTGAACACGGCCCATGACACCACTCCAGGAGATCCTGAGAACATGTACCCAAGGTGGTTGAGTTACAGCTTGATTTTATACATGTTAGGAGGACAGAAGTTACAGGAAGATATTCACCAATACATGTAAGTTGTGTATTGGTTCAGTCCGGCAAGGTGCGACAACTCGAAGCAGGGGGCAGGATAAGGGCTTCCAGGTCATAGGTGGATTCAAAGACTTTCTGATTGGCAATTGGTTGAAAGAGTTATTATCTAAAGTCCCAGAATCAATAGAAAGAAGAGCCTGGGTTAAGATATGGGGTTGCAGAGACCAAGGTTTTTTTTTTTTTTTTTTTTAAATTATACTTTAAGTTTTAGGGCACATGTGCACATTGTGCAGGTTAGTTACATATGTATACGTGTGCCGAGACCAAGGTTTTTATCATGCAGATGAAGCCTCCAGGTAGCAGGTTTCAGAGCTCTTATCAGACCTAAAAAATTACCAGAGTCTTAGGGAAAGGTTTTGGAAAGGGAAGGGGATTCTCTACAGAATATAGATTTTCCCCACAAAAGACAACTTTGCAAGGCCATCTCCAAATGTGTCAAAGAAGCGTATTTTGGGGTAAAATACTTTGATTTCTTTCAGGGCCTGCTGTCTGTCATGTGATGTTATACTAGAGTCAGGATGGAATTTGGTATCTTATTGCTACATCTATTCTATCGGTCTGAAGATCCCTGTTTTAATGTGAATGCTGGTGAGTTGTGTCTGAATTCCAAAGGGAGTGGGGTACAGTGAGGCACGGCTGACCCCCTTCATGCCCTGAACTAGTTTTTCAGATTTCTTTGAAATGTCCTTGGCTGAGAGGGGGTCCGTCAGTTGGTTGAGGGGCTTAGAGATTTGTTTTTGGTTTACAAAGTTACAGATGAAAGGCCTAATGAAATCCCCAAAAGAAATGAGGAGCTCTTACTGGAAAGGCTTTGGCATATTAGAAAATAGCCCTGATATATGTAAACTATTTAAGGCAGTTATTACATACAGTTTGTGTTAACCTGATAATAAAAATATTTACATCCCTGGATGGCTCTATTCTAATTTTCATCAAATATTCATCTTAGATGAATGTAAATATCCAAGAGATTATTTCAGAATGATGATAAATATAATATAATGCAATATAATATAACATAATGTAAAGTAATATAATATGGATCTTGGATTTATAAGTCAATTAGAATAATTAGCTGCTTTCCTTACTATCCTCACCGTGGGTAGAATTACCAAATTTCATCATAACACTGAAGAAATGAAATCATGGGGGAGAGAGAATGACTCAGTTTTTTAAAAATGGAGATATAGAATTCACACAACATAAAATTTATCTTGCAAAATTATATCATTCAGTGTATTTTAGTATATTCACAAAGTTGTACAACCATTGTCAGTATCCAATTCCAGAACACTTTCCTCATTCCCCAAATAATCCTATACCCATTAGTAGTCACTCACACACTGCTTCCCCCCTTTCCCCAACCCCCAGACCCTGGAAACCACTAATCCTACTTTCTGTTCCTGGATTTGCCTATTCTGGACATCTCATTTAATGGAATCATTTAACATGTGGTCTTTTGTGTCCAGCTTCTTTCACTTAGCATAACATTTTCAAGGTGCATCCGTGTTGCATCATGGATTAGTGCTTCATTTCATTTGGCTGTATGATATTCATATATATGTTTTCTATTAAACTATGTATATTATATATGTATATCATATATATTATGTATATCGTATGTATATCATATATAATATCATATATTATATATAGTAATATATAATATGTATCACAATTTATTTATCCATTTATTAGCTGTTTGACCTAGGAGTGGAATTGCAAGGTCATATGCAACTCTCTGTTGAACTTTTAGAAACCCTGCCTAACTGCTTTTCCAGAGCAGATGCACCTTTACATTCCTGGTGGTAATGCATGAGCGTTCTGATTTCTCCACACTTTCACCAGCACTTGTTATTGTGTGTGTCCTTGATTATGCTCATCATACCAGGCGTGAAGTGGTACTTCATTACAGCTTTGATTTGCATTTCCTAGTGATGAATGACATTGAGCATCTTTTCATGTGCTTATTGGCCATTTATGAAATGCTCTTTTACTAAATAACATGTGAACTTGTTTTTTCCATCTGTTTGGAAATTTCAGCTGTGATTTACATTAACAACAGCCTTCTTTTGCTATGAAGATTTGTTCCTAACTCTGGAGCATTTTTGCCCATTTGAATCTCCCTTCCTGAGCATCATGCACACATATGAGGATGAGGAAGGCCAGTGTCTCTCCTCTAGTTGCTTAAAACCGCAGCCTTGCCAGGAGCCTAGTGAAGCATTTCATAGGGTTGGTCATGATTCTCCACATGCGGGGATTCATCGTTGGTTGCGGTCTCCTTTTATTAGCTCCAAAATGTTTTCAATAATGCAGCCAATATCCTCCATTGAGTACCCACAGGTTAATGAATTTGGGGGTAGAGCAAATCCATTTAATGACTGTTTCTCACTTCATTTTTCATTCCAAATGGCTTGGATCACATAGGTCTGCATATAACAGTAAGACTGCGAGATTTTTAAAAGGTTGGATAATTTTGACGGAGTACCACATTAGCTTTTAAACTGTGGATTTTCAGAAATGTTAGTGGTCTCTATTTGAATAAAAGTATCTGTGAGTTATGGGTGGGAGAGTAAGGTGTTAGATATGCATTCATCAAGAGATTGTTAACATTCTCACATCGAATGATTACTACTTACAATTTTTTCATTGGTCATTACCCTTAAGATTCTACATTGTCTCAATATATATTAACATTTTTCTATGTAAATTATATTTTCCCCTTAGCATTAATAAGAAAGACAGTCTTTATATTCACTATAGAAAACCAAGTCTGGAGAAATCACAGCTACAGAATTATTAGAAATATTGGGACCAAGAGATTCTTCCTTTCAGGGCTCAGGATATCCCTAACTTTGCAGTCACAATGCTAAGAAGAGTTAGGTTGTGTCAACATTTTCACTTGCTTGTCTGAAGCTACACTGTGGTCACATTTAAATTCCTCAACATTAATAATCTGAAGAAGAATTTAAATAAATTATGAGAGAATAGTGCTGTGGCCATTCACTTCTCAAACTTTTAATAATAAAAAGCAGTTTTTCGGTGATGTTTATGATGTGCATTTGTGGAAATTAGGTATTCCATTGCTAGTGAATGACACAGTTAATTGGAACAAAACTGAACAACTGCAAACATGACTGACCTAATTTTTCTTTCAACGTTTGCAAACAGACCAGATGACATATAGCCTATCCATTTGATATTTTCTTGTGCCGGATGTATCAGGATAGGATAGGCTTTGCTGAGTGAAACACTGGCCCTGCTGTCTTGGAAGCTTGACACAACCACACTTTTTCTTGGTGACATCTTTAGTGCTGGTCAGTAGGGTCCCTGCTGGACAGAGACACTGGCGTTTTGTGATGCCACCATAGAAACAGCAGCTTTCAGGATCATCTTGGCAAGGAAGAGACAGGGGATAGAACTGACAGCTGCCTGTAAATGCCAGGCTAGGAATGTGTGTCTCATTTGCTCATGGCCCAATGGCCGGGTTGGTCTTGTGGCTTCACCTAACTACAGGGCTGGAAACCTTTCTGGGGGTCCAGTAGGGAGAAGAGTGACAGGTGTGGGGAGCTCTGACAAGCTACTAGTGAACCGATACACAAAACACCTCCTACACGATTTGTTAAGGGTTTTACATGATATGATGTTTTATCTGGTACTTTAGAATATTACATAGTGGCCCACCAGTGGGGGTGACTAAAATCTGCTTGGATGCTGGTGAGCATGGAATGTATCAATCAGAAATGCATTCTATTTGGATTTTGAGGAGCCTGAGAAGAAAGGGGGTTCAGTCCCAACGGCAAAGCTGTGTGATGTCCAAGAAGAGCTGGGTGTGTTTCTCAGGGTCAGGCTGCTCTGTGGCCCGCCTCTCCAGGCTCCATCCACATGGAATGCAGCTCACTGCAGTTGTGCAGTCAGTGACCTGGGTGGTTCCCGAGGACCACAGGAAAACCTGCAATGAGGAGTAAACGTTACTTGCTACAAGAAGATCCAAGTTGTGTGGCATTCTGAGAATTTGCATTCCGTGTTTAATGCAGATACTTTAGCTGCTTGTTCATTCACTTGTTGATTCGTTATTTTTGAGTGTGTTTTTACCCACTCCTCACTGTGAGAGGCACCAGGGATACCTGTGAATGAGGCACGATTCCTGACCGTGTCTAATGCACCTGCAGCACTGACCTGCCTCTGTGATAACGAACCTGATTCTTTAACAAAGCCCAAATGCACAAGTGCAAAATGAGAATTCTTAACTGCATTTAGCATTATTTCTTTATGCTTAGTTATTCTTGTGTAAGGATTACTCATTTTAATGAATAAATGAGCATATGAAAAGGTGCTCAACCTCGTAAGTCATCAGTAAAATGCAGAATTTAACCACAATGAGATGACATCATTTTAAGCACTCACAATTTTAATTCTACTCCTTCATGATATCTAGGGAGCATAATATTCATATTTTACATATCACTGCATTTAATAGGCCCCGAGGGTACCAGAAATTGAGTACAAATGTTAGCAGAGTCTTGTTTGGAGTGGTGAATAATACTCATCATAAACATGGCCAACATTTCAATTAATTTTTTAAAAGTAGAGGTTAGAAAATCATTTGATATTGAGACCTAAAATAGTGAAAATAAAAGTAAGTTAAGAAAACAGCTATGATGCCTTCCTTTCTTGCTGACATTTTTATGAGTTTGTCATAGATGTTCTAGTTCACATGAGTTTTAACAGTCAAGAATATGAAGCTCCTCAGAGCCTGTTTGATTTTCAACATGTTTCAAAGATGCTTGAGACCACAGAAGAGCTCCAATGTTCAGTTAAGCTCTGGTTGGTTCCCCCATGGCCTCAGCAAGCGTATGGATTTAGCTGAGAGACCCCTATGGTACCTTGGTGTGTGAGGCTAGCATAGCCGTCACAGGTCCATCACGGCAGTTGTATGTGAGCTGTCTTCTCCATGAGCCTGTGCAGTCCTCGGGGCAGAGCTCAGTCCAGTCCGCCACTCCCAAGGCCACAGAGACCATACTTGAGTGTGCTCAGGGCATGTGCATCGATGCAGCTGTCTCTCAGTCCATCCCGGGAGCTCAGCCTGCCACTGTCTTTCTCTGACAATGTGAGTGCTTTAGAATGTGAATGAGCTGGCATTCAGGGGACAGCCTGGGTAACTGGTACTTGTGTTTATCAAGGACAAAAATCCTGCCTCTGTGTCTGTGTCTGTGTGTTCTCATTAGAGGTCTTCATATTTGGTGAAACTTACCAGCCTCTAAGCACAGTAACCCTTGAGTGTCCTGAAAGTTTTAGTTACTGCCTTCTAATGGCATATTTGTAGGGCTGTACCATTCCCTGACCCTGCCATCACAATTTTCTCCCTTCCATTTTTGGAAGTGGGGTGGAATGCATACATTGAAACACTTTTGCTGATGAAAAGCTGGAATCAGCCCACTTGGTCTAGTGAGCAATGAGCCTGGAGTCTTGCCTCTGCAAGTTGTGGGCAGAAGGGCTAGAATGCCGCCTGGTGAGACAGGGTGGATGCTTAGCTACCTCCTGACCCTCATCAGATCTTAGGTGGCACGTAAGCTGAGGCAGGTGTGTATCTTCTTCCCCTCCTGCACAGCTACATGCACTTCCCTCCCCAACGTGCCCATTTGGTTTAAGAGGACCTAATCTATGTAAGGTTCAGTGGCCTCTGTAAAATAGGGATCCTGCTGAGTGTCTTCATCACATCATATTATGTCATCAAACATCTCCATGTGACTCAACTCCTTTTTTTGTTATGTAGCTTTATTGCAGCAATAACTTACCAACATACCTTACAGTCTATTCATGCATAACATGCAATCACTAGGGTAAGCTGGCCCATCATTTTCTTATTTATATTTGTGACTCAGCTTTTTAAATTGGATATGAAAAGTGCTAATGGTAAAAGATTAGGTTGATAACTTTGACTATCTTAAAATTAGGAACTTATGTCTCAAAGTGTACTACTAAATGAGTGAACAAGAAGCCACAGAGTGAAAAAAGTGTGTGCAAAAGCATCCATTGTCACATTTGGAAATTATATCTAAAATATAAAAAGAACATCTATAGAGCAATAAGAAAAGACAGAACCCCCCAATAGAAAAATGGACGGAATCTTAAGTAGACACTTCACAGAAGAAGATATTGAAATTACTGAAAGTATTAGTAAGCATATGAGAAGGTGTTCAACCTTGTAAGTCATGAGTAAAATGCAAAATTTAACCACAACGAGATGCCATTATATGCACACCTAAATGGTTAGAAAAAAAGACTGACAGTACTGAGTGCTGAAAGATTGTGGAGCAGTAGGAAGTGTCATGCATTGCTGATAAGATTGTAAATTTGTACAATGACTTTTGAAAATGATTTGACAGCATCTACTAAAGTTTAGAACAATGTATATCTTCTGCTTAGTAATTTTGTTCACAGTGGTATGCCCAACAAAAATATGTACATTTGCACACCAAAAGACTCTCTGAAAATGCTCATAGCAGCCTATTTATAATAGCCCCAAACTGGAAACAACTCAAATATCAACCCCTAGAACGGACAAATGGTGGGAGAGTCATATAGTGGAATACTATACAGAAATAAAAAATGAACGTATTACATGACTGGATCTCACAAATGTGTTGGCCAAAAGAAAAATCTGACAGAAAAGAGTATATGCTATATGATTCCATTTATGAAGAACTCAGAAACAGGCACATTTACTCTCTGGTTGTGAAGGGCAGAGCCTGACTGGCATCCTCGGTCATGAAACCTTTTGATGTGGTCTGCACAATTCAGCCTCTGGGGCAGAGAATGTGGGGGGACGGTGAAGAGAGAGGGAGGGGAAAGTCAGCAGCGTCCCCTCCCCCGCCACTGGCCTGTCTGTATTGGTGGAAATCTTTATTTGAGGCAAAATGCTCAGAAATAGAATAATCTTTATTCTTTCCAACCTCAACTCTTTTAAATGACTCACTTGATGTAATTGAGGCATTTCCTAAGCCAGATTGGAAACCACGCAGAAGCTTCCAGGTGTTGAATGGAAGCCATTAGCTTCACTCCGAGCTTTGGTGTTGCAGCTACAGCGGGTATCTTGGGCAGTCACAGCCACTTTCTGGGTCTAGGAGGGAGAGGGCAGATCTGGAGCTCAATCTTCCTGGTTCTAAGCCTGTGTCCTGCAGCACACAGCAGGTGCCCATAAGAGCCACTGAGTGTTGGAGCTAGGCTTTAAAATTGCTGTGAGGATTGAATCAGGTAATACACACAGGCCTGAAGAGCAGTGCCTGGTGCACGATTGCATGAGATATGAACAAACAGTTCAGGCTGATGGCCAAGCAGTGCAGGAAGACACGAAGATTATAAAAAATGGTCTTTCTTTTGCTGGATTTTAAAGGGAAACTAGAAAGAATGGGAGTTTTCTCTTGAGAGAAAGCCTGTGCAGTCTACATGATAATTGAGTAAGTAGTTAGGTGCTCCCTCCTTCTGCTGCCATAGCAACTGCCTGATGCATGGTGCTATAATAGACCTTAACCCCCTGGTCACTCGGCTCCTTCTGACTTTCTAAGCCAGCTCATCCCATGTGCCCTGTCCTACTCACCCACCCAACTGTGGAGTGGGTGCTCCCCACAAGGAAGCACTGGGTTTGCACCCTGGAGGTTGAGTGCTTGGGTAAGTGAGAGAGCTAGAATTACCCAAGGAACAACCACAGTGTAGCTGTGCAACAGAAAGTCCTTGATTATTTGTGATCTTACTTGGTCTATTTCAGGCAGTTGATGGCCAGTACTCATGTAGTACTTCATGAAAGGGTGGCAGGCAGGGTGGTTTGTACTGTATATGGTATGCACAGTCCATCTGTGGGTTTTCCTGTTTGGAAGGATGAATATGAGATGAGTAACTGTTGAGATACTCTCTGGAGATGCATCCTGTGTGCCTCAAGGTACATAGGTTAGTTCATCTTAATTGATCAGGACAGTACTGCCTTTGGTCAAAGTCAGTTACACAATGTCCAGGGCAAGGAACTGTACAGTATATCTTTTATAAAAGATGACAAGGTTTCAAATAGAACAAAATTAAGTTACATTTCTCAGTATATTCATCCAATCACACTGTGACAAGAGATTTGAAATAAATAAACCAGATCTGTTCATAATTAGCAAAATCATTCCATCAGAAGCCTGAGCATATCAGAGGAATATAACGTGGCAGCATGGAAGGAAATTCTTGCAGACTGGGGATTGAATCCTGGCTTCACCCCAGCAAGCTGTGCAGCCTGGAGAAAACCAGTCCATCTTCGGGAGCCTCAGTTTCCCCCTGGGCTGGGGTGCTGAGAGATGCCCAGCAAATGCCTGTGCGGAGGAGGCTGCTGGGGGACTGGTGAAAGCCCTTTCCTACTTTCCTTTGAATCATGTTGCCCAGGGCTTTAGGAATGAGGGAAAAGAGGCTCCTTTAGCTATTTGTTCGGCATAGAAACTTGACTCTGTTGGAGACACAAATGAAAGTACAGAGCCACTTATCTCAGATTTTTTGAGTTGAGAAATGGCAAAGCTCTTGGTGAGAGATTAATGCCCACTCGAGGAAAGCGTTTGATAGAAGCTCCACAGGATAAAGACAGGTCACGTAAATGGTACTTTTTATCTGTATTCATCTCCACTCAACTGCATTTTTAATTTTTAGGAAAAGAGTCTCAATGACACATTGTTAGAATTTGTAATAGAATGTGAAGCTGGAAACTGGGATGTTTCCGTCAGTGGCTTTTGCTTCCAGTACACTGTGGAAGAACCACTGCCTCACCCTTTGTCAGTGTCCCTGAGGAGCCGGTGCTGAGCAGAGCAGCCTGGAGCATTGCTCACAGGGACCGGGGCTGCAGTGGAAAGTGTGGTCTGGACTCAGAGCAGGACCAGGCAATACCAAGCAGACGAGCTTATGCACCGGCAGCCTGATTAGTGCCGCTGGCTCTGCAGGCAGTGCGATTAAAAGTAAGAGGGAATTGAGGTTTTGCAGGGACAAGGTCTTCATTCGATTGTAGGCTATTGCAGGGAATTTTTCTAACAAGACAAATCTCCGTGACTATGGAAACTTTCTGAAGTTGGATGGATGAGTGCTATAGCAGGAGTTTTGGCTGGAGGAAAGCTCAGGCCTCCACAATTGATAAGAGAAAGCAGAACTATAAAAAGAGCCCTAAAGGACCTTCCAGCTTTTTGTCATGACTGAAATTTCTCTCAGAATCATGGAAAAGAACTTGTGTTCTTACTGACTTTTAGAGAGAGCTTCTTATTGCTATATAGCAGAGAAAACAAGGGATGCCATTTCTGGGGTCAAAAAGCTTTACCCAGGAGAAGTGAAATTGGAGCAATTATTTCTTACTGAGAATTTAAAGAAAAGATGTGGTGATCTGTGTTAGAGGAGCGGTGAAGGAATCACCATCAGATGTGATGATCAGATAAGCAAGTGTCTGTTTGTCTTCTGAACTGTGTGGTACGTGCCCTGGAGAATTCAAAGAAAAGTAACATTCTGGTTAGGAGACAAAGCTAACATAAGTAGAAATTAGGCCACTGCAGCCTCTTTGCTGAGAAATCTCATTGACTTCTCCCTGTCTAAGACTGGGGTCCCAACATTTTTGCATGATATAAAACATGGTCTGCCCTTCACATGCTAAATGACAATGTCCTTCCCAACCCCATCTTCCTTTTTAAAATGTTGCTGTTGTAGTAAGAAAAATAATATATCATATGCTTAAAAAAATATATGGTTAAAATGGCAAGGCTTGTGTGATATATATGTATATCACATAAAATTGTGTATGCATATAAAGTATGTGATATGTATATGTATATAGATATGTATATATCCATATGTGATATATACATATATGTGTTATGTATATATCAAATACATATGTGATATGTATATAACACATACAACTTGTCATTTTAACTATTTTTAATTGTACAACTCAGTGGCATTAATTACATCACTGTCAGGCCTCTGAGCACAAGGCTGCACCAGATAGCCTGAGGCAACTGAAAAGTACAAAAGAAGTGAAACAGCCAGCTCTTGTCTTAATTGATTGACCAACCTTACAACATTCCGCTATGACTTGTTCCTGCGCTGTCCCAACTGATGGATCCATCGACCTCATGACATTCTTCTTCTGGACAATGAGTCTTATGTTCTCTCCAGCATGCACGTTGTGACTCCCGCCCTGGCCTGCAAGAGAAAAACCCCCTTTAACTGTAACTTTCCACTGCTTACCCCAGTCCTATAAAACTGCCCCATCCCTAACTCCCTTCGCTGACTCTCTTTTCGAACTCAGCTCGCCTGCACCCAGGTGATTAAAAAGCTTTATTGCTCACACAAAGCCTGTTTGGTGGTCTCTTCATACGGACACGCGTGACAATCACCATTACCGTTATCTCCAAAACATTTCATTAACCCCAAGAAGAAACCCTATAATCATTAAGCAATGACTCCATTTCACCTCCCACCCTGCCCACCCCTGGTAATCTCTTAATCTACCTTCTGTCTGTTTAATGTAATCACATTTGTTTATTTCTGCTTTTTTTCACTTTTGCTGTCATAGCCTAGAAATCACTGCCAAGTCCAATATACTGAATATTTTCCTCCATGTTTTCTTTTAGGAGTTTTATAGTTTTAGACTTTATGTTTAGGTCTCTAATCGATTTTGAATTAGTTTCTGTATATGGTGTAAGATAAGGGTCCAACTTTATTCTTTTGCATGCAGATATCCAGTTTCCTCAACACCATTTGTTAAACAGACTGCGATTGAGTAGTCTTGGCATTCTCATCAAAGATCATTTGACCATAAGCATACGTGTTTATTTCGGGGCTCTATATTCTATTCCATTAGCCTGTTTTTTTTTTCTATGCCTTGTGATTTATTTTTGGTTGAACACTGAACATTTGAATATTATATTGTGGTAAATCTGGAAATCAGTTTCACTCCCTTCCCCGGGGTTATTATTATTATTTTTTATAATCGAAGGCTGTAGTAGTCTTGTTTGTTTTGTGACATTTCCAAACTATTTTTGAAAAGACTGTATTCCTTGTCATGTATGGTCACTGGAATCTCTGTTCCTTAGTGATTGCTTACTGTGTTCGGCTAGTGTTTTGACACAGATTGATTTGAATTCCAGGAGCTAAAAGCAAACAAACCACCACAACAAAAATACCTCTTCCTGTTTTATAGATTGGCTCTGTGCTAGAACCCTCCTTCAAAACTTAGCCAGGCTTGCACTGAGACTAGGCATCAGCACAAGCTGAAAGTTTTGGGAATTCTCCAGTCTTTTCTGAGCATGGGCCTTTCCCTAGGCATGCAGGTGGCTTTCCTTATCTCTGCCTGCCCCCACCGCCCCCTAGCTCTGCCCTGCCCCGCCCCATGTTTGTTTTTGAATATCTCAGTTTCACAAAGAAACTCTCCCCAGATTTTGCTCCTATTCCTCAGGTGGCGCATTACATGCTTGTCTTTTCCCCAGGCATCTGTGGTTTGGCTTGCAGTGATTTTGAACAATGCCTGCCATTTTCCTGGCCTAAGTTCTGCCTTAGGTGAAACAGATGAATGCCTTGCTTCAGTGCCTCAGCTACCCTCCAGCCAGGTTAGAACAGACATTCACAATAGTTTGTGAATAATGCTGCTCTTCTCTACCTGAACCAGGGAGCAGGGTTCACCTCCTTTGTGGAACCTTCTCTCAGTCCCCATATATTGTTATTTTTTTCTGGGTGCTCTCCAGTGGTTCACATCTACCTATAGTATTGCATTAAGTATAACGTTATTTACATACATGTGTTCTCCACTGGACGGCGAGGCCCTTGGAATTCAAAGTGGTGCCTTGCTTACATTCCCATCTGTATCCCTTAAGCTCAGAGGCAGGTACAGAGCAGGTTTCCAAAAGTGGCATACAGAACAATTTGGATTTAGGGGACATTCAGTGAGGACCAGATGAACAGGAGTGTTTCCTGATATTGTGAGACAGTGGTCTTGCAAAAGTAGACAAGTGGGTATACTTTGGAAAGCAGGAGGAACCGTAGGAGACAAAAGGGTAGTTTGGATACCTCTTCAAATTCTATACATCGTATTCAATAACTGTCATTGTTTTCCAGAAAATAATCTATATTTAAGCCCTTGAAGGTAGAGTAAGAGTAATAGAAATAATTTGAGAAAATAAGAACAGATCATTTTTGTTTTTTTTTTTAAATGCAAGGTACAGGCTGGGCGTGGTGGCTCACGCCTGTAATCCTAGCACTTTGGGAGGCTGAGGCTGGTGGATCACCTGAGGTCAGGAGTTTGAGACCAGCCTGGCCAACATGGTGAAACCCCGTCTCTGCTAAAAATACAAAAAATTAGCCAGGTGTGGTGGCAGGCACCTGTAATCCCAGCTACTCAGGAGGCTGAGGCAGGAGAATCACTTGAACCTGGGAGGCAAAGGTTGCAGTGAGCCAAGATTGTGCCACTGCACTCCAGCCTGGGCGACAAGAGCAAAACTCCATCTCAAAAAAATTAAAAAGAAAAATAAATAAATAAATAGATAAAATAAAATGCAAGGTATAGAATTGTCAAGAACTGTTTAAAAGGATACGTTATCCATCCAGGTAATTCTTATTTAAGAGATTTTTTTTTCCCCTCAAATACGTAAACAATTGAGATCTTAGTACTTTTTTTGTTTTGTTTTGTTTTTAAACTGAATAGTATTCTGTTTCTCCTAGTTGCAAGCCGGCCTGATCCACTCTGGTCTTGGAGAACTCCTTTATCTTTTGGTGGACCCTAACTGTAGTCTCTAACTCTTGAAAGTGGGAGATGGCTAGCTCTGTAGTGCTTATAATGAAAGTCACACACATAACTATCAATCAGATCCATATTTAGTTGTGAGCAGGCATATGTCAGTTTGTGCAACGTGTTTGGCTAATTTGATGATGCCCCAGTTCTTTGAACTTTTAGTGTTCTAAGCACATCTTGTCTACAGTGTTTACTGGAGACAGCAAAAAATATTCTAAGAAAATTCAGTGAACCTTAGAGTTGGAATCAGAGTGTTTAGAGATGAAGTGTCAGACCCCTGCCCTGATGAAGAGCCTGGCTCAGTCACCACACTGAGGAGCTCCTTGAGCCTCTTGATACTCGCTTACTCCTGACCTCCCAGCACCTCCATCCTCAGGCAGTCTCTGACCTGTTTTCTGTCACTGTAGATTAAGAGTTGGCAAGCTTTTCCATAAAAGAGTAGATAGAAAATACTTGAGGCTTTTTAGCCAGACACTCTCTCTCACAAATACTAAATGACTGGGTTGTGGTAAAGCAGTCATAGAAAGTATGTAAATGGGTGGCTGTGGATGTATTTCAATAAGATTATATTTATAGAAACAAGCAGGGGGTCAGATTTGACCCATGGACTATAGCTTGTCAAACCCTGCTATTTAAATTTTCTAGAACTTTATATTAAAAATGGTATATATGTATATTTGGTCTGGCTTCTTTCATTCAGCATAATTATTATGAGATTCATCCATGTGGTAGCATACATCAATAATTCATTCCTGTTATTACTGAGTAGTATTCCATGGTTTGAGTATTACACCATCTTTTTGTACACACATTCACCTGTTGATGGATATTTGAATTGTTTCCAGTTCTTGACCATCAAAACTAAGACTACAGCAAACATCGTGTTCAATTCTTTGTGTTACCTTATGCTTTAATTTCTCTTGGGTAAATACTTGAAAGTGGAATGGTGGGTTCATATTGGTAGGTGTATGGATCATGTTTTTAAAAACTGCCACGCTGTTTTCCGGAATGGTTGAACCATTTTACACTCCCACCAGCAGTGCTTGAAAGTTCCTGTTCCTTCATCTCCTTGTCAACATTTACTTTAGTCAGTGTTTTTGATTTTACACATTCTAAGGTAGATAGTGAAATGTCATTGTGGTTTTACTCCACGTTTCCCTAATGGCTAGTGATATTTGACCATCTTTTCATGTAATCATTTGTCAATCTTATGTCTTCTTTGTTGAAGTGTCTGTTTAAAATATTTCCCATTTGAATTGTGTTGTTTACTTGTTGAATTTGAGAATTAAAAATTTATATATATATATTCTAGATATTAGTCTTTTATCAGATAGATGATTTGGAAATATTTTCTCCCAGTTTGTGGCATTTCTCTACTTTAACTTAACAGTGCCCTTTGAAAAACAGGAATTCATAATTTTGATAAAGTCCAATTAATATGATTTTTTTCTTTTCATATATTATGTTTTTACTGTTATGTCTAAGAAAACCTTTAACTCAGGGTCAGAGATTTTTTCCTATATTTTCTTCCAGAAGTTTTATAGTTGTGTTTTACATTCAGACCTATAATCCATTTGTATTAAATTTCGTATATGATTAGTGAGCAGATCAAAGTAAAAGTTCTTTTGCATGTGGATATCCAACTGTTCCAGCACCATATGTGGAAAAGACTTCTCCTTCTGTATTAAACCACCATTGAATCTTTGCAAAAAAATCAATTGACCATAAATATATGGGTATATTTTTGGATTCTCCATTGATCAATTTATTTTGATGCAATATCACATTGTTTTTATTGTTGTTGCTTTATAATAAATCTTGAGGTGAGATAAAGTATATTCTCAAACCTTGTTCTTTTTTATTTTTTTATAAAAGTTGCATTGGTTATTCTAGTCCTTTGCATTCTTATGTGAATTTTAGAATCAGTTTGTTAATTTCTACACAAAAGAGTGCTGGGATTTATACAAAACATTCTTAGGAAAAATGAAAGAAGACATAAATAATTGGAGCTATATATTGTGTTTATAGATCAGAAGCCCCTATATTGTTAAAATGTTAATTTTCCCCAAATTAATTCGTACATACCTCTCTGCTTCAAAGGAGTCCACCCTGTAGTCCCTGATATTAATGGCCATATATGTTATATTACATAGCCAAGGAACTTTGCAGGTGGATTTAGGTTATAAACCTCCATAAAGGGAGATTTTTCTGGATTATCCAGGTAGATCCAATGTAATCATAAGGGCCCTTAAAAATAAAGTGAAAGATAGAAGAGCCAGTTAGAGAGCTGTGACAGAAGAAGAGGCAGGAGAGATTTGAAGTGTGAGAGGGACATTGCTGACTTTGAAGATGGAGGAATGGAGGCATGAGGCTGGGAATGTGGGTGCCTCTGGAAGCTCAGCACAGCTTTTGGGTGACAGCCAGTAAGGAAACAGGGGCCTCAGTCTTACAGCTGCAGGGAACTGGATTATGTCAACACCTGAATGAGCAGAGAAACAAATCCTCCCCTAGAGCCTCCAGACAGGAACGCAGCCCTGCCAACACTGTGGCTGTGACTTCATGAGACTCTAAGCAGACATCCTGCTGTGAACCAGCATCCTCTGACCTATGAAAATCATGATATAATTGAAAACTAGTACACCTTTTTATATCTATAGCATCTATAGTCATGCCACTGATCTTCTTCTTGATACTGGAAATTTTGTTTTCTCACTTGCTCTATTCAGATTGGCTAAAAGTTGACTGATCTTACTGAGCTTTTGAAAGAAGCCAGTTTTGGTATCATTGCTTTTCTCTAACATTTTTTCCATTTTCTATTTCATTGATTTCTACTCCAGTCTTTATTATTTCTTTTCTTCTACTTATTTTGGGTTTCATTTGCTCTAACCAGTAAGGAAAAATATAACCAGAACAATTAAACAAAAACTTTATGAAAGAAGATATATGGATGTCAAGTAAGTAAAAGATGCTCAGTGTTGGCTGGGCATGGTGGCTCATGCCTGTAATTCCAGCGCTTTGGGAAGTCAAGGTGGGTGGATCACTTGAGGTCAGGAGTTCGTGACCAGCCTGGCCAACATGGTGAAACCCCATCTCTACTGAAAATACAAAAATTAGCTGGGCATGGTGGTGCACACTTGTAATCCCAGCTACTCGGGAGGCTGAGGCAGGAACATCACTTGAATCTGAGAGATGGAGGTTGCAGTGAGCTGAGATTGCACCACTGCACTCCAGCCTGGGCCACAGAGTAAGACTCCATCTCAAAAAAAAAAAAAAAAAAAAAAAAAGATGCTCAAAGTCATTAGTCATGAGAAAAATGCAATTGGAAACCACAGTAAGATCCCACTACACAACCATTGGAATGTCTAAAATCAGAAAGGCTGATCAAATGTTGGTGAAGATGTGGAAGAACTGGAATTCTCATCCACTGCTGGTGGGATTGTAAAATGATAAAATTATTTTGGAAAATAGTTTTGCAGTTTCCTAAAGCATAAATGTTGCATATAACATTGCATAGTATTAAGCTATCATATATCCAACCATCTCATTCCTAGGTATTTAGCCAAGAGAACTGAAAGCATGTGTACATACAAAAACTTGTATATGAATGTTCATAGCATGTTTATTTGAAATAGCCAGACACTGGAAACAATCCATGTGTCCATCAATAGGTGAATGGTATGTACATTGTAATATAGCCACACACTAGCATACTACTACACATTAAAAAAGATGAACTACTGACTCACACACCAACAGCGAAGGATCTTTTTTTTGTTTTTGAGATGGAGTTTGGCTCTCATTGCCCAGGCTGGAGTGCAATGGCGTGATCTCGGCTCACCACAACCTCTGCCTCCCAGGTTCAAGCAATTCTCCTGCCTCAGCCTCCCAAGTAGCTGGGATTACAGGCATGTGCTACCACATCCAGCTAATTTTGTATTTTTAGTAGAGACGGGGTTTCTCCATGTTGGTCAGGATGGTCTCGAACTCCTGACCTCAGGTGATCTGCCTGCCTGGGCCTGCCAAAGTGCTGGGATTACAGGCGTGAGCCATCGGGCCCGGCCAACAGTGAAGGATCTTAACATGATTATGCTGAATATTAATTTTTTTGTCTGGATGATCTGTCTATTGAGAAACAGTCAGACAAAAAATACAACAGGTGGGGCATGGTGGCTTATGCCTGTAATCCCAGCAGTTTGGGAGTCTGAGGTGGGCGGATCACTTGAGGGCAAGAGTGTGAGACCAGCCTGGTCAACATAGTGAAACCTCATCTCTACTAAAAATAGAAAAAGTTAACTGGGTGTGGTGGTGCATGACTGTAATCCCAGCTACTTGGGAAGCTGAGGCTCCCCAGCTTGAGCCTGGGAGGTGGAGGTTGCAGTGAGCTGAACTGCAGCCCAGCCTGGGTGACAGAGCAAAACTGTGTCTCAAAAAGGCCCCCAAAACAACAACAACAAAAAACTATGGTGCAATTTACAGAAAACCTGCATTTATAGAAAATTTAAGCCAATCTATAGTGAAAGAAAAGAGATGAATGGTTTACTGGGAGTGTGGGGGTTGACAAGAGGAGCTAGAGGAGGTACAAGAACATAGGCATGAATAAACTTGTGGGTCAATGGGCATGTTCATTATCTTGATTACAGTGTTGGTTTCATGAGTATACACATAACCAAATAGAAATTATATGCATTTTACATATATGCGGTTTGTAGTATGACAATTATTCTTGATAAAGAAAAAGGCAACCAGAGGTTAAAGAAATGAATCGGTGTGTTAACAGTGGAACTATATCTCTATGTCTATTTACTTATTTTCAGGATGGATTGCTATTCTGGGTGCCATCTGGTTGCTAATTTTAGCTGATATTCATGATTTTGAGATAATTCTACACAGAGTGGAATGGGCAACCCTTCTGTTTTTTGCAGCGCTCTTTGTTCTGATGGAGGTAAGATTTTAGAACTTTTGCCATATGGCATTTTACCTGATTTTTGTATTTCATGTTTTATTTGGTGAATGAAGAAAGCCTACATCTATTAATCTTTCCTTATATTCTCTAAGTGGAAAACAATGAAGGTTGTAATTGGACTATTTTAAGTTAACCAGCTTTACCTTAGCCACTGAGAGATTTCTGACAGCACTGCGTATTTGTTTTTTTTCTTGAATTATCTTTGTGGTTTGTAAACTCATTCTAATTTCATTTTCTATAAAATATAATTTACTATAAGTTGAGTTTGGAGCTAAATTACTTATAACAGCAAGTTTAGGAGGTAGTGTGACCTTGATGATCTGTTTCATTTTGTGTGATATTTGAGTAACATTTCCGTTATCACGGAAAAGACTACATCAGTAATATGTATTGTTTCCATTACAATTGTTGTTACAAAATTACTCACAAAATCTTGAGACTTCATTTATAAATTTGTGTCCTCCTCAAACAGAAAGGTTTACTAACACAGAAAGATACTACTCCTCAAACCATGCCCCCAGCACCACTTCTTTGCATTTCTTCAATTTAACATGTAACGTGCTTTCATTTTCATTAAGCTAGAAATATTTTCTAATTTTCCATATAATTTCTTTTTTTGACTTATGGGTTATTTCAAAGTATGTTTTGAAGGCTCCAAATATTTGTGGATTGCCCATGTTTCTTTATGTTTTTGACTTTTAATTTAATTCAGTTGTGGTCACAGGACATACATTGCACAATTGCAGTCCTTTTAATTTTATTAAGACTTGTTTTACGGTCTAGCATTTGATCTGTCTTGGAGAATATTCTACTTGTGATGTGTATTCTGCTGCTGTTTTGTGGAGCATTCTATCAGTGTTAGATTTGTCTTGCTTGTTAACAGTTCTGTTTGTCTCTTGCACATTATTAGTGATATTCTGTGAAACTGTTCTATCAGTTATTGAGAGTGGGGTATTGCAGTCTTCAACTATTTTGTTGGATTGGGTATTTTTCCTTTCAAGTATGTCAGCTTTTGCTTCATGTATCTTGAGGATCGGTTGTTAAGTGTATATACTTTTATAATTATTACATCATCCAAATGAATTGAACTTTATCATTACTAAATGTCTCTTTTTCTCTGGTAATGTTTTTGTCTTAGGGTCTATTTGCCTGATACTGGTATAGCCACTTCAGCCCACTTTTGTTTACTGTTTGCATGACTTATCATTTTAAAAATGATAAAATCTAGCCTGACAATTTCTACATTTTAATTGAAATATTCAATCCACCCCCATTTAATACTTATTCATACGCTTGGCTTCACGTCTGCTACTTTGCTATTTTCACTATATCTCATATCTTTTTTCCTCTCTTTATCTTTTACTGCTTTCTTACTGTGTTAAATTACATTTTATTGTATACTAATTCTCTTCTTTGTTTCTATTTTTAAAACTGTGTTTTTGAGTTATTTTATTATTGATTGCTCTAAGGGTTAAACTGTACATCTTAGTTTAATATGATCTGTGCTGGATTAATACTAACTTATCTCGTGGAAAATACAGACATTGTGTTCCAGTAGAGCTCCATTTGTCCTCCCTTGTTTGTGCTTTGATGGTCACGTATGTTGTACTTCTACGTTATATGCCTAACATATATAATAGTTTTATCATTTCAATTATTTTGTGCAATGTATTTTATATTAAGAGAAAAAAGAAAAATGATAAAAAAAAGACATACAATTGACCCTTGAACAACATGGATTTGAACTGCATGGGTCTACTTATATGGAGATCTTTTTCAATAAATGTATGGGAATTTTTTTTGGAGATTTGTGATAATTTGAAAAAACACAGATGAACTGCATAGCTTAGAAATATTGAAAAAAATTAAGTCAAAGTTAGGTATGTCACATAGACCAATGGAACAGAACAGAGAGCCCAGAAATAAGGCTGTACACCTATGACCATCTGATCTTCGACAAAGCTGACCAAAACAAGCAGTGGGGCAGGCAGTCTCTACTCAATAAATGGTGCTGGGAGAACTGGCTACCCACATGCAGAAGATTGAAATCGGACCCCTTCCTTATACCATATACAAAAATCAACTCAAGTTGGATTAAAGACTTAAACGTAAACCCCAAACTATAAAACCCTGGAAGACAATCTAGGCAATACCATTCTGCACATAGGCACGGGAAAAGATTTTATGACAAAGGTGCCAAAAGCAATTGCAACAAAAACAAAAATTGACAAATGGGATCTATTAAACTAAAGAGCTTCTGCACAGCAAAAGGAACTATCAACAGAGTAAACAATCTACAGAATGGGAAAAAAATTTAGCAAATTATGCATCTCTGACAAAGGTCTAATAGGAACCAAAGTCTATAAGGAACTTAAACAAATTTACAAGAAAAAGAAACCAAACAGCTGCACTAAAAAGTGAGCAAAGGACATGAATGCTTTCAAAAGAAGACATACACGCAGCCAATAAGTGTATGATAAAAGCTCAATATCACCTATCATTAGAAAAATGTATATCAAAACTACAATGCAATGCCATCTCACACCAGTCATATAGCTATTATTAAAGAGTCAACAAATAACACATGCTAATGAAGTTGCAGAGAAAAGAGATCACTTATACACTGCTGGCAGGAGTGTAAATTAGTTCAACCATTGTAGAAAGCAGTGTGGTGATTCCTTAAAGAGCTAAAGAGCTAAAAAACTGAATTGCCATTTGACTCAGGAAATCCCATTACTGGGTATATATAAAAAAAGAATATAAATTCTTGTACTGTAAAGACATATGCACATGTGTGTTCATTGCAGCATTATTCACCATAGCAAAGATATGGAATTGATCTAAATGTCCTTCAGTGGTAGACTGGATAAAGAAAAGTGGATAAAGTGGTAGACTGGATAAAGTAAAGTATATGTATAAACATATACACCATGGAACACTATGCAGCCATTAAAAAGAATGAGGTAATATCTTTTGCAGAAACATGGATGGAGCCAGAGGCCATTACCTTTAGCAAACTAACACAGGAACAGAAAACCAAATACCACATGTTTTCACTTATAAGTGGGAGCTGAATGATGAGAACACATGGACACAAAGAGGGGAACAACACACACTGGGGCCTACTGGAGGATGAAAGGTGGGAGGAGGGAGAGGATCAGGAAAAATAAGTAATGGGTGCTAGGCTTAATACCTGGGTGACAAAATAATCTGTACAACAAACTCCTGTGACATGAGTCTACCTATATAATAAACCTGCACATGTACCCCTGGACTTAAAAGTTAAAAAAATTGTCCTTTGAACCAGTTATTAAAAAAAAAATGATGGTGGGTTGTGAGTGGCCAGGGGCCAAAATAAGCACATGGGAGAAACAAACACAGAAACACACACACACACACACACACACACACACACACACACACACCCCAAACAAAAAACCACAAAAGCTATGTCATGAATGCATAAAATTTTTGTAGATACTAGTCTATCTTATTTACTCCTATAAAATATACACAAATCTATTATAAAAAGTTAAAATGTATCAAAGCTTACACAAACACAGACAGTACATGGTACCATTCACAGCCAAGGGAAATGTAAACAAATGTAAAGATGCAGGATTCAATCATAACTGTGTAAAGTTAACTGTGGTACATACTGTGCTACTGTAATAATTTCACAGCCACCTCCTGTTGCCATTGCAGTGAGTGAGGATCTACTTAAGATGCTATATGGTGCTGATCATCTCCATGAGTGGTTAATCCCTTCAGTAAATT
Organism: Homo sapiens; assembly: GCF_000001405.40. NCBI lineage: Eukaryota > Metazoa > Chordata > Mammalia > Primates > Hominidae > Homo > Homo sapiens. The sequence continues at coordinate 56,615 of NW_011332701.1, read as the reverse complement.
GCCTATTGCAGTAAAAAGTGATCTCTCAATTCCCATGTATTTCTTGGTTTACTGCAATGCTTAAACCGTGGATGACACATGGGACCCATAGCAAGTGCCATTAGTGATGCTGGAAGTGCTCTAAAGAAGCAGAGAAAGGTCGTAACATTACAGGAGAAAGTTGGATTGCTTGATATGTACCATAGATTGCGGTCTGCAGCTGCAGTTGCCTACTATTTCTGACAGATGATTCACCTTGTAAACAGACGATGTAAACTTATGGTATCGATAAACACAGTACAGTACTGTAAATGTAGTTTTTGTTTCTTATGATTGTCTTAATAACATTTTCTTTTCTGTAGCTTACTTTATTGTAAGAATACAGTGTATAAGACATATAACATACAAAATACATGTTTCAGGAGTTTGAGACCAGCCTGGGTAACATAGTGAGACTTCATCTCTATAAAAATATTAAAAAATTAGCTGGCATGGTGGTGCATGCCTGTAGTCCCAGCTACTCAGGAGGCTGATGTGGGAGGAGCACTATGCTCCTGGGAGGTTGAGACTGCAGTGAGCCACGATTGTGCCACTGCACACCAGCCTGGATGACAGAGCAAGACCATGTATCAAAACAAAAGAAAATGAAATATGTGTTAATTGACTGTTTATGTTATTGGTAAGGCTCCCAGTCAATAGTAGGCTGTTAGTAGTTAAGATCTGGGGGAGTCAAAATTTATACACGGATTTTCGACTTTGTAGGGGGCTGGTGCCCCTAAAACCCACAATGTTTGAGGGTCAGTTTGTGTGTGTGTGTGTGTGTTTGTGTGTATCTTTCCTACAATTCTTTACTTCTTTGTATGGATTTAAGTTGCCACATGATGTCAGCCTGAAGAATTTCCTTTAGTAGATCTTGTAAAGCAAATCTTTTGGAAACAAATTCTCTCTTTGTTTATGTGTGAATGCCTTTATTTTGTCTTTTTAAAATACAGTTTTGTTTCACTTATATAGAATCCCTGATAGTTTTTTTTTCTTTCACCAGTCCAAATCTGTCATTCTGACTTCGGGTCTCCATTGCTTCTTATGAGAAATTAGCTGTTAATCATTGTTTCCCCTATATGCGCATTGAGTCATTTTTCTGTTACTGCTTTTGAGGCTTTACTTTGTCTTTCAATAGTGTGACTATTATGCATCTAGGTGTGGATCTTTTTGTGTTTCTCCTACTTACGTGTATGTTTTTTGAAAGTTTTAACTTTTAAGATCTTTAGATTAATTTTGAAATTAATTTTGGGTATTTGGATAGTTTTTGGTTACTATTTTTCACATATATTATTCTCTCTTTTTTTAAAAAAAATTATTCTCTTCCTTTTCTGGGATTCCTATTACAGACATGTTGGTTTGCTTGATTGCGTCCCATAGGTTTTGACACTTTATTCATTTTTCTTCATTCTTTTTTCTTCTATGTTCTTCAGATTGAGTAATTTCTATTGATCTATTTTAATTTTTGATGAGTAATTTTTATGTCATCTCAATTTTATGTCATCTCAAATATTATATTGAGTCCCTCATGTAAGTGAATTTTTTATTTCACTTGTATTGTTCAATTCCAGAATTTCTATTCTGTTGTCTTAAAAATAATTTTTATTTCCTTGTGATATTCTCTACTTAATGCATCATTGTTATCATTTTTCAATTTTTAAAGCATGATTCTTTAATTCTCTAAACATATTTAAAATTCTGCTTTGAAGTCTTTCCTAACTTCAGCATCCAGGCTCCCCTCACAGATAGTTTCTATTGGCAGTTTTTACCCCAGAGCAGGGGTCACACTTTCCTTTATTTTTTGCATATCTTATAATTTTTGTAAAAAATTAGAAATTTTAGATAATGTATTTTAGCAACTGTAGATGCTGATTTATCTCCCTGAATTTGTTATTGATTTCATTTATATGAAATCATAATAAAATGTCCTTCTTTGACCCTAAAAACAATTTTTGTCTTAAGGTCAGTTTTGTCTGATGTTAGCATAGTTACTCCAGCTCTTTTTTTGTTGTTGTTGTTACTATTTGTGTGGTCTACCTTTTTCCATCTTTTTCCTTTCAATCTATTTGGGTCTTTTAATCTAATGTGACAGCAGTAAGCTCTTGTAGACAGCATACAGTTGAATCACATTTAAAAAATCTATTTAGCCCATATCTGCCCTTTAATTGGTATGTCTATTCCATTTACAGTTTATGTAAATGCTAAGAAGGTAGTATTTATATCTGACATTTTTCTATTTGTTTTTTTCCTTATCTTTGTCTCTTTCCCTGGCCTCTCTGTTAAGGCATCTGTCTTTGCTGATATCACATACAACCTTCAGGCTTCACTAATTCCCAGTTGATTGCTCTATTTAAGTCTTAAGTTTTTAAGAATAGTTTTAGGTTCACAGCAAAATTGAGGGGAAAGTAAAGAGATTTTCCATATACTCCAACCCCCACACATGCATAGCTTCCCCCATTATCAACTTCCTCCATCACAGTGGTACAGTTGTTATGATTTATGAACCTAAATTGATGCATTATAGTCATCCAGAGTCCATAGTTTATATTAGTGCTCATTCTTGGTTCTTGGTGTTGTACATTCTGTGGGTTTGGACAAGGTATAATGACATGTATCCATCATTATGGTATCATACAGAGTAGTTCCACTGCCCTAAAATTCCTCTGTGCTCCACTTGTTCATCCCTTCTTCTCCCCCAGCCCCTGGAAATCACTGATCTTATTCCTGTCTCCATAGTTTTGAATTTTCCAGAATGTCTTATAATTGGAAGAGCACAGTATGTGGTCTTTTCACATTGGCCTCTTTCATTTAGTAATATGCATTTAACTTTCCTTCTTGTCTTTTCATGGCTTAACAGCTCATTTCTTTTTAGCTCTGAATACCATTCCATTGTCTGGATGTACCACACTTTATTTGTCCACCCACCATGACTTAAGGACATCTTGCCTGCTTCCAAGTTTTGGCAATTTTAAATAAAGCTGCTACGAACGTCTATGTGCAACTTTTTGTGTGGACCTAAGTCTTCAAATCGTTTGGGTAAATATGAAGGATTATGGCCAGAGGATAATTGCACCACCTAGAGCACTCCCAAGTTGCTGAAGTCCTCAGCATATATTCCAGGAGCTTATGGGATCGATCAGGACTATTCTTGTGTGTCTTTACTACCCAATACCTAGCACCTCCTCATATAATTGTGGGTATGAGAGTAATCATGATTCTTTGAGGAGAACTATATGATGTTTATTGTCTTGGCTATTTTATTTATACATCATGTTGGATTTCTTTAAATTTTTTCTGTATATCTTCTTTATAGCTTATTTCACTCTCCCTAATTGCTTCTTAATATTTTTCTCTTTTATCTGTACTAACCTAGGCAATTAGGGGAACCAAACTGAAAATATTGATTCAGTTACCTTGACACTGGGAAAGTCTCTTTTGTCTGTCTTCTCATTCTATTCGTTGTTATGCTGCAGTATCCCAATGATAAGTATCAGGCAGTTTCATCATGTGAGCACTAAAATGGGACAATTTATCCAGCTGCTTCCTTTAGGACCTGTATCCAATAGTGCAGGTACATGTAGCATTGGTTTTATTCATATTGATAAGTCAGAATACAATTTTGTAAAATTTCATTCTGTTGATTAAAAAAAGTTCTGGAAACTATAGGGATATAATATGTTTTCAACTAGAACAAAACAAAGAATTTTCATTTGTGACTGAAACTAATGTCAACAAAACCAACCCAACAAAGTTGCTGCTTTGTTGATGTGGACGTTAATTGAAAGAGGCACTTTTTGTGCAGAAACCAACAGGAAGGATTTCTGACTACAACTACGGGATGCATTCTTGCCTCAGTTTCCAACCTTCATGTTTTTATTTGGGTCCTCAGCAGAATATATTAATCTATCATAATTACTTATATCTTCTTGAAACTCAAGAGGTGCTGGACACAGTGGCTCTCGCCTGTAATCCCAGCACTTTGGGAGGCCGAGGCAGGTGGATCATGAGGCCAGGACTTAGAGACCAGCCTGGCCAACATGGTGAAACCCTGTCTCTACTAAAAATACAATAATTAGCCAATCCCAGATACTCGGGAGGCTGAGACAGGAGAATCACTTGAATCCAGGAGGTGGAGGTTTCAGTGAGTCGAGATCATGCCACTGCATTCCAGCCTAGGTGACAGAGTGAGACTCTGTCTCAAAAAAAAAAAAAAAAAAAAAATCAAGAGGGAGCTGAGCTTATTATTATTGCATTAACTTTGCTTGTCCTGTAACATTGTATGAATTGTGGTTTTGCAAGATGTTCAATAATTCTCCAACTTAAGTAGTCTAAAATATGGGGAGTTGAGGAACAATGGAATCTTCATGAGGTGTAACCTTAAGGAAGCCAGTTCAGATGCTTGCCTTCCCCAGGCTTCCCTGAGGGGCAGCCTAACACTCTTTCTGAAAAGTGTTAGACTTTTCGGCCCAAAAGGGACAATCAACTGGGCAAGATACTCTGACCGTCCTTTTTGAAGTAGGAAAAGCCCTATTAGGAGCCATTTTAAGGCCTGGATGCTTTCAACTCTGTTATTTTATCCTCAGATGTTCCTGTTCATTTTGCTCCCACTCATCCTTATGTAACAGGTCCTCACCTTGCTTCCCCCCTCTATGAGCAGTCTGACCATCATCATCAAGCTTACAGACCTCATTGCAGCTGGATGCAGCCTCTGGCATAATGGGGAGATGGATGGGTTGGAAGCTTTCTCATGTGCCATGAATATCACAGGACCATGAGAGCACTCCAGTGGGGATGCTCAGAGATCTGCGCACCAGTCCAGGAAGGACTCTTCCAATTCAGGCGAACAGGTTATAGTTCACATGATGTTTATGAGCACAGGCTTTCACATCAGATGGATCCATGTTCAAAGCTCAGCTTTGCTACTTCCTAGTTCTAAAATTTTAGACAAATTACTTAATACCTCTGAGCCTCAATTTTCTTATCTTTAGAATAGTCTATTAATATTAATCACGCTGCTTGTGAGAACCAAGAAGATCATATAGAAGTACTGAGCTCCATGTTGAGCTCCTAGTTGGCATTCAAAAAGTGCTATAGCCTATTATTATTATTATCATTTTTAGTAATAATTTGATTCAAAAGCTTAATTCAACCTATTCATGTTCAAACTATTCACTGTTAGCCCAGAAGAGAGTAAGGTTTGTATACAGAGGTCCTAGGCAAACTCTCTGGGCCCCACAGATCTCACACACCCAGCTCCCCTACCCCAAGCAGCCATTCCCTTCAGAGTGGCCTGCCTTCATCTTCACGCCCTGGGCTTTCATCTCTCGTTTTGCATCTGCTATCTTACACCTACCTAAGACCTCTTCCACATTTTGAGGGCTTCCTGGCCCTTTTCCTGCCATTTTGGACCTGAGTTCTCCAGCGTACGTTTTGGGTCAAATCCTTCTTCTGTCATGTTGCAGTGGCTCTGAAACAGGCCCCACTCTGAAGCACATACAGTAGGTCAGGTGTGTTCTATTTTTTGGAAAACAGTTGGAGACATTTGGGTCTATTGATTTATGTTGCACTGACTTTTGTTACTGAGGTCAGATTGTCTTCTAGAAAATTTGGTCAAACCATAGAGTAGTTGGTACAATGAAAACTGTAGGCATCTTGTCCCCTGAAATTCAAGATCAATTTTGAGTATTTCTAAATTTGGATAATGGAGCATGTTTCTGCAGATTTAGAAGGGCTTCAAAGTTAGTTAATGAATAACCTGTGTTAAGGAGTGTTATTTTACTTGTCCTTTTGTTTTATAGGGATTTGAAATGCTAAGTGTCCTTTAAATTCATGTTTAAAAATTTCTGGATGATTCTTGGATATAGGGAGTACATAACATCAATATAAACATGTTTACCCTTAGAAGAAGAAATTTTAGAATGAAACTGTTAGGCAGGAAATGTCTTTTTTTTCTTTCCAATTTGCATTTTGGGTTCGGGGGTACATGTGCAGGTTTGTTACAGGGGTAAACTGCATGTCATGGGGGCTTGGCTTACAGATTATTTCATCACTCAGGTAATAAGCGTAGGACCTGATACATAGTTTTTTGATCTTTACCCTCCTCCCACCTTCCACCCTCAAGTAGACTCCAGTGTCTATGGTTCCCTTCTTTGTGTCCATGTGTACTCAATGTTTAGCTCCTACTTATAATAATGAAAACATGCAGTATTTGGTTTTCTGTTCCTGCATTAGTTTGCTAAGGACAATGGTTTCCAGCTGCATCCATGTTGCTGCAAAGGACATGATTTCATTCTTTTTTATGGCTGCATAGTATTCCATGATATGTGTCACATTTTCTTTATTCAGTCCACTGTTGATGGGCATTTAGATTGATTCCATGTCTTTGCTATTGTGAATAGTGCTGTGATGAACATATGCATGCATGTGTCTTTGTGGTAGAATGATTTATATTCCTTTGGGTACATATACAGTAATGAGATTGGTGGGCTGAATGGTATTCTTTGAGGATCTCCAAACTGCTCTCCACATTGGCTGAACTGACTTATACTCTAATCAGCAGAATCAGCAGTGTATAAGCATTCTCTTTTCTCTGCAACCTCACCAACATCTGTTATTTTTCACTTTTTAATACTAACCATTCTGACTGGCATGAGATGCCATCTCATTTCGGTTTTGATTTGCAACATGATTAGCCATGTTGAGCATTTGTTCATATGCTTGTTGGCCATGTGTATGTCTTCTTTTGAGAAATAGCTATTCATGTCCTTTGCCCATATTTTAACAGGGTTGTTTTTTGCTTGTAAATTTGTTTAAGTCTCTTATAGATTCTGAATATTAGACCTTTGTCAGATACATAGTGTGCAAAAATTTTCTCCCATTCCATTGGTTGTCCGTTTACTGAGGTGATAGTTTCTTTTGTTATGTAGAAGCTCCTTAGTTTAATGAGGCCCCATTTGTCAACTTTTGTTTTAGTTGTAATTGCTTTTGGGGTCTTTGTCGTGAAATCTTTGCCAGGCTCTGTGTCCAAAATGGTACGTCCTAGGTTTTTGTCTAGGGTTTTTATGGTTTTAGGTTTTAAATTAAAATCTTTGATCCATCTTGAGTTGATTTTTGTATGTGATGGAAGGAAGGGGTCTGGTTTCAATCTTCTGCATATGACTAGCCAGTTATCTCAGCACCATTTATTGAACGGGGAGTCCTTTCCCCATTGCTTGTTTTTGTTGATTTTGTCAAAGATCTGATAGTTGTAGGTGTGTTATTTCTGGGTCCTCTATTCTGTTCCATTGGTCCATGTGTCTGTTTTTGTACCACTACCATGATGTTTTGGTTAACTGTAGTCATGTAGTATAGTTTGAAGCTGGGTAATGTGATGCCTCCAGCTTTGTTCTTTTTGCTTTAAACTTCCTTGGCTATTTGGGCTCTTTTTTTGGTTCCATATATATTTTGCAATAGTTTTTTTCTAATTCTCTGAAGAATATCATTGGTGTTTGATATGAATAGCATTGAATCTGTAGATTGCTTTGGGCATTATGGCCATTTTAATAATATTGATTCTTCTTATCCATGAGCATGGAAAGTTTTTCCATTTGTTTGTGTCATCACTGATTTATTTCAGCAGTGGTTTATAATTCTTGGTGTAGAGCTCTTTCACCTCCCTGGTTAGCTACATTTCTAGGTATTGTATTTTTTGTATAGCTGATGTAAATGGGATTGCATTCTTGATTTGGCTCTCAGCTTGAATGTTGTTGGTGTTTGAAAATGCTCCTGATTTTCAGCCATTGATTTTGTATCCTGAAATTTTGCTGGAGTTGTTTATCTGCTGAAGTAGCTTTTGGGCCAAGACTATGGGGTTTTCTAGGTATAAAACCATATTGTCTGTGAAAAGAGATAGTTTGACTTCCTCTCTTCCTATTTGGATGTCTTTTATTTCTTACTGTTGCCTGATTGCTCTGGCTAGGACTTCCAGTACTATGTTGAATAGGAGTGGTGAGAGAGGGCATCCTTATCTTGTTCCAGTTCTCAAAGGGAATGGTTCCAGCTTTTGCCCATTCAGTATGATGTTGGCTGTGGGTTTGTCATAGATAGCTCTTATTATTTTAAGGTATGCTCCTTTGATACCTAGGGATGTTGAATTTTATCAAAAGCCTGTTCTGCATCTATGGCGATGATCATGTGGTTTTTGTTTTTAATTATGTTTATGTGGTGAATCACATTTATTGATTTGCATATGTTGCACCAAACTTGCATCTAAGAGATAGAGCCTAATCATAGTGGATTAGCTTTTTGATGAGCTGCTGGATTCAATTTGCTAGTATTTTATTGAGGATTTTTGCATCTATGTTCATCAGGGATATTGGCCTGAAATTTTTTTCTTTCTTTCTTGCTTGCTTGCTTGCTTGCTTGCTTGCTTGCTTGCTTTCTTTCTTTCTTTCTTTCTTTCTTTCTTTCTTTCTTTCTTTCTTTCTTTCTTTCCTTTCTTTCTTTCTTTCTTTCTCTTTTTTTTTTTTGTTGTGTCTCTGCTAGGTTTGGTATCAGAAGAGGAGGGACTCTTCTCTAATTCACTCTTTGAGGCCATCTCATAGAATGGTACCAGCTCATCTTTAGAAAATGTCTTCATCTGACCTGATGGGCACATTAAATACAGTATGTGAAGATTTTCATGGCAGTTTTGGCCCCACTTTCTTTCAGGTTGTAGCAGTCTCTTCTTATAACAAGGATTTAGCAGCATAAGGGGAACCTCTCTTCAGTATTCCTATAGACAGAACCAACATATATGAGCTCACAATCTAAAATTGCAAAACACGTGGAGAAATAGTTTATCATGAATGAGAGCAAGCAAGACATTTTTGGATTATAATAATTTGAGAATGATGGATAACACTTTTAAGATGATGTATTTGATATATCTAATCTTTCCCTTCTTTCTTTTGAAATGCTTTTTTTTTTCAAAAACAAGGAAACAAGGAAATTTTCTTTTGAAAGAATTTTGGGCTTACATAAATATCGTAAAAAAGTATAGAGAGTCCACATTTACCCATCACCCAACTTCCCCTAAGTTAAAAATTATACAACCGTGATAAAACTATCGAAACCAGAAAATTAACATTAGTAGAATATTACTAAAACTACAAATACTATTCAGTTTCTTCAGTTTTTTCCTAATGACTTTTTTTCTGTCCAATATTCTATCCAGAATCCCACATTTCATTTAGTTATCATATGTCTTGAATTTCGTCTAAATTCTTTAGTCTATCTGGACCCTTTTGAAAAGTATTAGTTAGTTACCTTGTAGAGATTTCTCAGTTTGGGTTTGTCTCATGTTTTCTCATGACAGTTTTGAGGCTATGAAGTTTTGGCGAGATCACAGAGGTGATGTGCCTTGTCTAGTGCATCATATTGGGGTACAAACATTGGCATGTCCTATTACTGAAAGTGTTAACATCGATCACTTGGCTCATGTGGTGTCTGCCAGGTTTCTGTATTGTGAAGTGGAGCCCTGGCAAATTATCTTGTGGGGAAATACTTTGAGATTATACTAACATTGTGTTTTTCCTCAAACATTTTCTTACTGATTTTAGCATTTGTCAGTAGCTCTTTGCCTCTAATCATTATGACTGTAGAGTTTGCCTAATGATGATTTTGTATTATCCTTATTGCTTCTATTAATACATTTATTAACTGGAGCTTATCTATAAGGAAGAGCTATCCTTCTCCTTTATTTATTTACATTTGTAAAAGTTCATGGATGTTTATTTTATTCTATGTGTTGTAAGTCGGTACTATTGTTATTTATTTTGTTGCTCAGATTATTCCAGTTTTGACCACTGGGAGCAGCTTCGGTGTCCATTTGGCTCCTGTCGTCTTTAGACACATCCTCATCAATTTTCAATCAGTTTTTCATTTTCTCACATCATAAAATGTTCCTGAATCATTTTGCATTTTGCCTGCTCTTGCCCTGGAATCAACTGCCTCTCAAAAGATTTCTCATTCCTTGTATTGGGGAATGGTGTTTAGAAATCAAAATCTGGATGCTTGGTGTGTGTGTAGCAATTTAGATGTCGCTGAATCTAGGCCTCCGCAATCAGCATAGTTGGGCATATGTGTTTGTATACCAACACCCATATCCACACATCCATATCTGTATCTATATATTAATTTACTCGTCTATGTGTTTAAAACCTTCAGATCATATTGATTCCCTGAATTCCAATCCAGCACCATAAGATTTGCCTCTTGCTCTCACTGTCTACAATATATACTCACTTATTTGTTCAATTCCTAGCATACACCTAAAGTAGTTACAGAATTGCTAACTCATATATTTGTGAGAAATAGATTTACTAACTCAACTACAGTATTTGTGTAGACTTCTTTTTGTCTTTAGTCTTACAGTAGCCTGTCAAAATATGGTTTTCTGAAATTTCTTAAATTAATTCTTTTCTTCTCCATAGCCTTCAGTATGTTTATGTTATTTATTTGTAATGCACTTATTGGGGCTGGGATTGCTGTGATTTGGATACTTGTCCCTCCAAATCTCATGTTGAAATCTGATCTCTAGTGTTGAAGGTGGGGCCTCATGGAAGGTGTTTGGGTCATGGGGGGTGGATCCTCTAAGAATGGCTTGGTGCCATCCTCATGGTAATGAATGAGTTCTCACTCTATTACTTCGTGAGAGACCTGGTTGTTAAAAGAGCCTGGCACCTCCCCCTTCTCTCTTGTTTTCTCCCTCACTTCTGCTCCTGCCATGTGATCTCTGCACACCAGCTTTCCACTATGAGGGGAAGCAGCCGGAGGTCCTCGTCAGATGCAGATGCTGGTGCCATGCTTGTTCTACAGCCTGCAGAACTGTGAGCCAAATAAACCTCTTTTATTTTCTCTTTTCTTTTTTCTTTTCTTCTTGAGACAGGGTCTCATTCTATTGTGCTTGAAGTGCAGTGGCACAATCACTGCAGCCTCAACCTTTCCAGGCTCAAGGAATCCTCCTAACTACAGCCTCCCAAGTAGCTGGGACTACAGGCTTATACCACCACACCTGGCTAATTTTTGTATTTTTTGTAGAGACAGGATTTTGCCATGTTGCCCGCAGGCTGTTCTTTTCTTTAAATTACCCAGCCTCAAGTATTTCTTTATTGCATCATAAATGGACTAAGATGGGATATTTGAACCATTACCATGGTTCTAAGAATCAAAGCCATACAGAAATGTATATGAAAGGAAGTATCACTCTCTCCTCATGCTTACTATCCTGTTCTCCTTTGCTCATCTTTCTACCTTACCTAGATCTTTCCTGTAAGTAGCTGATGTACCTGTCTTGTATTTCTTTTCTTTTCTTTTTTTTCTTTCTTTCTTTTTTTTTAGATGGAGTCTCACTCTGTTGCCCAGGCTGGAGTGCAGTGGCATGATCTCGGCTCACTGCAACCTCTGCCTCCTGGGTTCAAGCGATTCTCCTGCCTCAGCCTCCTGAGTAGCTGGGACTACAGATGCCCTCCACCATGCCCAGCTAATTTTTGTATTTTTAGTAGATGCGGGGTTTCACTGCATTGGTTAGGCTGGTCTCGAACTCCTGACTTTGTGATCCACCTGCCTCGGCCTCCCAAAGTGCTGGGATTACAGGTGTGAGCCACCACACCCAGCCGTATGTTTTTTTTTTTTAACATAAATAAGCACATACAACTGTTTATTTTGTATCCCCTTCTTTATTACTTGAAGAATAACATAGTGTAGATAATCTTTCACATTTTGCTTTTTATAAGCTTAATGTTATGTCTTGGAAATCACTCCTAATCAGTTCACAGAAATCTTCCCAATTCTTTTTTATAACTATATAGTACCCCATTTTGTGAATGTGCCATCGTTTATTCAACCTTCCTTCTACATAGAGGCATTTAGGTTGTCTCCAGTCTTTTGTGATTACAAACAACACTACGGTGAATATTTTTGTATTGTTAGAGGTGTACCTTCAGGGTATATTTCTAGAAGTCAGATCACAGAGTCAAAGGTAAGTGCATGTTTTATTCTTCATTGCCAGATTTCCCTCTGCAAGAGTTGTGCTGGGTTATACTCCCACTGGCATTATGTGAGTGTGGCCATTTTCCTAGTCTGCCTGACAGAATGTCATAATTTTTCATTTTGTCAGTTTTATGAAAATAGTATCTCAGTGCTGTTTTCATTTGCATTTCTTTAATGATAAGTGAATTTGAACTTTTTTTTTTCATGTTTGAAGGCCATTTTTGAATCCTTTTTGGTTAATTGTGCATTCATGTCAGTGTCCTGTTTTTCGATTGCGTCTTTGTTTCACACTGTTCAAGGGTTCTTTATTTATTAGGGATATTAGCTCTTTGTGGTATAGACTGCAATTATTTACTCCTAGTTAGTTGTTTTGTGACTTTTTATAGTGTGTCTTTGTTTATTTTGGTCATGTAATTTTAAGACACTTTATGTAGACAGATTTACTAGTTATGTCTCTGGATTTTCAGTTTTATATAGAAAGGCTAAATAGAAAATCACCCATTACTTCTATGCTATCTTATTTTACATTTAAATCTCTAATACATTTGGGTTTTTTTCTTGCATATAGTGTGAAATATGGAATCTAATTTTATTTTATTTTTCCAAGTGACTACCTGGTTGTCCCAGTACCATTTATTAAACTGGACACTTGTACTCCAGTGATTTGAGATGTCAATTTTATCCTACATTAGCTTTTCATATGTCCTTGGTCCTATTTCTGAACTTCCTATTATATTACATGTCTATTTGTCTGTTAATGGACCAGCATCAAATTGTTTGAGGCTTTATAATATGTTTTAATGTCTGGTAGGGCTAGTTATGTCCCCTTTTTAGTTTTTCTTTTTCAGTGCTTTTTGGGATATTCTTAATATTTCTTTTTTCTTATGAACATTAGTATCAACTTGTCTAACTCAATTATGAAATAGCTTGCTGACATTTTTGATCAAGATTGCATTGAATTCATACATTAATGTGGCAATAGCTGTCATCTATATATTGTTAATTAATTTAATCTGAGAACAGGATGTGTCTTTGTATTTGATCAAGTCTACTTCTGTGTCTTTCAGGAATGTTTTAAAATTGTGTTGTATAATTTTTGCACATTTTTTGTTAAAGGTATTATAAAATATTTAATCTTTGTTGATATTATGCATGTGGTTTTCTTTGACAGTAAGTTCTCTACTGTTTATTTTTTTGTGTATATAGAGGCCATTGGTTTTTATAAGTTAATTTATCCTTAGTTGATATCCCTGTCTAATGTTAAATAGTAGCAGAAATAAAGGGTAAACACAGCAGGCCTATGAATGCCATGCTTAGAAAGGTCTACTTGCCAGGTTAGTCCTTGGCTGGCATCTGGGAACTCAAATTTCAGAAGTATTCCCACCATTATCTAACTAATAAGGACAGTTTACTGTGCCTAGACTGTTTATGCAAACAATTTGATTTATGCTAAACACCTGTTTTCTTTCTGGGAGTCTGGAATTTTGGTATATGTTAGGCAGAGGATGTTTATGTGTCAGACCCCAATAAAAACCTGAGTCTCTAATGGGCTTCTCTGGGCAGGAACATCACACACATGTTGCTACATTTTCATTGCTGGGGCACTCTGTGAGCCCCCACCATGGGAGGAAGAGCGAGAAGGAAGCCTCACATGGATCTGTACTCACGTGGACTCCACATTCGTCTTTTCCCCTTATGATCTGGCTGTGTGTCCTTACTTCATGGCTGTAATGAATGGTAGTCAGGTGTGCAACTGCATGCTGACTCGCAGAATTCCTCTAGAAAATCTCCAAGTGTCAGGATGGTCTTGGAGATTCTGACACACTGACATAGTGGAAATGCCTTTAGTATTTCTCTATTAAATATGATACTGGCTTTAGGATTAGATATATATACCTAATGTAATTTTTTATCACATTAACAAAGTATCCACCAATTCCTACTTTCTTGAGTGTTTTAAGCAAGAATGGGTGTTGAAATTTGACAAAGATTTTTTCCCCCTAGTATTTATGGAGATCATCATATTATTTTTCACTTAGATCTATTAATAGAGTGTATGGTACTAATGAATTTCCTAATATTGAACCAACCTTGAATTCTGGAATGAATTATCTTTTTTATGATTTATTATTTTCTTAATGTGGTGGTCTTTTTGCTAATATTTCATTTTCTATTTGGCATTGATATTTATTAGTAATTCATGATATTCATAAGTAATACTTTTCTGTAGTACTCTTTTTTTTTCTTAATGAGTCTTTACGTGGTTTAGGTATCATTGTCACACTTGCTTCATAAAGGGAGTTAGGAAAATTTACCTTCTTTTCAATAATCTGAAATAATTTATAGATAATTGTGACTATCTGGTTTTTGAGGGCTTGATACAATTCCCCTGTGAGACCATCTTGGCCTGGCTCTTTTTTGGGAGTGGGCTAGTTATTTCTTCAATAACTTTTTATTTCTTTGGAAATAGGTCTGTTTAAGCTTTCTAAATCAGATGGGGTCAATATTGGCAATCTGTATTTCTCTAGGGAACTATCCATTTCACCTAGGGTTTAAAATTTATTTTCACAGAAGTTTCCAAATTAGTCATTTATGATTTAAATTTTACTTCTGTTTCAATGATTATTTCCTTGTTGTTCTTTCTTATTTTGAATATTTGTGCTTTTTCCCCCTTTTCCCCTTAATCAAGTTAGATTGTGGTTTGTCCATCTTGTTAATTTTTTTCAAAACAACAACTGGGAGTTGGTTAATTAATATACTGTTTTTATATTCTCCATGTCATTAATTTCTGCTTTAACTTCATTATCTCCCTCCTTTATTTGGTGGACTTTGTTTTTTTCTAGTTTTTAGAATTGGATATTTAATCTTTTTTTCAGTGTTGTTATTAAATGTGTTTTGTGCAATGATTTTCCTCTGATTACTGCTTTAAATGCATCCCTTAAATTTTGATATGTAGTGTTTTCATCATTTTTTAAAAATTGTAATTTCTGTTTCTATTTCCCACAAGAATTGTTTCAATAGAACATTTTTAACTTTCCTGGCAGAAGGACCTTTCTGTTTTTTGTTTTTCTTAGTAATTTTCTAGCTTGGTTGCACTGGCAGCAAAGAGGTTTTTGTATTTCAAAATATTTCTACTTTACGGAAGTTATTAATTGCTATGTTTTGGATATTTGTCCCCTTCAAACCTTATGTTGAAATTTGATCGCAGTGTTGGAGGTGGGGCCTGATGGGAGGTGTTTGGGTCATGGTGGCGGATCCCTTCTGAATGGCATGGTGCCATCTTTGTGGTAATGAGTTCTCACTCTATTAGTCCTTGTGAGAGCTGGTTGTTAAAAGAGCCTGGCGCCTCCCACTCTCTTGCTTCCTCTTTTGCCATGTGATCTCAGCATGCCCTGGGTCCCCTTTACCTTCCCCAACAAGTGGGAGCAGCCTGAGGCCCTCACCAGAAGCTGAGTGGATGTTGGTGTCTGCCTCTACTTTCAGAGGCTACAGAACCATGAGCCAAATAAACTGTTCTTTGTAAGTTGGCTGGATTGGAATCCTTTGTTACACTTTTTTTTTTCATTGACTTATTTTTAAAAATATTGCTCCATTGTCGTTTTGTTTATATCTTGATTTTGGAAGACCTGATGTCAGTCTGATTGTTTTGCGTGCGGCCTTGATGATTTTTATCTTCTTCCTTGAAATCTTATAGTTTTACTAGAACATGTAACAGAGATTTTAGTTTTAAATATTAGCTTCATTCTACTATTTGTTTTTTTCCCTTAAGGACTCCAATAAACAAATATTATTCCTTCATTGCCCGGGTTCCATTTCCACTACTATCTCTGCCCTTTTAATTTATCTATTTACTTATTCATTTTTATTCTCTTACTTGCTTTGATATCTTTATTTAGTGACCCTTGTTATATTTTCATTTTTGTCTATTGTCTTTTGGGCATCTTTTAATTTATTTCTCATTTCTTTTGTAAAGTGATTTCTCTGAGTACATAATAGTTGTTGCATATTTATGGGGGACATGTGATATTTTGATACAATAATACAATATGTAATGATGAAATCAGGGTAATTAGGATATCCATAACCTCAAACATTTATTGTTACTTGTTTTGGGAACATTCCAAGTCCTTTCTTCCAGTTATTTTAAAATATACAATAAGTTATTGTTAATTATAGTGGCCCTATCATGCTATCAAACACTAGAACTTATTACTTCTAACTAACCCTATTTTTTGTACCCATTAAACAACCCCTTATTTCTGAGAAAACTTGGTTACCTCATCCTTGAGTTCAATCAACTTTTTATTTCTCCCTGTTATTTGCCCATTTCTGTTTTCAAATCTCTGATTTAAGGTGGGTTTGTATTTTTGATGCTTGCTTGAGGCGTGGGCATGGCGAATTCATTTTGAAGTGTGGGCTTGTAGTTTTCTTCTACATGCTTCATGGTTATTTTCAGAGGGGATTTTCCTCAGCTGATACATGTGACATTTCCGCTCCTGATAGCGTTTGCACTAGCTCTGTAGGTGTGACTTCATTTTTCTCTTGTTCATTTAATGCCGTTGGGCTTGTTTGTGTTTTGTAGGATTCCTGGCGCTCTTCTGCGGGCAGAGCACAGTCCTCCGACTCCTGCCTTGCGGAACCCCGCTTTTACCTCCTTTTCTTTTCCACTTGACCACTTGGTTGCCCAAAGGAGCTTTCCCTTCCTCTTTGCTCTTTCCTCCCCAAGGCTGCATGCCCCCAGATGGGCCCTTTCTGTGCTCCTGCTCCTCTCACAGCACCTCCCAGGGCCCAGTTCCCCCTGGCCCGTTCTGGTGGACCTTCTGATCACCTCAGCACCCCCTCTGTCTTCCCTCAGGGCTTTCTGTCCATTTGCTGTAAAGCTTTGTTGCTGGGACAGCAGTGAGAGAGAGAGCAGGCTGGGGGTTTGGTGGTATTTTCACTTTTCTCTTTTCAGTTCAGATATTTTACACTTTTGGGGTTCTCTACCTTCACATTATGTGGAAGGCATGGCTTTGTGTAGATTTTACTTTCTTTTCTTTCTTTTTCTGTCTTTTGGGAGGAAATTTTGGGATAGAAGCAGTTATACCACTGCCATTGTCCTCAGCTGTCCACATTGCCAATTTTTTTTTTTTTTTTTTGAGGTGGAGTCTCATTCTGTTGCCCAGGCTGGAGTGCAGTGGCGCGATCTTGGCTCATTGCAACCTCTGCCTCCTGGGTTCAAGCAATTCTCCTGCCTCAGCCTCCCGAGTAGTTGGGATTACAGGCACCCACCACCACGCCCGGCTAATTTTTGTATTTTTAGTAGAGACGAGGTTTTGCCATGTTGGCCAGTCTGGTCTCGAACTCCTGACCTCAGGTGATCCGCCTGCCTTGGCCTCCCAAAGTGCTGGGATTACAGGCATGAACCACCATGCCCAGCCCCGTGTTGCCGATTTCTAAAAGGGAACCACTGTATGTTAATCAACAAACTGTGCTGTGGTGGCCACAGGCCAGGTCCATGGAGATTTCAGAGGCCTACCCAGGCAAGCTTGAGGAGGTGGGGGGTGCTGGGAATATGAGGAGTTGTTGCCTAGGGTTCCTGGCCTTGTCCTTGTACTTTGCAACTTGGTGTTCCCCAGTTTGTGCTGGAGTATCCCCAGGAGTTGGGGAGGATAGACTGTTGGCAGTAGAAGGAACTTTATACACTTAACCAAGCCCCATGATCAGTGAGGGGCTGAGCTGCTGCTCCATGTGTCAGCTCGTGTCTCCAGCCCAGCCACTGAGCTGGCCCAGGTAGGACTGAGCTCCCTCTTCTTCTCTGGGGCTGCCATTCTCAGCCACCCCCGCACCTCCCTAGTAGAGTTCCCTGAAATTGCCCTGTGTCTGGGCCAAGGATACACCCCGCACTGTAGTGTGCAGTTCTTCCGTCCTCCAAAGCTCATCTGCGCATCTCTTCTGGTTCTCTTAGGCCCCAGCATGGTCGGGAGTCTTTCTCTGTCCCCCAGCGCTCCCAGCCAACAGCACTGCTCACTTCTGCCCCGTCCACCTGAATCTGCTGCAGTGGGCCCTGCTCTGGTCCTCCTGGGGCTGGGTCGGGTGGATTTTGGAGCGAGCGAGGGAGCTGAACAATGCACTGTGGGCTGGCTTCCCTTGTTGCTGCTCCGGCAGGACGGTATCTCCACAAAGGTTCAGAGGCGAAAGGAAATGAGAACGGGAGCTATGACTTGGATTCACAGGGAAGCTGAATAAAGGGAAAGGAGAGAGTTTAAACTTATCTGCAGGCATCATGTTAAATGTAATGTTTTCTTGACAAATAGCCAGCACACTGCACTATTTTTAAAAATCCCCTCATTAAAAGCTAAGACCAATTTCTTACATATGGAAGAGTTTCTATGCTACAGGTTATTCTAATGAGAAAAGAAGAAAAGTGACTTACAATACTATACAATACCATCACATGAAATATTCATGTAAAAATTCTTTTAGAACAAGAAGACACATTCTTATAGGTAAGAAATGCTATGCAGATATTAAAAATTAATTCCTGAGCACAAGAGTGAGCCAGGGTAATGCGAGTGCAGTTTGTCCAGAGTTTAAAAACCAGGACCTGGGGTTCCCAGGCCTTGAAGCCATCACTAAGGACCTAAGCCTCGCTCTCCACTCCCGCTAGGCCGCAGGGACCCGCTCCTGGGGGATGGAGGGCAGGAAGCAGGGGGCGAGGGGAGTTCCAAGCTCCTGGGGGAAGCCCGGGACTTTCCAGGGTTTTCTTCTCAGTAATAGAAAGTGCCTCCGGGGCAACAGAGCAAGACTCCATCTCAACAAAACAACAACAAAAACAAAACAAAAAGAAAGTGCCTCCTAGAGAGTAGGTGGGAGTTGGAAGTTCCTTCAGTCTTCATTTCCATCTCCCAAGCGACACTTTCTGAGGCAGGGTCCCCTGCACAGGCGTCCTGGAGCGGGAGGGGTGGCTGGCGGTGCCAGGAGAGGAGGGCAGCTGTGGGCCCGCGGAAGCACCGCCGTGGCGGGCTTGGGGTTTCGGAGCACAAGATAACAGCTGTGTGAGAAACACACACAGCTGGGTGAGGACAGACCGTCGGGACTTACGCGAAAGCCTGCTTTGAGGGTTCACGGCGCCGGCGACACAAAGGTGGAGTTTACTGCAGCCTGTCTCCAGCCTCACAGCAGCCCAGGGGAGAGGGGGCGCAGGAGCGCTGGGACCCCCGCAGATCTCGGGGCTTCTCTCAGGGTCACAGAGGGCTCCTCTCCTTCCCCTTGGCCTCCTTCCTTGCGGGGTGACTGCCCCTCGTGGCCTCCCTGACCCGGGTGCCCTGTGGGTGCTCCCGAGGGGATCGAGGTCGGGGTGGAGGATGTGAGCTCTGCAGGCCGCCCAGCCAGCGCCCACGTGCTCAGGTGTCAGCTAGGGACGCGCGTGTGCGTCAGCGTGATTTGGAGGAACGCACTGTGCCTGGAACACTCTGACTCTGTCCCTCTGCGCCTGCCCGCCTCCCCAAAGGCCAGGTCGGCTGCACGTAGTGTTTCCGCGTATGGTGCATCTCCCTGTGGCCATCCCGCCCCCAGCCTGCAGAGGAAGAGTTCCCAAAGCCTTTCCTAAATCTCCAAAGTCCCTCTGTTTCCCTGGTGGCACTTCACACTAGCTCTTTGTGTGAGGTGGGACTCGCCAGAGATGGACAGTCACTGCCAGGAGAGGCCCCTGCGTGTCCTGGGAACCTGGGATTCAGTGCGTGCTCAGAGACGTTTTAGGAGTGCAAGATTTACCATAGGCTTGGCGATGTCTTTTGTTTATTTTTAAGTTAACTGAAACAACCCAGGAACTGGATTTCTTCAAATTTACCAATTTATACTTTAATTTGGGAAAAGGAAAAGCACTCAAAAATAAATTTAATTAGTCAATCTATAATTATGATACGAATAAGTTCCACTTAAATATAATATTCCAAGCATAATAATTTGTTGAGTAAATCAAATCGTTGATACATCTTAGTGTTCCCAAAGTTAGGAAATCATCTAAGCTTCATAAAAAGAAAGCATTTCACGTATTTAAATTTTCCCCAGAAGTCCTTCTTTGCTAAAAATAGAAAAAAACAACAACAACAACAACTTTTTTTTCATGACTTCAAAATTTGCAGATATTCTGTGCCTGGAAGGAATCAGTGGGGTTTCTCATGCTTTCCACACCGTAGTTCAGGACTGCAGCCTGGAAACTGCATGATGATGGAATTTCCATCAGAGGGAATATTAGACATTATTTAATCAAATCCTTTCATTTTATGAATACATTTCAGAGGTCAGATGAGTTGAGTGCTCTCCCCCTCCGCCCCCTGCCAGGACCCTTCTGGTCACAGTGGCTCTGGGTGGGCAACCCTGTTCTCTCAGAAACCCCTGGCTCCTTGGGCACAACTCGCTGAAGTCTTGTGTCCCCAGCCTCACATGGCTGCCCTGGATACTCCAGGTGAGCAGGGCCCTATTGGGTTGAACAGTTGTGACCTGCTACGTCTGGGGACTTAGGTCTGGGGACTTACATGTGCATGTATTTCTGTATCATCATTTAAAAATCTGTGCAATGTTACATTGTAAGTGGATAGGCTATCATCAGCTTTTCCCCTTTTGTTGACATTTAGGTTATTGTCTATCTTTTTCCTCTTGAAACAGTCATGTAAGGAACATCTTTGAGCATTGGGTGGTGACTATTTTCCACCCTCCTTGCGAGGTAGGGTCTTTCTCAGGAAAGAAAGAGATTATGTGCTCAAAGGTCAGGTTTGGGGAAAGAATGGGTGTGCTGAACTCCTGAAGAAAAGAGGCCACGACCTCATGGGCCTGAGGGGCAAAGGGGAGATGGGAGCTCTAGTGGCCTGTGATCACCTGTGGCCTGGCCAGAGGAGCCAGGAGATTCAGTGACCTTGTTCCTCCCACCCATCAAGTCCTGCCAGTGTCTCCCATTGGCCAGACTTACCTGGATTCCAGAAGATGGGAGAGCTGCCAGCAGCAGGGCTGGGGAGAAGGCTGGGGAGAAGACCAGGGGCAGGACTAAAGGGCAATGAGGGATAGCCCCAGACAGTCCTCCACTTGTGCCTGTTAGGATTTTAAAAACATCGTTTGTCCAGTCCAAGAGAAAATCACTTGTCCTCAAAACAAGAGCTGTACAATATCCCATCAGCTACTGTGTGATATGGGGTGATGTTGGTTCAGTAACACCTGAAACTTAAAATGTTAGCTATCCCAATGCTCTTCCTATTATGACAATGGAGAATAAGTGGGGGAAGAGAAGCAACAAAATACCATAAAACAGAGCTGCTATAGCCCCGGCTTCCAGAGCTGATTCTGAAGTCTGAATTGTTAGTTAACTCACTTCTTTAATGCCACGTTCCCCTGACCTCTGCCACCACTTCAGATACGTGGTTTTTATCCACTGTTGAGGTGACCCAAACCATCATTCTCATAGGACCTGAGACCTTGGTGTTGTGTCTGTACTCGAGTGCCAAGGTGTGCATGAACTGGGACTACTGGAATGTAAGGAGGCACACCTGTGAATGCCCAGCTCCCGGCCAGTTCTTGCCAGCATGAGGAAGCAGCAACCTAGTTCCCTCTGAGAATTGAAAGCAGTTATCTTGGACAGTAGAGGGACTCTCCTTGTCTGCTTGATGGTCACAAGACATGTGGAGCTTCACATGGCCAGGGAGGATTCTCAGCTTCCAATGAAATGCTGACACCTGTTGTGATACC
This sequence comes from Homo sapiens, assembly GCF_000001405.40. NCBI lineage: Eukaryota > Metazoa > Chordata > Mammalia > Primates > Hominidae > Homo > Homo sapiens. The sequence continues at coordinate 34,868 of NW_011332701.1, read as the reverse complement.
TTGGTTCTTGTCTTCTTGGTTTAAGAGAATTTAAACAAGAGACACATAGCAAAAGAAGTGCAGCATAGAGTATTGCAAAAGAAAAAGAATACTTTGAAAGTTAGGTGCAGAATAGGCAGTACACCCTGAGAGAGAGAGAAATTCAGGACGGGCCGCTCATAAGGATGAGACAACAAAGACCAGCACTAGGGAGGCTCCCAGTATGGGAGTCTTACATGATTATTTATAAGGAGGTGGGAGAGGTGTTGCTAGTAAGAATGTTCTGGGTGTTCCTCTGGGTGCATGTGCGCAGTAGCTGTACATGCTTGTTCATATATCATATGTCTCATTAGCATCTTAAATCTCCACCCAGGGGTATGTTTTTTGCTATTATAATGAGGGCAGGTAAAGTCAAATTGCACATGCTCTCTAGAGGGGAAAGTCCCTACTGAAGATAGCTTTGCTTGAATAGCTCAATTACAATGCAAATGCTGAGGCTTATTTTGTTGACTGCACGGTCACCATGGTTGCCGCATCCTGAGAACATAGTCACTGCCTTGACTGCCTATCCCACCTCAGGTAATAAAGGTAATGGTACCTTTATTAGTTGTGTTTCCTTGGATATTAGGACCCGCAAATCCACTGAGCTCAAGATAATTAAGACAGGGGGCAAAAATTGCTGAAGTGGGTCACTGGGTATAGTAATAAGGGAGGGAGTGCTCCTATCTCACTCCTTTGTTTCCCACACCAGTGCTTCCCAGTGGGCTGTGACAGAGATAGTGACATTCATTGGTAATTTGTTTAAGCACATACTGCATGCTGTAGGGTGGCACCCCAACTTTGCTGACTTTTGGATTGCAGCAAATAGTACCTCTGAAGCTTTAGCAGGCCACTGTTCTATCAAGTCAGCTGCTTCTGGGTAATGGAGCACATGGTACGACCAGTGAGTTCTGGTGTGATGCACTGCCTTCGCTGTAGAATAACCTCCTTGTCAAAGGAACTGAGTGAGAAACCAAGGACTGGAAAAGGAATTCTGTACATCAGTGAATGATGGGGCTGGTTGAAGCTTTACAAGAAAGAAAAGGAAATCCTTATTTGTAAAATGTTTCTAACATTTCTAACCTAATCATAGGATTTCTAACCTAATCATAAATTTCTAAAATAATCATAAGAGCCCTTGTGATTGGATTGCGCCCACCTCTATTGGTTAGAATAATTTCCCCTTCTCCGGGTCCTCAACTTAATCACATCAGCAAAGTCCCTATTATCATGTGTGTTCATCTCCTATTGCTGCACAAATTAACAGAAATTGAGTGGCTTAACCCGAATTTATTCTTTTACATTTTTGGAGGTCAGAAATCTAAACTCAGTCTATTAGAGAGGGCTGTGCTACTTCTGGAAGCTTCAGAAGAAAATAATATGGTTTTTCTTCTTTAGCCTTTTGATATGGTTAGATTACATTGATTAATTTTCAAATATTGAGCCAACCATGCATACCTGAAATAAATCCCCTGTGGTCATGGTGTATAATTATTTTCACGTATTCATGGATTCAGTTTGCTAACATTTTGTTGGGGATTTTTAACTTTATGAGATATATTGATCTATAGTTTCCTTTATGCTAGCTTTGTCTGATTTTGGCTTCACAAAATGAGTTGGAAAGTGTTCCTTCCTGTTTTATCTTCTGGAAAAGATTATATAGAATTGATGCTAGTTCTTTACATGTTCAGTAGAATTTTTATTTTGTTGTTTAAGATTTGCTAGGATAATTTTATTAAGAGATTAATATGTATTTTTAGCAAGGTAAAAAATACAAATAATAATAACAACCCTTCTGTTCATAAATATCCCTTCAGGTGAAAACACTGGAAGTCACAACAATGTAAAGAATGGGGCCCAAATAAAGCCCAAGTATTTTTTGCACACTTTTATTTATTTTACCTACCATATGATCCATAATTCAACCTTTTATTCAGTTACTGGCTTTATTAGTCTGTTCTCACGCTGCTGATAAAGACATACCTGAGACAGGGAAGAAAGAGATTTAATGGACTTACAGTTCTTTGTGTCTGGGGAGGCCTCACAATCATGGCAAAAGACGAGGAGAAGCAAGTCACATTTTACATGGATAGCAGCAGGCAAAGAGAGAGCTTGTGCAGGAAAACTCCTGTTTTTACAACCATCAGATATTCTGAAATTCATTCACTATCACGAGAACAGTGCAGGAGAGTCCCATCCCCATAATTTAATCACCTCCCACTGTGTTCCTCCCATGACTTGTGGGAATTGTGGGAGTTACAATTCAAGATGAGATTTGGGTGGGGACACAGCCAAACCATATCATTTCACCCTGGCCCCTCCCAAATCTAATGTCTTTACATTGCAAAACCAATCATGCCTTCAACAGTTCCCCAAAGTCTTAACTAATTTCAGCATTAACTCGAAAGTACACAGTCCAATGTCTCATCTGAGACAAGGCAAGTCCCTTCCGCCTATGAGCCTGCAAAATCAAAAGCAAGTTAGTTACTTCCTAGATATAATGGGGGTACAAGCATTTGGTAAATACAGCCATTCCAAATGGGAGAAATGGGCCAAAACCAAGGGGCTACAGGCCCCATGCAAGTCCAAAATCCAGCAGGATTTCTTAAAGCTCCAAAATGACCTCCTTTGACACCATGTCCCACATCCGGGTCATGCTGATGCAAGAGGTGGGTTCCCATGGTCTTGGGCAGCTCGGTCCCTGTGGCTCTGCAGGGTACAGCCTCCGTCCCCGCTGCCTTCACGGGCTGGTTGAGTGTTGAGTGTCTGCGGATTTTCCAGGCGCACGGTGCAAGCTGTCAGTGGATCTACCATTCTGGGATCTGGGAGCTTCTCACAGCTCCACTAGGTGGTGCCCCAGTAGGGACTCCTCAGTGTGGCACCTCTGACCCCACATTTTTCTGCTGCACTGTCCTAGCAGAGGTTCTTCATGAAGGCCCCGCCCCTGCAGCAAACTTCTCCTGGACATCCAGGTGTTCCCATACATTCTTTGAAATCTAGGTGGAGGGTTCCAAACCTCAATTCTTGACTTCCATGCACCTGCAGGCTCAACAGCACGTGAAAGCTGCCAAGGCTTGGGGCTTCCACTGTCTGAAGCAACAGCCCGAGCTCTGCCTTGGCTCCTTTTAGCCATGGCTGGACTGGTTGGAATGCAGGGCACCAAGTCCCTGGGCTGCACAGAGCAGGGAGGTGCTGGGCCCGACCCAGGAAACTATATAACCATGACTGGACTGGCTGGAATGCAGGGCACCAAGTCCCTGGGCTACACAGGGCAGGGAGGCACTGGGCCCGACCCAGGAAACTATATTTTTCTTTTAGGCCTCTGGGCCTGTGATGGGATGGGCTGCCAAGAAGATTTCTTTTTTTTTTTTTTTGAGACGGAGTCTTGCTCTGTCGCCCAGGCTAGGGTGTAGTGGCACCGTCTCGTCTCACTGCAAGCTCCCCCTCCCAGGTTCACTGCATTCTCCTGTCTCAGCCTCCCGAGTAGCTAGGACTACAGGCACCCACCACCACACCCGGCTAATTTTTTGTATTTTTAGTAGAGACAGGGTTTCACTGTGTTAGCCAGGATGATCTGGATCTCCTGACCTCGTAATCCGCCCACCTCGGCCCCCCAGAGTGCTGGGATTATAGGCGTGAGCCACTGCGCCTGGCCTGCCAAGAAGATTTCTGACATGCCCTGGAGACATTTTCCCCATTGTCTTGGGAATTAACATTCGGCTTCTCATTACTTATGCAAATTTCTGCAGCTGGCTTAAATTTCTCCTCAAAAAATGAGATTTTCTATTCTATTGCATTGTCAGGCTGCAAATTTTCCAAACTTTTATGCTCTGTTTTCTTTTTAAAGCTGAATACCTTTAACAGAACCCAAGTCACCTCTTGAATGCTTTGCTGCTTATAAAGTTCATTTTTTTTTTTTTTTTTTGCTGTCAATAAGTTTATGATCTTCATCTGAAAAATCCTCATGGAAAATTGTTTGGTTTAGCTCTCAGAAGCCCACTTCTGAGCTCTGAGGAAGCTTGCATTCTTTTGAGCTACTCAATCTTTCTTTTGAGCAAGGGACATTTTGGGACAGTTCCACTTCTTTTTAACTTTTTTCTTGGGCTTCTTCTCCTAGATGGGATTCTCTCATATAGCAGCATGAGCTTTCTTTTACATCTCCTCCATCATGTCTGGAGTTACACTGTTCTTCCTGTATTGAACGAACTGTTTCTGGTAAGCATCTTCATCTTCCTCCATTAAGTAGCACATGTAATCTGCAACATTCTGGCCCATGATGTGCTTCCGGTGTACTTCTGCATTAAATTCCTTGCTTTCAGAACCATAACCAGGGAATCATTTGGTACTGTGAGGGATAGACAAGCCTCTATCTACAGCTCTCTTCAGGGCACCAAAAACTTCATTGCCACTGGTAGTTCTGGCAAGGCCTGCATCCATATAGCAGGTAAAGGCACTTGGCTGACCATCAATGCTTTCCACATTGTATTCCTTGCCAGTCACCTCCACTTGGCCTTCATAGATCTTTTCCATGCCAAACCTATTGAGAAGCCTGCAGGCCAGTACAATACACCGCAGCGTAATTGGTCAGGCCAACCTTCAAACCATATTTTCGTAGTTCACATGCATATGCTGTGCGTACTATCATATCCCCTTCTGTACGGGCATAAGCAACCTGATAAATAATATCTCTGTGTGTTACACAAACTATCATCCTGTATTTGGGTGTGTTGTATTTATTTTTGTCCTGTATCACCAAGCATTTCCAAGCATAATACTCAGTTTCACCCTCTTGCCGTCTTCTAAATTTCGCTTGATATCTCTTAAAGTAGGCTTTATTCTTAACAACTTTACAAACCCCATCCTGCGGAACAGAGATCCCCATCCATGGATCAACAGAGACCTGCCCTGCTTAGAAATTTCTTCCTCCAGATACCCTAAGTCATCTCTCTCAAGTTCAAAGTTCCACAAATCTCTAGGGAAGGGGCAAAATGCCACCAGTCTCTTTGCTAAAACATAAGAAGAGTCACCTTTGCTCCAGTTCCCAGCAAGTTCCTCAGGTCCGTCTGGGACCACCTCAGCCTGGACTTTATTGTCCATATCGCTATCAGCATTTTGGTCAAAGCCATTCAACAAGTCTGTAGGAAGTCCCACACTTCCCCACATTCTTCTGTATTCTGAGCCCTCCAAACTGTTCCAACCTCTGCCTGTCACCCGGTTCCAAAGTTGCTTCCACATTTTCGGCTATCTTTTCAGCAATGCCCCATTCTGCTGGTACCAATTTACTGTATTAGTCTGTTCTCACACTGCTAATAAAGACACACCAGAGACTAGGTTCTGGGCCCAGTGATATGTCACAATCACCCTTTGTGGCAGGTTTCAGTCAAAAAAGGAGAGTCACAACAGCTGGGTGATGGATACACAGACAGGTCCTTATGCTTCCTATAGGCAGGACCCAGGAAGGAGAGTTACATTGCCTACAGAAGACCCAGGAATTTATTCCTTTCTCTAAGTCTAGCTACAAATGCCAGCATCTCTTCTGTTGGCTGGTTTGTGGTATGAGTGTCATCATCACAACTCTGAGCTGGGCTAAAGTATATGTCACAATCCAACCTTAAATATGCAAGGTCCAGGCAAAAGGTGAGAGTTACATCATCTAGGTGCTGAGTGCAGTGATGCATCACAATCCTTTTGTGGTAGGGTGCAGGCTGAAGAAGAGTCACATGACTTTTGGGTTGGGACCAGGCAGAAAAGTCAAGTCATTCAGGTTCCAGACAGAGGTGTACGTCACAATCACACATCATTTGGATGAAAGGCCCAGCCATATGTCACAATGCCACCTGTGGGCAGCACCAAGGCTGGAAAAGAGAGTCACATCTTCAAGGTGCAGAGTCAATATGTCACAATCTCATCTGTGGGCTGGGCTGAAGCAGGAGAGTCAAATCACTAAGATGCTTAGCAGATATATACAATCACACCTGGCTGTATGGCTACTGTCTCCTCACTCTTTTCTTTCCTTCGAAAAGGTCACCAGGTTTAGCTTAGAGACATCAAGACCCAGAGATCAGGTTTCTGTCCTTCTTTTAAAGCACATCTCTATACGAATTCTGCTAAGCAGGTTCCAGTATTTCCACTCGTCCAGAGAGAATTCTATGGCCACATTCCTGAATGTAAACAGTTTCATTTCCCAGCTTTCAGGATGTCCTGGCATCTTAGCTATGCGTCTCCCAGTACCTGCAGATCACAGGGCAACAGAGGCTGTGACAAAGTCACTGGGGGCTCCAGAGGTGGTGGACATGGAACAGTAGAGATAAATCCCAAGCTCTGGTGGGAGTGGGAGACAAAGGCCTGGTAGAATTTTCTAGTGAAACAGTATTGGGGAACCTGCCCCCAATATTTCAACGTAGGTTCTTTCTATTATCCATAAGTGTCAGCCAGCTGAGAAATAGAGACAGTACAAAGAGAGGAATTTTACAGGTGGGCTGCTGGGGGTGACATCACATATTGGTAGGACTGTGATGCCTGCCTGAGTCTCAGACCAGCAAGCTTTTATTAAGGGTTTCAAAAGGGGAGGGGGTGTAAGAACAGAGAGTAAGTACAAAGATCACATGCATCAAAGAGCAAAAAGCAGAACCACTAATAAGGGTCTAACAAAGATCACATGCTTCTGAGGGAACAGAACAAAGGGCAAAAGCAGAACCACTGATAAGGGTCCAACAAAGATCATAAAGCAAAGGGCAAAAGCAGAACCACTGATAAGGGTCTATGTTCAGCGGTGCACGTATTGTCTTGATAAACATCTTAAACAACAGAAAACAGGGTTCGAGAGCAGAGAACTGGTCTGACTACAAATTTACCAGGGTGGAGTTTTTCCCCACCCTAGTAAGTCCGAGGGTTCTGCAAGAGACCAGGGCATATCTCAGTCCTTATCTCAACTGCATAATACAGACATTCCCAGAGTGGCCGTTTATAGACCTCCCCCCAGGAATGCATTCCTTTCCCAGGGTATTAATATTAATATTCCTTGCTAGGAAAAGAATTTAGTGATATATTTCCTACTTGCACGTCCATTTATTGGCTCTCTGCAAGAAGAAAAATATGGCTCTTTTTGCCTGACCCCACAGGCAGTCAGACCTTAAGGTTGTCTTCCCTTGTTCCATAAAAATCGCTGTTATTCTGTACTTTTTCAGGGTGCCCTGATTTCATATTGTTCAAACACACGTGTTTTACAATCAATTTGTACAGTTAACACAATTATCACAGTGGTCCTGAGGTGACGTACATCCTCAGCTTATGAAGATAACAGGATTAAGAGATTAAAGTAAAGACAGGCATAAGAAATTATAAAAGTATTATTCAGGAACTGATAAATGTCCATATTAATATGAAATCTTCACAATTTATGTTCCTCTGCCACGGCTCCAGCCGGTCCCTCCATTTGGGGTCCCTGACTTCCTGCAATAAAACCAGGAGTCTGGAATCTTTTTTTAAAAGGAAACTTTCAAATTAATAATTCAACGTCTTTCATGGCTAAAGGGCTATTCAGATTATAGATTTTATCTGTGTTTTCATACTTTGTGTTTTTTGAGGAATTGGTTTGTTTCTTTTTAGTTGCCAAATTTGTGAGCGTAAAGTTGTTGATAATATTCCTTTATTATCATTTTAATGTCTGAAATATATGTAGTAAAATTTCCTATTTCATTCCTGATATTGGTGATTTGTGTCTCTCTCCTTTAATTTTTGGTCAGTCTTTTTAGAAGTTTGTCAATTTAACTGATTTTACCCAAAGAAACAGCCTTTTCTCCTTTGATTTTCATTAGTATTGTCCTATATTAACTCAATAGATTTCTTCTGTGATCTTTATTGTTTCTTTCCTTAAGCTTTCTTTTGATGCATTTTACTCTTTTTTGGCAAGTGTTTTTGAGGTAGGAACTTAGATTGTTGATATGAGATTTCCTTTCTTTTCCAATGTTAACATTTAGTGTTATAAAGTTTTGTCACAGTTATATTTCGGTTGCACCCTATATGTTTCTATGTGTTGCATTTTCATTAAAATTCAGTTCTATATATTTTAAAATTTACTTTGAGACCTCTTCATTGACCCATAGACTATTTAGAAGTATGTTGGTTAATTTCCATGCATTTAGAGATTTTTCTATTGTCTTTCTGTTAGTTTCTAACTTTATTCCATTATAGTTGAAGAACATACTCTGTATGAGTTTATTTTTTTACATTTGCGGAATTTTTTTTGTGACCCAGAATATGATACATCTTGGTAAATCTTTCATGGGAACTTGAAAAAAACTGTATTCTCCTGTTTTGGAGTGAAGTGTTTTATATATGTGTATTAAATCCCTTTGGTTCAGTGTTGTTCAGTTCTTCCATATTTTGAATTATTTTCTGTGTAGCATTTCTATTAGTTTCTGAGGGTGAGTTATTTATGTTCCCAATTATAAACATGAATTTGTTTTTTCTTTCAGCTCTAGCAGTTTTTCACTTCATGTATTTTGCTGCTCTGTTGTTTGGTGCATACATATTTAGGATTGTTGTATCTTCCTGGTGGATTGACCTATTTATCATTATTTAATAATTTTCTGTCCCTCTAGTAATTTTCTTTATTTTGAAGTCTACTTAGCTGGTATTAATATAGTCTCTTGCTTAGATTTTTTTTGTGTGTAACATATCTTTTTCCAGCATATAGTTGGGTTATTTTTTCAATCCTTTCTTCCGGTCTCTGTGTTTTGGTTGATATGTTTAGAAAATTTACATTTAAGGTAATTATTGATATGTTAATGCTTAAATATGCCATTTCAATTAAAGTTGCTCTTTCATATCCATAGCTTTTGCATCCATGGGTTCAACCAACTACAGGTAAAAAAAATTCCCATAAACTTCCAAAAAGCAAAACTTGAATTTTCTGTGCACTGACTACTATGTTGAATCCATGCAAGTGATGAGATGCATAGGCATTGTATTAGGTACTATAAGTAATCTAGGGATCATTTAAAGTATACAGAAGAATGTGCTTAGTTTATATGCAAATACTATGCCCCTTTAAATAAGGGACCTGAACATCTATGGAGTTTGGTATCCACAGAGGTCCTGGAACCAATTCCCCATGGATACTGAAGGATTACTGTATTTATTTTCTCTTTATTTCCTCTGTTTCCAGTACATACCCATGTTTCTTTTGTCTTGATTTTCTGTGTGTTACTTGAACATTTTTTACAGTTCTATTTTGATTCATTTATAGTATTTTTTAGTGTTTCTCTTTGTATAGTTTTGGAGTGGTTGCTCAGAGGACTACAGTATACATACATGACTTATTAGAATTACCACTTTGAGTGAAGTGTGACAATACCACTTCCATTAAGATTCCTTTATCTTTTCTTGAGTATCAGATGGCAACATAACTTTTGTTTAAATCATCAAATCGATCTATACAACTCATAGGGAAAGGAATAATCTATTGTGTGTACACATTTCTGCTTTTTCAGTTCCTTTTGCTTCCTGATGCTCCAAAATTTGTCTTTTTTTTTTTTTGAGATGGAGTCTCACTCTGTCTCCAGGCTGGAGTGCAGTGGTGCAATCTTGGCTCACTGCCACCTCTGCCTCCCAGGTTCAAGTGATTTTCCTGCCTCAGCTTCCAAATAGCTGGGACTACAGGTGCACACCACCATGCTCAGCTAATTTTTGTATTTTTAGTAGAGACAGGGTTTCACCATGTTGGCCAGGATGGTCTTGATCTCTTGACCTCGTGATCCACCTGCCTCGGCCTCCCAAAGTGCTGGGATTACAGGTGTGGGCCACCACACCCAGCCTGTCTTATTTTTTGTAATTTTCTTTATCTTTGAAGAACTTCTTTTAGCCAATCTTTAAGGGTAGGTCTGCTAGTAAAAAATTCTTTTTCTTTATCTGAGAGTGTATTTATTTCCTCTTTATTCCTCAAGGATAGTTTCACTGGATATAGAATGTATGGTTGACAGTGCTTTTCTTCAGTACTTGAAAAATGTTGTACCATTTCCTTCCCTCTCTCCTGGTGTCAGAGAAGAAATTTGCTGCCATTTGAATTTGTGTTTTCCTGTAGGTAACGCATAGTACTTTCTGGCTGCATTCAAGGTTTTTCTTTGTCTTTAGTCTTTGAAAGTTGATGATTTATTTTGATATGGATTTCTTTGGGTTCATCGTGTTATCCTGTTCCTAGGGTTTGTTCATCTTCTTGAATTTGTAGGTTTGTGTCTTTTGCCAAATTGGGAAAATTTCAGCCTTTATTCCTTACTGTACTTTTCTAACCTTGCTCTAATTCTTTTATCCTTCTAGTACTCCAGTGACATGAATATTAGATTTTAAAAATAGTTCTACAGTTCCCTGAGGCTCCATTCCACCTCTGCCCTTTTAAAAAAATATATTTTCTCCTTGCTGTTTAGATTGGGTGAATTCTATTGATTTGCCCTCAAATTCACTGATTCTTTTCTTTATTATCTCTACTATTGAGTGCATATCAAGAAGCTTTAAGAAATTCTGTTATTGGGCTTGCTCTTCCACTGCGTGAGGATGTAGCACTCATCAGACCCCAAATGCTGGTACCTGGATCTTGGACTTCCAGCCTTCAGAACTGTGCTATCTTCTCTCTTCTACCTTGGAGGAAACTGAAGCTCCAGAGATCTGGGTATCTTTCCAAGGCTTTGACTCTGGGAGGTGATGAGTCAGGGTTGGCTCTAAAGCCCAAGCTCTTTTCTTCACACCTTGATGCTGTCCAGCCTGTCCATGGACCAGTTAGAGCCAGTGACCAAACAGGTACATCAAAATGGCATCCCTCCTGGATGGCACATCCTCCCCAGACAGCCTGCCCATTCCCTGGCTCTGACAGGCTAGCAAATCCCTGATAACCTCGGAATGCCTCAAATTATGTCAATGAAGGGCAGTGAGGCTTTGATGTTGAACAAATGCCCCATGACGGATGGGCACTGGCTGATACACTTTCCCACGGTGACTCAGAAGTGTGAAGGAGAAAGGAGGGCTGAGGTGCCAGCTCCAGGCAGGCCAGGTACCCCAGATGTCAGCACCTGCCCGGCTGCCTCTGACATACCCTTAGACATACCTTTTGGCATGTGGAGCCCCAGGGGCCTTTCTTCATGTCCAGACAGGATGACTCATCTTAAGGGGTGTGGCAGGAACTGAGCATGTGTACCACCACCTGAGCTGCAGTTCTTGTTTCTGTAAGAGAAAATGCTCCCACATTATCCTACTACATGTGCTAGACCTCAAAGGTGAGAGAGAGCATGAGTTGAGGGATCTGAAATGAAAGCAGTTGTAGTGAAAAGCCCATGAAATATAGCGCTCAAGGGTAGCTAAGTCTTGCAGGCTGTAATTTATGCTGTTTCCTGCTTTGAGAATGTATCCCAACCTTTTGGTTACTAGAAAGCCTCAATTTGAATAGTAAAATACCTGAATTCTGGGTCCTCTAACTTCTCTTCATGTGTGGCTCAGTCTAACCTGTAGTTTAATACTCAGACATGACGCCTTCTAGGAAGCCTTCCTTGATGTCTCCAATTCTACATTAATTCCTCCACTATGAGCTTCCACAGTAACCTAATCTTACCCTGAGATGTCTATATCAAACTGCTTCCTCACATGAGGGAAGGCACCAGGTCTCGTTTACATTTTTGCTCTGTATCACTACAATACAAGAGAGAATGTGATAAAGGTTGTAACAGACCCGGAAAAACCACTCTGGGAGCTCTAAGAAGGGTAGTTCATGTAAATACACACACATATACATATAGTTCATGTAAATATATATATGTATACACACACACACGGCCTTCTTCAAGGAAGAGATTGCTCTTAGGATGTTTTCAGATTGAAGATGCTGTAAAATTTGTATTGATGATATAAAATTAAAAAAAAGAAATTCTGTTATTGTATATTTTAGATCTATCATTTCCATTTGGTTCTTTTTTCTATATCTTTTGTTTCTTCCCATAGTTTTTCATTTTTCACTTGTTCCAAGAGAAGTTGTTAACTGATTGTTGAGACATTTTTAGGAAGGCTGCTTTAAAATCCTTTTAAGATAATCCAGCATCCGATATATCTCAGTGTTGGCATCAGGTGTTTGTCCTTTCCCATTCAAGTTGTGATTTTCTCAGTTTCTGATATGACAGGTGACTTTTGATTGTATCCTGGATATTTTGTCTATTATTTTAGGAGACTCTGAGTCATAAATAACTGTTTTATTTCAGCAGGCAGTCAACCTGTTTAAGTTTAGCACACAGGTTATAGACTATTTACATAGCCTGTTGTTCAAATGAAGATTTAATTTTCAGAGATCTTGCAGTGCTACTTTGATCTGTTTGGTTTCTCCAGTGCTGCTGGGTGCTGCCTTGGGGGCTGGAAGGGATATCCCCAGGCTGGGCTGCCCAGATGTCTCTTCCTGTGGAGAGGAGTTTCAGGTCTGCAGAAGTGAAGAGGCTTCCATGGCTAAGTGTTTGTTAAGATGGCATCCCCCTTCCTGTGGGGGCCTCAGAACATTTCATGAGCCATGTGCTATTGATGAGCACATGGCTCTTGACCTGGGTGTCTCTTGGCCTGAGATCCCAGGTGTGAGGTGTAGTGGGGTCCCTCCTCAGGTTCTGTCCACTCACCACATATCTCTTTGTAGGGGATGGGGTGCCCCCCATGGTTACCTTTGCTGGCAGAGCTTTTATTAATCTTACTTGACAGGGGGACATGTTCCCCTGGTATTGTTTCATCCAAGGGAGGAACAAGCCCACCTAGCTGTCTTCTCTTGCTATGTTGGGAGTTGGTCTGGAAATGCTGATTTTGAGGGACAAAATGCACCCTGCAGCTGTGCTGTTCCCATTTTCCCGGGCTCCTGTATTAGTCCATTTTCATGCTGCTGATAAAGACATACCCTAGACTGGGCAATTTACAAAAAAAAAAAAAAAAAGAGGTTTAGTGGACTTACAGGTCTCCCAGTAGAATACCATAGCACATGGCTCTTGACCTGGGTGTCTCTTGGCCTGAGATCCCAGGTGTGAGGTGTAGTGGGGTCCCTCCTCAGGTTCTGTCCAGTCACTGGTATCTCTTTGTAGGGGATGGGGTGCCCCCCATGGTTACCTTTGCTGGCAGGGCTTTTATTAATCTTACTTGCCAGGGGGGCATGTTCCCCTGATATATTTTCATCCAAGGGAGGAACAAGCCCACCTAGCTGTCTTCTCTTGCTATATTGGGAGTTGGTCTGGAAATGCTGATTTTGAGGGATGAAATACTCCCTGCAGCTGTGCTGTTCCCATTTTCCTGGGCTCCTGTATTAGTCCATTTTCATGCTGCTAATAAAGACATACCCCAGACTGGGCAATTTACAAAGGAAAGAGGTTTAATGGACTTACAGGTCAACATGGCTGGGGAGGCCTCACGATCATGGCAGAAGGCAAGGAAGAGCAAGTCACATCTTACATGGATGGCGGCAGGCAGAGAGAGAGATCTTGTGCAGGGAAACTCCCGTTTTAAAACCATCAGGTCTCGTGAGACTTATTCACTGTCATGAGAACAGCTGGGAAAGAGCAGCCCCCCATGATTCAATTATCTCCCACCAGGTCCCTCCCACAACACATGAGAATTATGGGAGCTACCAGATGAGATTTGGGTGGGGACACAGAGGCAAACCATATCAGATCCCAAACAGTTTCCTCTCCTCTTACCACCTTTCCGAATTCTCCTTTAGTTGCCTCTTGCTTTATTCCCAGGGTTTATAGGTGTGCTTGGCAGGAGTAAGCAGGGAGTTTGGGGTCTATATCATTTTGTCTGGACTGGAAGTTCCTTGGAATTGCCCATTTGTTTATTTTTAATCTCTGTCATTTTGTTTTTAATTTGTTTCTAGTAGAGAACATATAATTGGACCTAACTTTAAAATATTTGCTGTTATGCCTTATATTCGCTATATTGTATTTCCTTGATACTTCCTCTTCCCATGTGCTGATGTTGTATATTGTTAAAGTTTCTTTGCATCTTGTTTTTCAGTGTTTTGAAGTTATAAATAATAGTTGCATTCTCTTAATTTTTGGCTTAAAAATATACTAAATCATATTTAAACCTGCCATTATAAATAGTAGGAATAAAACAAGAGTTGCCATGCATTTTAGGGTTCTGCTAGAGATTAAGGAACTTTATTGGCTTCTCAGCGGCCGTTTGGTTTGAGAACCTTGAATGAGACACTGCTTCCTCTTTTTCCTTGTGATGTTGAAAAGTTAGACCTGAAGGGCTGCTTGGATCTTTTGGTGCTTTTGATAGCAGCATGTTGTCCTTCTTTCACTTGGAATAAAATCCAGAGCCTCAACCATGACTTACAAAGCCACAAATGACCTGGCTGCAGCTGCCATTTACATATAATTTCCTGCCTCAGGGGGCTGGACCCCAGACACGGTGGCCTTCTTGCTAGGTGAATGTGCATTTGTACTTGTCACCTCTACGTGGGATGCTCTTCCCAAGCATGCTGGTGGTGGTTCACCTCTCTAGAGTCTCCTCAAATATCCATCCTCAGGGCAGCCTTCCCTGGCCCTGCGGAAGGAGTTCTTCCATCATTGCTGACTACTTTCCTGTGTTCCTTTTCTTCCAACAGATTATTACCTATGACACATTGTAATAATGCTCTAATATATATCTGTGGCAAATATATGAATATATAAACTTTTTCTCTGTCTCCCTTCACCAGAATATAAGCTCCAGGAGATCAGCAAATGTGTGTCTATCTTGGTCACTGTGGCATCCTGGGTGGTCCTGACAGTGCTGCCACATAGTAAGCACATCAAACAAATAAAGGAGTGAATGGAGACTAAGCAATATGGGATGCTGGCTCATGAGGACTGCACGTTTTTGAAATACGTGTACTTATATTTAGAAATCAAACCATATATCAAGTGGTGTAATAGTCATTCATCATAATTTTCACAGGTTCTGTGAGGAGAGTGGTTCTCACATGGATTCACCTAAGAAGGCTTCTTGTGAGGATATTTAATCAGATTTCTTAAGCTGAGAAGAAAGAGAAAAAGATAACTTTGTTATTTCTCAGCAGTGTTAGGAAGCTTTGGGGATTTCTTGGTTCCTAAGTGATGAATTCTCCATGCAGGCCTGTTCATGCCTGTGTGTTCATTTCCTCCTTTGGGTGTGAAGGGGGTTTGGAAAGCCTTCCCATGGGTCTGGATTTATTTGTGTCTCTGCCAGTGGGACATCTTTAGCCATGCCAAGACTCTGTCATTGAAAGTAAGAATAGTGCTGATAATAGGCAGGATAAAGGCTCTAATTTATAGGTTGCATATAATAATTTCATGTTAATAGTTGATAACTCTTGCCAAATCCTAAATCAGGCTTCCCTGCTGCCTTCCAAGTTCTTCCTGGCTAACTGTCATTTCTGGTGTATGTTATTTTTCAATATTAGTTACCTTTCCTCATAAACTATAGGGCTTATAACATAAGTCATGTAGCTTTTATATTCTTAACTGTCTTGAGAAATGTTAAGATCTGAGAAATGACATAATGTAAAAGAGTGAAAGAAAGTTCATTCACTGTAAAGCTTCATCATAGGAATGCTGGTGAAGGGCACGGTTGTCCTCATGTGCTCTACCCCACAGAGGCAGAGTGGCCACCGATCTGTGCAGTCTCTAAGTTCACCGACACAATAACTCATTCTTCTTGCCTTTGGGGAAATAAACAGCAGAAAGAGAAAATACTCCCTTAGCAGTAAAACTAAACAAATGAGAACACAGAAATGAAACTAAACAAAAAAATACGTATCACTATCAAAATCCCCCCAAAATAAATTTTATTTTCTTCCCTTTATTTAGTGCTTTTCAATAATGATTCAAGTCACTTCTAATATCTCTTTTTCATGGAATACAAAAATAGGATTAGTTTTTAAATTACAGATGATTTTAAATGGATCTCTGATTCCAATGTGAATGAACAACATAACAAGAAGTTTATTTTTAGAACGAGAGTGGTCACCTAGCTTTTCTGCCAGGCATATAAACATGAGGGTCATTTAACTTACTTTATCTTGTATCTGAGTCTTTAAGGAAGTGCTGCCTTGCAAACAGAATCATTAGTAAGTTTACTGGGAAGATGCATGCATAATTTTGGAGGAAAATTGACATACAGGCATTTTCATTTTTATTTTTACTTATTTATTTATTTTGAAACAGGGTCTCACCCTGTCACTGAGGCTGGAGTGCAGTGGTGCGATTTCGGTTCACTGCAACCTCTACTCCCCGGGCCCAAGTAGTCATCCCACCTCAGCCTCTGGAGCTGGGACTACAGGCTTGCGCCACCATGTCTGGTTAATTTTATTTTTTGTAGAGACAGGTTTCGCCACATTGACCAGGCTGGTCTTGAACTCCTGAGCTCAAGTGATCTGCCCACCTTGGCTTCCCAAAGTGCTGGGATTACAAGTGTGAGTCACCACGCCTGGCACATTTTTATTTTTAAATGTTTGCAGTAACGATGATTTATAATGAGTTTTTACTAATTTTGATAGTCTTTCTAACCTTGCTCTGACATTCTCCAAAGATAATAAGTCAAGTTCATTTAAAATAATTCAATTATAATATATTTGAAATGCTTGTGAAAATTGCTAAATATGTCAGCTGTTAAACATGTAAGAACTTTCAATATATTTTAGAGGTTCAAAAAAATCAGATTTTTCTTTTTGCTCAGGTCAGATTTTGATGAAGATGATTTTAAAATGAGACAGGACATCATGAGCAGAAGCATCAGCACAGAAACGCAGGCTGCAGGGCATCCAATAAAAGGAAGCCCAGAGATCCCAGGGACTGTCTACCTGACTTCTGAGATATATCAGCCTGCTTGTACCTCTGCCATGGTACACCTGATGGTCATGGAGACTGTTCAGGTTCTCAAATGCCGGCTGAAGGCAGGCAGCCCTGCGCCCTTTCCTCCTTATCCAGAGTTGTGTGATGCTCGTTGATCTCCCTCGCCCTGATGAGGGATCCGCAGGGGGCGTGAGGTCCCAGGACTCTAGGTGGTCAGTTGGGGAGGATTGGACACAGGAACAGTAGCCGACTTAATTTATTTTAAAATTTTAGATATTGGCAAGAAAAGAGTGTTTTAACCGGGTGTCATAATGAGAGAGAATGTTGAATTCCAATCTGCTAAGGGCGTGTAAACCTACTAAAGCTCACGCCTCCCTCTGATTACAATGAAAACTGGACAAAAATCAACTACATATGGACTCTGAAAAATATAAACAGGTAGATTGTGGAGAATGTTAAAACCTGGAGAAGGGACCCTCTCGGGGTGGTTTTCCTGTTTTCTTCTCTCCTGGATTTCTCCCTAGAGCCAGTCTTCATCATGTAGTGGCATGGTGGCATAGGTAGCTAGTAATCCTGTAGCAACCCCATCTTTTGGCCCAGAGGAGTCAGAGAGAGCAGCACCTGCAGGCCAGGGAGTGTGGGGGAAAACCAGAAGAGAGAGCCAAAGAAGCCCCCCAGTTCTGTTCATGAACTTGCACTAGCCTCAGCCTAATTTCAGAACAACACCATCTGGGGACAGACTCAAACCAGCCCAGCAAAGGCCCAGAGGACTGACTGATGACTGGCTGAGGTTAGAACCATCCATACAGGTATCTGACTAACTCTTGAATGGTGTATGTGCTAGACAGGCATGAAGCAAGATGGCAAGGCTTAGAGAACCGAACTGAGATTTGAACCATCTGCACAAGCATGTGGCTGGCTACTGGATGATACACGTGTGATACAGGCCAATATGATCACAGGAAATTTGAATTTGAACCACTTCCCTTAGAAAGTGTGACAGAAATTGTGGTCAGAAGCCAATTAGTTTATAAGTAAAAAAAAATAATAATCTCCAGAAGATTAAAACAGAATCCAGAGTTTACATATTTTAACATTGACAGTATCCAGGAGACAGTACCAAAGGACTCGATGTACAAAGAATAAGAAAAAAATGTAATAAATTTCCAAGGGAAAATGACAGTCAACAGATAGCAAACCTAAGAGGACCCAGATATTGAAATGACCAAAGAATTTAAAGTAGCTTTTATAACTATGATCAATGAGGTAAAGAAAATGCACTTGAAATGAATGAAAGGTTGGGAGTTCTCAGGGGAGAATAGGAATTTACCAGAAAATCTAATACAAAGGTTAGAAATGAAACTACAACACCTTAAATAAAAAAGAGTTGCTTGATGGGTTCAGTAGTGGAGTGACTATGACAGAGCAAAGAGTTAGTGAACTGAAATAGATCAGTGTAAATTATCCAATCTAAAGAACTTAGAGAAAATTTTTTTACATTGCCAGAGCTCATGCAGCTGTGGAACACGACCAAAAATTGGAGTTTCACTGAAGAATAAGAAACTCACTCAAAACCACACAACTACATGGAAATTGAACAACCTTCTCCTGAATGACTCCTGGGTAAATAATGAAATCAAGGCAGAAATCAAGAAGTTCTTTGAAACCAAAGAGAACAAAGAAAACCTCTGGGATGCAGCTAAAGCAGTGGTAAGAGGGGAATTTACAGCACCAAATGCCCACATCAGAAAGCTAGAAAGATGTCATATCGACACCCTAAGATCACAACTAAAATAACTAGAGAACCAAGAGCAAACAAACCCTAAAGCTAGCAGAAGACAATAAATAACCAAGATCAGAGTGAAGCCGAAGGAGCTAGAGACATGAAAAGCCCTTCAAATAATCAATGAATCTAGGAGTTGGTATTTTGAAAGAATCAATAGGACAGGTAGACTGCTAACTAGACTAGTAAAGAAGAAAAGAGAGAAGAATCAAATAGACACAATAAAAAAATGATAAAGAGGATATCACCACTGACCCCACAGAAATACAAACAACCATCAGAGAATACTATAAACATCTCTATGCAAATAAACTAGAAAATCTAGAAGAAATGGATAAATTCCTGGACACATACACCCTCCCAGGACTGAACCTGGAAGAAGTTGAATCCCTGAATAGACCAATAGCAAGTTCTGAAATTGAGGCAGTAATGAATATTTAACAGCCTACCCATAATAAAAAGCCCAGGATAAGAGGATTTATAGCTGAATTCTACCAGAGGTACAAAGAGGAGCTGGTACCATTTCTTCTGAAACAATTCCAAACAATTGAAAAGGAGGGACTTCTCCCTAACTAATTTTATGAGGCCAGCATCATCCTGATACCAAAACCTGGCAGAGTTACAACAACAAAAAAAGAAAACTTCAGGCCAATATCCCTGATGAAAACTGATGCAAAAATCCTCAATAAAATACAGGCAAATTGAATCCAGCAGCACATCAAAAAGCTTATCCACCACGATCAAGTCGGCTTCGTCCTTCAGGTGAAAGGCTGGTTCAACCTACTCAAATCAATAAATGTAATCCATCACATAAATAGAACTAAAGATAAAAACCACATGATTATCTCAATAGACACAAAAAAGGCCTTTGATAAAATTCAACGTCCTTTCATGTTAAAAACTCTCAATAAACTAGGTATTGATGGAACTGTACCTCAAAATAATAAGAATCATTTATGACAAACCCACAGCCAGTATCATACTAGACAAGGGGCAAAAGCTGGAAGCATTCCCATTGAAAACTGACATAAGACAAGGATGCACTCTCTCACCACTCCTATTCAACATAGTATTGGAAGTTCTGGCCAGGGCAATCAGGCAAGAGAAAGAAAGGTGTATTCAAATAGGAAGAGAGGAAGTCAAACTGTCTCTGTTTGCAGATGACATGATCCTATGTCTAGAAAACCCCATCCTCTCAGTCCAAAAGCTCCTTTAGCTGATAAACAACTTCAGCAAAGTCTCAGGATACAAAAACAATGTGCAAGAATCACAGGCATTCCTATACACCAACAATACACAAGCAGAGAGTGAAATCATAAGTGAACTCCCATTCACAATTGCTACAAAGAGAATAAAAAACCTAGGAATACAGCTAACAAGGGAAGTGAAGGACTTCTTTAAGGAGAACTACAAATTCACTGCTCAAGGAAAACAAAGAGGACACAAAGAAATGGAAAAACATACCATGTTCATGGATAGGAAGAAGAATCAATATTGTGAAAATGGCCATACTGTCCAAAGTAATTTATAGATTCAATGCTATTCCCATTAAACTACCATTGACATTCTTCACAGAATTGGAAAAAAAACTACTTTAAAATTAAAATGGAATCAAAAACGAGTGCATATAGCCAAGATAATCCTAAGCAAAAAGAACAAAGCTGGCAGCATCATGCCGCCCAATTTCAAACTATACCACCAGGCTACAGTAACCAAAACAGCATGGTACTGGCACAAAAACAGACACATAGACCAATGGAACAGAATAGAGATCTCAGAAATAAGACCGCACATCTACAACCATCTGATCTTCAGCAAACCTGACAAAAACAAGCAATGGGGATAGGATTCCCTATTTAATAAATGGTGCTGGGAAAACTGGCCAGCCACATGCAGAAAATTGAAACTGAACCCTTTCCTTACACCTTATACAAAAATTAACTCAAGATGGATTAAAGACTTAAATATAAAACCCAAAATTTTACAAATCCTAGAAGAAAATCTAGGCAATACCATTCAGGACATAGGCACAAACATAGATTTCATGACAAAAATGTAAAAAGCAATTGCAACAAAAGCAAAAATTGACGAATGGGATCTAATTAAACTAAAGAACTTCTGCACAGCAAAAGAAACTAACATCAGAATGAGCAGACAACCTACAGAATGGGAGAAAATTTTTGCACTCTATCTATCTGACAAAGGTCTAATATCCAGAATCTACAAGGAACTTAAACAAATTTACAATAAAAAAACCAACAACCACATTAAAAATTGGGCAAAGGACATGAACAGACACTTCTCAAAAGAAGACATTTATGCAACCAACAAACTTAAGAAAAAAATCTCAACATCACTAATCGTTAAAGAAATGCAAAGCAAAACCACAATGAGATCACACATCAGTCAGAATGGCAATTATTTAAAAGTCAAGAAACAACAGATGCTGGTGAGGCTATGGAGAAATAGGAATGCTTTTACACTGTTGGTGTAAATCTAAATTAGTTCAACGATTGTGGAAGACAGTGTGGTGATTCCTCAGAGACCTAGGGCCCAAAATACCATTTGACCCAGCAATTCCATTGCTGGGTATATACCCAAAGGAATATAAATCATTCTGCTATAAAGATACATGCACTTATATGTTCACTGCAGCACTATTCACAATAGCAAAGACATGGAATCATCCCAAATGCCCTACAATGATAGCCTGGATAAAGAAAATGTGGTACATATACAACATGCAATACTCTGCAGCCATAAAAAGGAACAAGGTCATGTCCTTTTAAGGGACATGATGGAGCTGGAAGCTGTTATCCTCGGCAAGTTAGCACAGGAACAGAAAACCAAGCTCTGCATGTTCTCATTTATAAGTGGGAGCCGAACGAAGAGAACAATGGATAGAGGGAGGGGAACAACCCACACTGGATCCTGTCAAGGGGGAAAAGGGGGAGGGAGAACATCAGATAAATAGCTAATGCATGTGGGGCTTAATACCTACGTGATGAGTTGATAGGTGCAGCAAACTACCATGGCACACATTTACCTATGTAATAAACCTATACTTCCTGCACATGTGTCCCGGGACTTAAAATAAAATTTAAAAAAGAATAAATATTTTGAAATATTAAAAACAATTATAGTTTCAGAGGAGCAAGAGATTAAGAGAAAAAGATATTTGAAGAGGTAATGACAGAATTGTCAATCTTTGCAAAGACACATTTACAATTTCACAAAATTCAGTGAAAACACAGGATGAAATAAAGGAAAACATGCCTAGACACATCATAATCATAGTGCTGAAAACTAAAAATAAGGAAAATGTCTCAAAAACAGTGAGAGAAGAGTGATACATTACATGCAAGGGACTATGATTTGAATGACTGCAAATTTCTGATCAGAAATCCTGGAGGCAAGTAGATAGTGGAGCACCTTCTTTAAGTGCTGAAAGAAAAGAACTTTTAAGCCAGAATTCTCTATCCAGCAAAATAATCCTTCAGGAATAAAAGCAAAAAAGAGAGACATTCTCAGATGGAGGAAATGACTGGAATTCATTTCCAGCAGACCTGCTCTATAAGACATGTTAATGGAATTTCTGCAGGATGAAGCAAAATGATACTACAGAGAAATTAGATCTTTAGGGATGAAGAACAGCAGAAATGGTAAATAGTAGGTAAGTGTAAAAGATAACGTTTTTCCCTCTTACGTTCTTCAAAATAGGTTTGATGGTTGAAAGTATAAATTATAATATTGTCTGGTGGGAGTTTTAA
Organism: Homo sapiens; assembly: GCF_000001405.40. Classification (NCBI taxonomy): domain Eukaryota; kingdom Metazoa; phylum Chordata; class Mammalia; order Primates; family Hominidae; genus Homo; species Homo sapiens. Next base: position 12,474 of record NW_011332701.1, on the reverse strand, counting down.
TGTATATAGATGTAATATGTATGACAACTATACCATAAGAGGAAAGGGGAGAGGTAAAGTGACCTATATCATTTCAAGGCTTGTATATTTCACTTGATGCAATAAAACTTTGTAGAGAAGTTATGTATGTATATTTTAATTCACGGAGTAAGTACTAAAATATAATTAAAAATTAATTAAAATATTAATATTTAATACTTAATAATAATATTATTAAAAGCCAACTGATGAAAATACAATATTCAAGTAACCCAAAGGAAAGCAAAAAATGGGCACAGAAATGAATAAAAAAAGAGACAAACAGAAAATAAATAATTTTGTTGACCTGAATGCAGCTATATCAATAATTGTGTTAACTGCAAACATTCCCATTAACAGGAAAATATTGAGAAAGCAGATAAGGAAGTAAGGCTCTAATATATGCTGCTCTTAAGAGACATACTTTTACCCTTGATCTTAGCTGAAAGGCTGAGCAATGATATGGGACATGCTTTTAAATTAAGCATAGAGATATGTTGAAAGTAAATGAATGGAAAAATACATAGCATGCAGGTAATAAGCATAAAAGGCCAAAGTGGCATAGAATAAACTTCAGTGCACATAATGTAATTGGAAATAATGAGGGACATTTAATAATAATAAATGGGACAGATTATAAGGAAGATATAACAATTATAAATGTCCCTGGTAAATACTCAAGATGCAATTGATTCACTAAAGTAAAACAAAATAGACAATTCCACAATCATAGAAGAAGATTTTATCACTCTTCAGAAATTGATAGAACACCTAGACAAAAAAAAATCAGGAAAGCCATAGAAGCTATGAATAACATTATCAACCACGTTGATTCAATTGACATTTGTAGAACACTATATCCAACAACCACAGAATTCAATCTTGTCATGCGTGCACGGTCAATTCACCAAGATTATAATATTACATCATAAGGATTATATACTCTGACCACAACAAATTTAAGTTAGAAATCAATAGCAGTCTAGGAAAACCTCAATGTCTGGAAAGTCAATGATACACTTCTAGTTAAATCATGAGTCAAAAATGAAATCACAAGGGAATAAGATAATATTACAAAGCAAAATGTTGATGAAAATATATAAAAAATTTTTGAGTGCACCTAAAGTTAGCTTAGAGGGAAACTTGTAGATGAAATACAACAGAAAATAAGAAAGATCTAAAATTATCTAATCTAATGTTCTACTCTAAGAAGCTGGAATGGAAAGTAAAACTAAAATACATAGGAAGAAGAAACTAATAACCATAAGATCAGAATCAACAAAGTAGGAAACAGACAAAGCAGAAAAAAACCTACTAAGCCAAAAAGCTGGTTCTTTGAAAAGAAACAATTGAACACACATCACCAATATCATCAAGAAAAGAGAGGTGACCAAACACAAACCCTACAGGAATTAAAAAAAATAAGAGAATCTATTAACAAATTTATACCAACACAGTCAACAACCTACATGAAATGGAATAGTTCCTTAAAAAATACAACTTACCAAAATAGACTCGTTTTAATAGAAAATCAAAATAGAGTTATATCAATAAAGCAGCTGAATTAGTAATTAAAATTATTTACAGAAGGAAAAGTCCAAACACAAATGGCTTCCCTGTTTAATTTTCTCAAACATTGAGTAAGAAATAATACCAATCCTATAAATCTCTTTCAGAAAATAATGGAGGTGGAGGACAGTTCCCCACTTATTTTGTAGGTCTAGTATTACCCTGATATTAAGACAAACGTATTATGTGAAAAGAAAATTACAGATCACCATCTCCCACTCACATAGATCCAAACAAGATATCAAATCAAATGCTATGGTATATAAAATAGTACAGCATAACCAAAAAAAGTTTATTCCAGAAATCCAAGGTTGATTTAACATTCAATAATTAGTATAATTTTCCATATTAACAGATTGCAGGAGAAAAACCATATGATCATTTCAATAAATGCAGAAAAAGCATTAGAGAGCAAACCATGAATTCTCAAACTGATGAAAGGCATTTTTGAAAAACCTAGAGCCAACCTTATACTTCATGGCGAAAAACTTAATTATTTTTCCATGAGACTGGCAGCAAGGCAGTCACCTTTTCCGTTCAACAGTCAATGTACTGAAGGGCCTAGTTCTTGTAATATGACAATATAAAGAAATAAAGCACAGAAAAATGAAAATGAGAGAAGTAAAACTGTTCTTGTTTGTAGGCTATATGATTGTTTATGTAGAAAATCTCAAGTGGTCTACAAAAAATCCAGTACTACCAGCACTAATATATAAATTTAGCAAGGTCAGAAGATACAAGATCAGTATCCAAAAATCAATATATTCTCATATTCTAGCGCATAATTGGAAAATATTTAAGGAACAATTGCATTTATAATGATACCAAAACCCTAAGAAACCTAGGAATAAACCTTAAAAAAAAAGTATGCTCAAGATTCCTATACCAAAAATTACCGAGATATTTTGAAAAGAAATTTTTGTAAAAGATCTAAAGATCTAATGAAGAGATATAGTCTGTCCATAGATAAGAAGACTCAGTGTTGTTTAGTGTGCAGTTCTTCCCACATTGACTTACAGATTTAAGTGCAATTGTAATAAAAATTGAACTAGGTTTTTCTGCAGAGAATGACAAGCTAATTACACAATTTATGTAGACATTCAAAGGACTAAATTCAAATAACTAAAGCATTTTTTTCCCCAAAAGGACAACTTTTGGAGCACTTACCTGATTTCCTGACCTACTACAAAGTTATAGTAATCAAGACTGTGGTCCTGGCAAAAGATAGATATAGATTAAGGGAACAGAAGAGAGAGTCCAGAAATAGACTCTGTCGATGTGTTATGTGTTATTTAAATATACAACTGATTTTAAACCACAGTGGCAAAGCAATTTATTTAGGAAAGAAAACATTTTTTCAACAAATGGTGGTGAATCAACTGGATATCTGTATAAAACCAAAAGAATGCTAGAGTTGATTTGTAGTTTTACTCCATTATCTGTTTATTGTAGTATCTTTATAGTGATGATCTCTTTTTCGTTGTTGTTTTTGGTGACTCTCTTTCCCACTTTCTACTTAAAATTATCATTTTCTCTTCACTTCTTTGGGTTCAATTTGTCATTTTCTTAACTTACAAAGATGGATACTTAGCTTTTGATTTTCATGCTTCATATTTCCCATTGTGTATATTTAAGACTATAAATTTCCCTGTAGCTGCATCCCTCAAGTTTTCATGTGCATTTTGATTGCATTTACATTTTATTTATTCAAAATTATTTTAAATTTCTATTATGATTTATTACCTTAGTTTTCTTGACTAGTCAATTTTTGACTATTTGATTTGATTGAGAATTATTTAAAATTCTATTTCCCCTTTCCTGGCAGTTATATACTCACTCTTTTAGTATTTTTAGTGGTTTAATGTCATCTGGAGATGATAGCCTTCATTCTTAACTCATTAAGGGCCCATGTTAATTGGTACTTTTAAACTCTTCAACCCCTAATTTCTTTAAGCAAAATTCCTCTTTTACATTCAGTATCTATGAATTCTCATCCATGCGGTTTTGGGGTCTGGCTAAATCTGTTTTGGTTGTTTCTGCTCTCATTCATGCTGCTTGTCTTCTTGTGTCCCTGGAGATGCAAGACTATAATCTCATCACTTCATCGTATTCTGTGGGATTCCTGAGGGCCTGCAGGCGGGATGCTTTCCTCCAGAAACTGCTGTGTCTGCTTCTTCTGGATGCCAGGGAATAATTTTAGTGCATTTCAAGGATCTTGGCTCAATGTGAGAAACAGTGGAGCCTACAACCCTCACAGGTGTTCACACCTCCTCTGACTTCAGTGCTTGATCAGCCTCGAGGTTCCAGGCAGTTCCATCCTGTGCCACTCAAGTCTTGCCGCTCCTAGACAGCTGCAGGAAATGTTTTCGTGGGGAGAGAGATTCCTTGGAAAACCATACCTTGTCTTGCTAATCTAGAATGTGTTAAAAAGTATGTTTTATCTAGGGTCCATTTGTTTGGCTGAAGAAGGGACTCTTAGACCTCCTAGTTTATCATTTTGAAATAAGTGGTAGCAATGATTTATTGTATTGGCTTATTTCAGTGGGACAAGGATGTCAGGTCATTGCTGAATCAGCATTTCTGTGACAGACTAATGATGTTTCACATCCTGATTTATACCACACAATCATCTTTTCACTGTATAAGCTGATGAAGGAGACAAGTAATATGTATAATCTTCAACTGTACATAAACTTCACATACTGTAAAATACACATTATATACCTACAGTGTTAGGCTTGATAGATAGGGATGTGCTAGATAATTACTTTATTTTGTAAAAGAGTGTATTTGTATTTTCTTCATATTTTGATTTTTTTTAAATTAAGAGATCATTTATTTTGAGCTGAGTTATTAGGTGCAATATTCAAGTTTTTTGAAGATTTTACTTTATTTTGTCTTACATTACATAACGCAGAGCATGATATTTAGGATAATTATATGACACTAAATATGTAAATATAAATGTCTATAGGTACACATCAAGAGGTGCACACCATACTCTGTGTGCATGTGGGGGGCATATACACACACAACCATCTCTATTTGGTATTTGGCAGAACATTTTAATCTGGTTTAGGCCTCTGATTTTTCTTTCAACTGATGATATCAAACAAAATAAAAGGTATAGCTACATTCAATATTTTTTCAATTTTAAAGTGTTATTTAATAAAATTTGGATTATGATAAATTATTCGTTCTTTAACAGTGGGTGATTTTATCCCCCCTGGGAACATTGGTTCTTAACAGGGGGTGATTTTACTCCCCCAGAGGACAGTGGCTGTGTCTGGAGACATCTTTGGCTGTCACACTGGTGTTGGTGAGGTGCCACTGGCATCTAGTGGCACCAGGCCAGGGCTGCTACGCAACATTTTATAATGCACGGGCCAGCCCCACAGCCAAGAACGATCTGGCTCTAAGTTAGCAGGGCGAGGGTGAGAAACCCTGCTCTAAAGAGATTCTCCTTATGACTTAGTTGATATAAAAGCAAACTTGATGGAGAATCGTGATTGAAGACCCAACATTTGGGCTCCATAGCTTTTAAATGAAAGTCGGCTAACAACTGTACATGCAGATTGAGATTCTGAAGCTTAATTTAAACTTGGACAAGCTGGCCGGCACGTTGGCTCACGCCTGTAATCCCAGCACTTTGGGAGGCCAAGGCAGGCAGATCACCTGAGGTCACGAGTTCGAGACCAGCCTGGCCAACATGGCGAAGCCCCATCTCTACTAAAAATACAAAAATTAGCCAGGCATGGTTGTGGGCACCTGTAATCCCAGCTACTTGGGAGGCTGAGGCAGGAGAATCACTTGAACCCGGGAGGTGGAGGTTGCAGTGAACCGAGATCGTGCCACTGCACTCCAGCCTGAGCAATAGAGCAAGACTCTGTCTCAAAAAAAAAAAAAAAATTAAAAAATTAAAAGAAAAAAGCGCAGACAAGCTGCTGTTTCCAATATTTGCAGTCTTTCAGCGCGATGGAATCACAGTGAAAAGGCCACACCCACAGAGGTGCTGGGCAGCTGAGCCACCGGCACCTGTTGCTTTCCGGTGACCTCTCACAGTGGCTCGGTCGTGAGCCTCTGGGCATCCCTGTGTGGGACCTTGGCCACCTGGGCAGAAGGCTCCTGCGTCTCATCTTCTCTCTTCTACTCTTTCCTGCCTTTCCCTGAGTACAGTTTTCTGAATCTGCCTAGTACTGTGAAAATAGTTACATGTGCCAGTTAAATAGACTTTTCCTTTCTTTCTTTGAAGATTACAAAAACTGCATTAAAAATGTCTTTTAAAACTCTGTGATGTTTAACTTTAAAAAGAAATTGGAAATGCGACTTTCTTGAAAGATCTATATGGAGTGGTATTTCATTATGTACGATTGAACAGTATCTTTATACACAGGTCTTAAAGAGAGTCTTCCATTCGGATTTAAATTTAACATGGACCTTAACTCAAATCAATGAGGGATTTCTGCCACTGCTGTTGGACTTTTTCTCCATGAATCTTCGTTGTGCATATATGATAGTAAATTATTTATAGACTGTGTATTTGAGTCTGATCTTTTATAAGAAGCAGGAATCTGGGCCTACCTTATGTTCACGTCTTTTCATTTTCAAGACTTTTTTTTTAAATCTTGCATATATTTTCGGTTCTAAACTGATTCTCACCACACATCCTTTCTTCTAGGCATTGGCACATCTCCACTTAATAGAATATGTTGGAGAACAAACTGCTTTGCTAATAAAGGTAAAATAAATGCTATAATAGAAGGCACTCCAGCCACTGTTCTTTGATTTTGTGAAAAAAATTAAAAAAAAAAAGCACTCTGGTAAGAACAGGTCCCATTAATTATGTAAAAAGGCACAGCAGGGAACCTGTTCTATCCTGTGCAGCCCAGAGATGAAGGGAGACTTTTTCCGAAGAATATGTAATTACAGATGCCTGCTCTTTTGCTTTTAGCCTTTATTTAAAGCCTGTCTGAGAAGGAGTGGGATTGACACCAGCCTCAGTAAATGAGTGCTGCAGGCGCCCCAGCCCCAGGGGTCTGCCGGGCCATCAGGTCAATGTGACCAGTGTGCGCAGCCACCACATGGGGATGAGGGGCAGGGTCACTCTGCCTCCCCATCCAGGGGGCTGGCAGGTCTGGGCATGGCTGGGCTTTGCTGGTAGAAACCCAGCAGAGGCTCCTGGTGTGGGTGTGGCCCTGGCTTGCACACCTATGTCTGCCTTGGTCTCGTGATGGGTAAGAGGAAGGACTAACACCCTCGGGCCCCTCTGAGTCTCGCGGCTGGTGGGTCTGACCCTAAGTGCATGCGATGGAACACTGCAGCTGCTATTGTCCTCCTTCCAGATGGTCCCAGAGGAGCAGCGCCTCATAGCCGCCATTGTCCTGGTGGTGTGGGTCTCAGCCCTGGCGTCGTCCCTGATTGACAACATCCCGTTCACTGCTACCATGGTGAGTTGCACATGTCCATGTCGACGGCTCAACTTTAGCCTGGACATAGCCTGGGGCTCACCCTCCCTTCCTAAGGCAGCAGAGGATGAAGCCTGCCCCTCTGCTGCACTCACAGGTGTAGAGGACGAAAGTGAGCAGAGCCCAGGGCAGCTGGGTGGGGAGTGCCGAGAGCCCAGACTGCAGGCTGGGAGCCGAGGCTCTGCAGCTGCCGTGGACAGCACGTCCTGGGGTGACTGGTGATCTCGAGGTCAGCCCCACTGAGAGCTGCCACCCCTCCCAGAAAAGGCTGTGCTTGCTTGCTTGCTTTCTCTCTTTCTTTCTCTTTCTTTCTTTCTCTCTCTCTTTCTTTCTTTCTTTCTTTCTTTTTCTTTCTTTCTTTCTTTCCTTTCTGTCTTTCCTTCCCTCCCTCCCTCCCTCCCTTCCTTCCTTCTTTCCTTCCTTCCTTCCTTCCTTCTTTCCTTCCTTCCTTCTTTCCTTCCTTCCTTCCTTTCGAAAATTGTGAGACATCAAAAGATAGAGACTTGCATCTTCATTTGCGGCGGAGGCAAAAGCTATTCTAACCAGCCTGTGTGTCTCCTAGTGCTTGGCCTGGGCAAGATCTTTCATTCTCTGTGTGGTCTTGAGCCCCAGCCAGGATTGGAAGTACACATCGAAGACCTTTAGTTGGGCAGATGAGCCTGTTCCTGGCGTGACTTCTGCCGTCACTGATTGCTTGGCTCAGGGCAGGAACTGGGAATCCAGGTGTGGCAAAGTAAAGATAGGCCCAGGGGCTTGCACACAAGTCTCTGGGGTCCTCTCACAAATACTTGAGGTCCCAGGTGTGCAGGGCACAGGCCAGAAGCCTGGTGAGCACTCCCCATGGCAGGACACAGGACAGGGGAGAGCCCTCTGTTCTTCTGACTCTGAGGGTCTCCCCCTTCCCCGCAGGGAACATCCCATGCAAGGGGGTCCCAAGACATCCCACCGCCCTGTATAGTATTCTGAACAATGGCACCCCCGGGCTGGAGCAGCAGGCCTGGCTGTGTGGGGAGAAGGGCAGGCCAGGCTCATGCAGCGCCGACCTTAGGCGGATCTGGGAACCTGCATCCCTCGCTTGCAGCCTGGAATTTAGTTTCTGCCTAGGTTGGCCCTCTAGTTGCTTGGCTGTTGCTCTCCTTCCAGGGCCTGGGTGTGGTAATCCTGAACTAACTCGGTGGCTGTTATTTTTTTGGTGAAGTTCCAAATTGGAGAACTCTTGCGGCTGTTGTCAAATGTCCCGGCTGTGGCCCAGCTGGCTCCACCTCTCCCTGCGCCCCAGGCAGGCTGATGCCTTCTGGCAGGGCTGCCCTTACCCAATCCTCAGCTTCATCCTGTGCATTCATCCTGTTCTCCAGGGAAACACAGTCCACAGGAGACTCCGCGCTGTCCCAGCCAATGAGGCCACAGTTGCGGACCGAGCGCAGGACCCCGACACAGCCTCCATCAGTGCTTCCTTCTGACCCTGCGCTCACAGCTGAACCCCACCTCTGGGGGGCTCTGAGGTTTGCACCCAGATCCTTTCTGGGACTGAATTAGAAGAGCCCTAGCATTGATGATTTAAGTTGCTGCTTTTTCTGAGAATAGGACACTTTCACAGTTTTGTTCCATAAATTTTTATGACTACCTAAAATTTAACTTTAAAAAATGGAATCAGAGACAATAGTACAACAAATATCCATATGTTCACCACAGAAAGTGAGAAAGTGTCAACATTTTATCCTCTTTGCCTCAGAATTTGTTGTGTGTTTTATCAAGAAATACAACATTACAGATAAACAGGCAGGTCTCTGTTCTTCCCCTGGAGTCTCAGGACCATCTCTGCCCTCATGAATGTGGGTCCCATCCATCTCTGCAGTGGCCGCTGTGGGGGTGCTGAGGGTGGGATGCTGGCTCTTGTGTGTCCACAGGGGCAGAAGCCACATACAGCATGACCACAGCAGCCACAGGGTGCAGAGGTGGACACACAGCTCTTCAAAGCCCATGCATCTCCCCGGAGTGACTGTGCCACGCTAGCATGAGGTGTCTGCAGTGGCCACATCACGGGAGGGACATGGGGAGCCACTGGGGTTTGCTGCCTCAGGCTGGAAGCGGCATGCAGCGATGGTCACAATCCTTGGGTGGGAAGGGGACATGTGGCCCTTCCCTGGAGCAGGGATCTGCGAAGTGGGTGGGCGTCGAGGTCTCTCCACTTTCCCTCACTCCCTTCTCCCCTCTTTTCCTTTGAGTGTCTTTTCACCACATTTTTTAAAAAGCTGTATTGAAGTCATTGACAAAAATCTGCACCTATCGAATGTATAAGTTTTCATGAATTTGGACATATATGTGTATACCTGTGATAATATCACCACAATCAAGGTACTGAACGCATGCATCATCTCCATACATGTGCTTATGTGTATATATGTGTGCTTCATGGTAAGAACACTTAACACCCATCTGACCTCTTAGTACACTTTGAAGTGCATGATACCATATTAACGCTAGGCACTGTGTCATACCACGGCCCCTGGAATGTACCCATCTGGGATAACTGAAACTCTACCCATTGAGCAGCCTCTGCCCATCCCCCTCCCTCCACCCCCGACAGCCACCATTCTACTCTCTGCTTCCGTGAGCGTGACGATTTTAGATTCCACACACGATGGAATCAGGCGGTGTTGCTCCTTCTGTAACTCGCTTATCTCACATAGCATAATGCCGTCTGCGTTCATCCATGTTGTCACAAATGGCAGGATTTTCTGCTCTTTTAAGTCCGAATCACCTTTCATTGCATATATATTCATATACCACATTTTCTTTATCCACATGTCCATCAGTGGACACGCAAGTTTTTCCCATGTCTTGGCTATTCTGAGTAATGCTACAGTGAAAATGGGAGTACAGCTATTTCTTCTTCGAGAGCCTGATTTCCGCTGCAGGTGGTTAGAAGATATGGTCTATAGGGTTTAATGCTTAGAAACCCCCAAAACATCATCTGACTTACCATGTGACTGTTTTTCTCCAGCTGCACGCCTAAAAAGCTGCATGTCAGCTTCTGCACACTGCGGCTGCTTCGGTCACTCCGTGTTTGGCTTCTGCCCCTGCTGACACACAGGAGCCAGGATCCTGCCCCAGCTCCTCCCACAGTGGGCTGCTGCATAGGTGGTTACGACTTGAATTCATGAAGGCAGCTCCCTGAGGAGAGGGAAGGATGAAAACAATCCTGGGGCCTGAGGGAGGAAAGGAGCTTCACATTTATTTATAATATTTTGTTCCTTAAAAAATAAGCAAAAAGGAAATCCTGCAGCAAAGGAGATGAAATGTTCAAATTTTCTCAGTGTCTGTGAGCAGTTAACATACATATATATTGCTCATATAATGTGAGCATTAACATACATAAGCATGTCGTTGTGTTGTTATCCTCTAGATTCACTTATCTCTTTTAAATCAATCTGTTTTGATACAGCAGAGAACTTTGTTAATTGGTTTGTTTCTCCTTGCACTTCAGCACGTTTTTGCATTATTTACTTTGTGATCATATTAGGTGTTAAAAGTTCATTATCTAGTAACTTCACAGCGACTGGTTTCTTTTACCTTGTGTGAGGTCTCCATCTCTGCTCTGAGCCTCTGCCAGGTTTATCTTTTTCTAGTCCTTTATTTATTTATTTTAAATTCTTTTTCCAATTGCATTTTTAAGCAGCATGCAAGTAGATTTTTAAAATTCAAAGCAGATTATCTTTTAAGAGAATAGTTTAACATGTTTACATTTATTGTAATGACTTATCGACTTGAACTAAGTACCATCATTTCACTTTTTAATGCTTTTTCCTTGCTAATTCTTTTTTTTCACCATCATTTCCTGACTTCTTTAGATTGATACATCATACCTCCGCATCCATCAACTGGTTTTGAAGGTACTGATTTTATTCCTAGTCCTTTAGTGGAAATCATTCTGTTTGTAATGCACCTAGTGGTATCAACATTTCAAACAACAGTTGCAGTGAACAGAACCTATTTTAGTTAGTTTAAGATGAGAAGGAGTTTATCTAGGGATAGTACATAGTTCTTGGAATTTCTGAGAATTTCTCAACTGCACACTGGGAATGGGGGGCGGCTGCCCACAAGCCCCCAGCTTTTGCAGCTTGCCCTGAGTGCTCAGGATCCCTGCCCCGACGCTGGCTGCTGAGTCCAGGGACTTCTGTCAGCCTGCTCTTGAGTATGCCTTGTCACACCTCTCCTCCAAATTCTCCAGACTGGCCTCTGGAGCAGGTGTGTCTGATTGGAGGAACCCATGCCTGTTCTAGCTGCAATGCAGGTGGCAAAAGTGTGTTTCTGGCTTCTGCCTTGGAGGCCCAGAACTCACAAAACAGATCTCCGAGGAGGCTTCAAAGCCTTTCTCCATCCCTACCTCAGCGCTTTCTCCTCGATGCTTCTGTGCTTCCTGGTGCAGAGCCTCGCTTGCCCTCTGGGTCCCACAGTACTGTGCACCTACATCCACCAAGTCACTGGACAAGCGGATTGTCAAGAGTGTCTGCAGCTGTCTGGGAATTCCAGCCGTTTGTGTTTGTAGCCTCATTCACTAGCGTTATACCTGGCACCAAAAAGATATTTAGCAAGTGTTTGCAGATGAATAGGAAAGTGAACTAACTGCAGTAGATTAATTGTCCTGGAATAACTCTGTGTCTGCCTCCTCCCTGGCCTGCCATCCTCTGCTACTCTGTTACTGAGGGAGCTGGACACCCCATGCTTGCTGCATGTCTCAGAGTCGCAGACCCTAGCTGTGCACCTCCCTCCTGCCAGACCACCTGCCACTCGAGACACACCCTCATCTTCAGTGATGTGGTGCCACCTCTTCAGCACGACGCTGGGGCTCTTGTGCCTTTGACAGTGCTGTTCTTTGCCACTGGTGGCAGCTGTCCCTCTCAACTCCCTCCTTCCCTGTACTGGGAGCCAGCCACACCAACCTATAGCCCTCTACATTGCCTGGGTGGGAGCTGGTCCTTTCTCTGGATCTGCCTTCCCTCTGGCAGCCTCTGGGTACGATGGCCTGCCCTCTGGGTGGAGGTAGGGTGTCCTGCTCAGGCCCCCAGTCATGTAAGGCAACTCATTCATAGTAAATCCTCATGTCTACAGTTTTCTCCCACTGGTTCTGGCTTCTGACAGATGCAGTGATAGGAATGGCTCTTTGGGAGGTGATCTGGGTTTCCTGCCTACAGAGGGGCCCCTTTGACTGGGAGGACCTTTACACTGCACAGCTGTGGAGCCCTCTGAACCCAGGGAGTGACGAGGAGAGTATGTGGGTGGCAACGCGGGTCTAGTTCAGGCCTGAGATCTTTGCAGTCATGCGTCCCTCTGCACCTGCTGCTGATGTAGAGAGAAGGCAGTGCCGCCTCCTTGCCATTCTGTAACGTTTGTGCCCTGGCCTGGCTTATGTAGATCTACA